>NC_000020.11:41466234-41769264 GCF_000001405.40 Homo sapiens
TTTAGTTTTACCCTTGGTAGGGAAGGGACAGACAAAGACACACAGCCTTTTAAGATAAATGCTAGCATACAGTACAAATTTTTTCCACCTTATTTTTTTTCCCCGCTTAACAATATATCCAGGGTACAATCCAGGGTATAGCAGGATATAGTGATAGTCTTCATTCTTTTTTCAAAGCTGAATATATTACAGTTTATTCAATTAGTCATCTATTGCTGAACAATTCAGTTGTGTAGTCTTTAGCTATTATAATTCGTTGCTGGACCTTCTTTCTGTATCTTTAGCGGTAGCAAATCTCTGCTACTGGGAGGTTTGATGAATGATTCTGCAAATTAAGGAAGTGATCATGGTGAACAATATGGTTTATGAGACCTTCAAGATAGTAATCTTATACGGCCCTTAAGTACTGACCCTGATTTCTTTTTCTGGCTCATATGGTGTTGAGGGTAAATTACAAGAGGGAGCTGAAAAGTTCTGAGCAAAAGATCTGATGGAGGAGCCCTGCAGACACTGCTAATGGCCTTCGTAGCATCCATCTCTTTCTTGCTCACTGCCAGAACCCTGACTCTTGTACAGGGCAGCAACATTTTCAACCGAAACTACTCCCAGCCTCCCAGGGATGGCCAGGTAACACAGTCCTAGACAATGAGGTGTAACAGAACCTCCTGAAGATATGTGCCAAAGTTCTGCTTTCCTGTAAAAACCAACATGCCTGCTTTCCTTATTTTTCCTTTCTGAGATGGAACCAAGAGGCTGTAAACCACACATACTGAGGCCAGTGGAGCAGAAAGACAGGAGGAACCCGGGACTCCGATGACACTATGATGTCACCTCACTAGTCCTCAACTGCCTACCTCTGGACTTGTTAACTGAGAAAAATAAACCCCTGTTTGGGAGAGCCGAGGCCACAAGCAGCTAAATTACATAGAAATAAACATGTTCTCCCCCAAGATGACTTACCTGAAGGACAACAGGATAAGTCCCATCACATTTAAGAGACTCATCATTTTACAGTCAAATCTCAAACCATTCTTTATTTTCCTAAGAGAACTCAATAAAAAAAAACATGAGATAGAGAAAGAAACATTCAGAACTAGGGCCAGGAACTCAGATGAAGTCCAAGGGAAATGCATCAGCAAAGGTATACATATAAAAACCTTTGGAGTAAAACACAACTAGGGGGCAGTGGTGCTATAATCCCCCAGCCCTAATCCCTGGAGAAAATTATAGTGCTCTAATTATAGTGCTCACAATTTCTTCTTTATTTTTTAATACATTTGGGGTGGACAAAAGCCAAAGAGAAATGAATAACGACGTTCTGACAATGAAAAAAAAAAAAAAAAAAAAAAAAAGGCTGGGTGTTGTGGCTCTCGCCCATCTTCCCAGCACCTTGGGAGTCTGAGGCAGGACTGCTTGAGGCCAGGGGTTTGAGACCAGCCTGGGCTGTCAACATAACAAGACCCTCTCTGGGGTTAAATCTGTCAGATAAGTCAGTCAAGAACTAGCTGAGAACAGGAAGGACAGATGAATTCACAGAATGGGAAAGGGGTGCTTTTGGGCAACAGAAAGGAGTTAAAAAAAAAAAAAAAAGAGGACATTGACAAGGAGAGGCAGCGGCGTACTCAAAAGGAACGTGACTCATTCTATTTAGGACTGGTGCTGTGTAATAAGTGCCTGTCCCATCCTGTGCTTCAGACGTGCCGCCTATTCACATCCCACTCTACATGGTCATACTCTTTGTTTTGTCTGGAATATTCTTCCTTCTTATCTCATAATTTTAGATCCTTTTCATTATTTCTGCTCAAATGTCATCTTCTTAAAGAAGTCTTCCTAGACCACTCTTTCTAAATCAGGGCAACCAACTCCTATCATTCTTTTTTTTTTTTTTTTGGGAGATGGAGTTTTGCTCTTGTTGCCCAGGCTGGAGTGCAATGGCATGATCTTGGCTCAGTGCAACCTCCACCTCCCAGGTTCAAGCGATTCTCCTGCCTCAGCCTCCCAAGTAGCTGGGATTACAGGTGCCCATCCCGACGCCTGGCTAATTTTTGTATTTTTAGTAGAGACAGCATTTCACGATATTGGCCAGGCTGGTCTTGAACTCCTGACCTCAGGTGATCTGCCCGCCTCGGCCTCCCAAAGTGCTGGGATTACAGGCATGAGCCACCGCGCCCAGCCCCAACTTCCATCATTCTTATCCCCTTATTTTATTTTCTTTGCAGTAAATACTGCTTATCTGTAATTATCTTATTTTTCCTCATTTATTGTCTGCCTATCCTACTGAAATAAAACTGTCAGTCTAGCTCACCAGTGTCTCTCCAATACTTTAAGTAACACCTGGCATGTCCCAGTGATCAAGAGATAGTCACTGAATAAATGACTACATAGTATAGTATTTGTGTATACATTTACAAATTATTACTTTCTCATAGCAAAGAAGACTCAACAGGTGCAATCCTCCAAACTCCAGACACACGTACTGTCAAGAAACAGGGGATGTAGGTGGGGCGTGGTGGCTCATGCCTGTAATCTCAGCACTTCGGGAGGCTGAGGTGGGTGGATCACTTGAGCTCAGGAGTTCAAGACCAGCCTAGGTAACATGTTGAAACCTCTTCTCTACAAAAATTACAAAAATTAGCCAGGCATGGGGCTCATGACTATAACTCCAGCTATTCAGGAGGCTGAGGTGGGTGGAGGCTGCGGTGAACTGACTTCGAGCCACTGCACTCTAGCCTGGATAACATAGCGAGATCCTGTCTTCTGAAAACATAAAATTAGGTAAGAAATAGGGGGTGCAAGCAATGTGGTGGCAGCAGAGGAAGAGGCACAGGGGTCCAATACCTCTTCCCCTCGGAGCAGTGTGGGAGTTTCCTGAGTCCTGCTTCTGGCGATTGTGGAAAGGGCCTGTCTCCTCACTCTGGACTCCCAACTGACTTCCAAAATCCTGCAGACATGCAGCAGCTGCATTATCTTGTGGCTGTGCTCTTGGCCAGGACATCTGCTCCCACACTTTCTGAATTCTGCCTTCAGGGACCTTAGCAGCAGGAAGGACGCAGAACTGTGCAGCCCACCGTTGTTATCTTGAACCCTCTTCAACCCTAAGGATCTCTTGCCTCCAGATGCAAAAAGTCCCCCAGAGAATAAGAAGCAGAAGTATCACAGAACAATGGAAGAGGAAGGTTTGTGGTCTCTGAGGGGAGCATGATAGCATGTTATTCCCAAGAGGTCTGCCTTTGCCTTCAGGGGTAGCAGCAACAGTGGCCTACTCCTAAGAAGAAAGAAGACAAAAACCCAGTTTTTCCTTTGTCTTTCCTTCTCAGGCTACTGTTATCGTCCTGTGCCACTTCTTAACCTTAGGTGTTATGGGAAACCTAGACAACACTTGCTGCTGCTGATGTGCCAGGACTAAATTAGAGCCTCTGTCTTCTAAATGATGGTGAGAAAAGGCAAACTGATAACCTTCAATTTTGTACACACATTGATGCGAATACAGACATATTCAAGGTTTGAGAGAGGGTGTGGCACTTACCTGACTCTAGATAAGATCTCCCCATTAAGGGGACGTAAAAATTGGTTTTCCTTTTAATAGTCCAGATAAAACAGTAATATTGCTAAGATCTCTCAGTGCTAACTTTAATCTCTTTTGTTATTCCTAAGTAGTACCCAGTTTCTATCCTGGATCCTAATGAACCTGTGCCTTCATTTTCTGGAAAGCAAGAGGAGGACAGGAGGATTTGGGAAGAGGAACACAATGATGTCAGCGTCCCAGCCTCCACACTCTCTCTGGAGTAAATATTCTATATTTATAGCACGTGGGTGCAAGGGCAAATGCCAAGGGGCGTGGGAATGTGTGTGTTTGTGTGGGGAGAGTGCATCATTCTGTGGACAGTCTCCAGCCCTCTTGCTTTTGGAAAGCCCTCTTGCTCTCTTCCTCATCACACCAAGCAAGCAAGAACCTTGCTCCATCTCTGTGGGAGACACAGAATTTGGACCTTCCTCTCTCTATCACATCTTTTTATAGCCCACCAGTCCCACTAACTAATAGCCACTCTTCTAGTCCCCTGTCCTAAAACTGCTCTACATTTCTCAATTCCTTCATCTCTACCTAGACTGGCTAGACTTTAAAAAAAAAAAAAGGATGATTCCTTCCGAGTTGTACACATGTTCTCTCTCACACAGTAACCTTTTGCTGCATTCTCCTTACGAACTCCCACCCTGCATCTTCCACCTTGGATCTTCCTCAGTGCTGGTCTTCTTCGTTTCTTCATTCAGGCTGAGCATTAGAGGAAGTTCAGAAACTGACTCAACACACTAGTAAAGTTCACACTATCCAATTTCAGTTTGGACTTCACTGCTATTCCTTAATTCATCTCTTGCCAGCTCCCCAGCAGTGGACATTGAGAACAGCTACTCCAAAGCTTCTCCCTTCATCCAAGACCCTTATTCTGGACAGTCCCACCCAACTTCCCTGGTTGCTACACATATAAATCAGTCACCTCAGATGACTTTGCCTTCTCCACTAGGTTTGACTATTCACGTTCTTGCTTTTCCCATGGCATTGCACCTATTCAACTGGTAATGTGTAGACTTCACCTAGGTGAAGCATGGTCATTCCAAAATGTTTGCCTCTGGCCATGAGCTGTTGCCAGCCCCATGCTTCCACTGATCCTCCTGGATATCGCTTCAGGCATGTCCAGCCGAGGTGTCCTCAAACTGGCCATTCAACTTTGGTTTCCTGTGCCACTATTCTTCCAGCTGCCATGCCTCACAGTCAGGTGAGCATCACAAAGAAGCCGAGAACTTTGTAACTGTCAAGGACTTAAGAAATCATGTTTTGGGGTTGGCAAAAATCTGAAAAGGGCCTGATAGTAAATATTTTAGGTTTTGTTGGCTATGAGGTCTCTGTTGCAACTACTCAATTCTGCCACTGTAACATGAAAGCAGCCACAGATTATATACTTACAAACGGGTGTGATTATATTCCAATAAAACTATTTTTAAAAACAGGCAGCAGGCCAAAAGGCAATCATTTTCCACCCCTTAATCTGTATAATTGTCGTAAGTAGGTTCTTGATAGTGAGCTGATCAAATATTAGTTTTTGCTTATTATTATTTTAGTGTTGAGTGTGTTACTCCTTTAAAAATGGGTTATTCATTACATCCAGCAACTCATATTCAGCCATCTTTTCACCAGTAGAAAGATGGTAAGCTAGTTATAATCACTGGTTTTCTTTGAGATCACTGGTTTTCTTTGAGGTTGCATGTTGAACATAGTTTACTTTATGATGTATACCATGAAATATTTTCAGTTTTTTTTTTTTTGAGACCGAGTCTCGCTCTGTTGCCCAGGCTGGAGTGCAGTGGCACAATCTCGGCTCACTGCAAGCTCCGCCTCGTGGGTTCATGCCATTCTCCTGCCTTAGTCTCCCGAGTAGCTGGGATTACAGGCACCCACCACGCCTGGCTAATTTTTTTTTGTATTTTTAGTAGAGACGGGGTTTCACTGTGTTAGTCAGGATGGTCTCAATCTCCTGACCTTGTGATCCGCCTGCCTTGGCTTCCCAAAGTGCTGGGATTACAGGCATAAGCCACCGTGCCCGGCCATTATTTTCAGAGTTTTAACCATCACTAACTTAATTTAAAGCACTAGTTTTCAACTAGTAGGCTGCTTTCTTCAAACACAAGTTTATGTGGAAACTCATTAAATGAAAAAGACAAAGGGCCGGGTGCAGTGGCTGACACCTCTAATCCCACCACTTTGGGAGGCCGAGGCGGGCGGATCACCTGAGGTCAGGAGTTCAAGACCGGCATGCCCAACATAGCAAAATCCCATCTTTACTAAAAATACAAAAATTAGCCAGGCGTGGTGGCAGGCCCCTGTAATCCCAGCTACGCAGGAGGCTGAGGCAAGAGGCAAGAGAATCGCTTGAACCTGGCAGGCAGAGGTTGCAGTGAGCTGAGATTGCCGCACTGCATTCCACCCTGGGGGAATGGAGTGAGACTCTGTCTCAAAAAAAAAAAAAAAAGAAAGGAATAGACAAAGCAGCAACTCTGTAGGAGTGGGTGGGTAGAGAAGAAGCCCAGACACCCATTGGCTTAGTGCCCTCTTCCCTGCATCCCTTCTCTTGCAGTATCCCCTAGAGTACCTCTTGAATCCTGTCAAACAGCAGCCTCCAAACTTCTTTTGATCAATCACCTGTATTATGAAAAAGGTTTTGAGCCACCCACCCACCTTCTTCACCACATACCCATAATCCTAGTGTTAGTAAATATCTCAAGATATATGCGATATACACTTAAGATGAAGTTCTTCATTAATGATAATGGCTGTAAATCTATATTCCATATTGTCTTATTGACAAGTTAGAATCTTTTTGGCTGACTTCGCGTCCCATATAGTTAGAATGCCATTGTTTTTACTTTGAAACAGGGTTGATGAAGAACTCCAAACTGGACCCTGCCATTTTCTTGCTTGTTTATGTTAGCTTTCAAAAAATATATCAACTCCAATCTTTGCAGTAATCTTTTAAAGCCACCGGTTATTTAGTTTGGCTAAAACCAGAAAATAGAATCCATAAAGCCACTTAACTGGACACATATAAACTCTAATGTGTTGCACTGTGTGGAGAACAAAGGAACTAGTGAGGCTGCCACTGTTGCCCCTGCCACACCATGGAACTTTCCCACCCCTCTGGGTTAACTCGTTTACTGTACATGACACATGACCATCTTAACCAACAAACTGAGTGAAAATGCCCGAATCGTCTACATATCAAGAATTAGAGCATTAGTCAAGATTAGTATCTTTATTTCTGATAATAATAATAATTAGTAGTTCTAGTCTATATCTGGAGGCTACCACTGTGAAACATCATTTGATTTAACGGAAAGAACCACACTCTCTAATTAGTTGGAAGGGTCGACATTTACTTTTCATTCAGTTTCACCCCCTGACCAAGGCCCTAAGCCTGTCATCCAGCTGACACCATAGCATAGAGCATCACGGATGCTCTGTAGCCAAGCCAGGCCCTATCATGATGTTCTGGGATCCAGGGCAGCTAAGGTAAACAGCAATCATCCTAGTGGTTACCTGCAAGTCATTTTGTGGGTTCCAGTCAGAATCAAATATGATGCAGGTATCAGCAGCTGTGAGATTGATCCCCAGGCCTCCCGCTCTGGTGCACAGAAGAAAGACAAAGCGGTCTGAATCTGGCTTACAGAACCGGTCGATGGCTGCCTGGCGCAGGTTTCCCCGTACTCGCCCATCAATTCGCTCATAGGTGTATCTGAGGGGACCCAAATGAACGAAAGCCCAGGCGTTAATCATGACTTCAATGGAGAACAGCACAAAATGCAGGAAGCTGTCGACTGATGGCCTTAAATCCCTCACTTCTAAATTTGGACCAAATGACAGCAGTCTAGAAGGAATCCTGCCCCCTACATATGCAGCAGGGCAGACACTTAAAACTGTATTGCAAAATGCCCCCCTCTCAAAACAGAACAAAACAAAAAAACAAAACAAAGCAAAAAAAAACCAGCTGTAAACTAAGAAGGACTAGAAGAATTAAATCATAAAATACCGATCCCCATAGCCCAAGCAACTTATTCTCTCAAGTATTCCCAGTTTATACTTAAATTTAAGCATAAGACCAGGAAAAACAAACAAAAGCCTTTCCCATCTACTTTGAGTAGTGCTCACAAAAAGGACTCAGAGTTTTCATCAGTTTCCAGCTACTTTAGGGTAAACCAGAAATGGTAAGAAGATTAAACTGTGAGGCAGTCCTTTTATGTCACTTCTAGCCTACCAAGTTCCTCAAAGCTTTGGAGGTACACAGCAAAACCTCCAAGTTTATAGCTGAAACCAAGGTCTTCTGGACAGTAGTACATTGCCAAGCATAAATCACAGGAAAGGTTTTTGAGGTGTGTGTGTGGGGTGAAGGAACTGATGAATAGTTAGAGGAAAATAAAGTAGGAAAGTAAAGCTGAGTATCATTGAGAAGGCATACAACTGTGTGGAAAATCAAGAAACAGGGGTGGAGTGCATGGTAGAGGTAAGGGTAAAAGGAAAAAGAATAAGAAATGAAACTGTTAAGGGAACATATTACCCATGCCCATCTAGAGGGAAAACAGAAGAGACCTTTACGTTGGAGATCATGGGATTAACACAGAAGATATAGCAGCAATCTGGACAGCTGCTGGGCGTCTTATTCTTTTCCTATTTACCCCTGACAACATATGAATTAACAAGGGGGATGTTACTCTGGGCCCAATTTTGACCCACAAACATGAACTGGTTAGTGAAGCAGAAGTAATAGGAAACGTGTGAGAAAAGAACCAAATCACCCCAAACCGACAACAGCCAAGACCATGAATCCTGGCAAAATCCTATCAGCAGCCCAGAATTTGGGAAATCAGATCTCTAAAACTTACATAAATAAGCAGGAAGAAAATAAGGATAGATAACCTAGGGGTAGATAATTCTGTGTGAGGATGGCTTTGGAAAACTAAATCTGGCAATATGATCTTGACTTCCTTGAAGAAAAGAAAAAGCCATGTAAAGAAACCACCCAAGGAAATGTACATGAAGAAACCTGACCAACTCAGACTTATAAGGGACATGTATAAAGCAAAGAAACAAGTCTGAAAATGCTGTCTCCCTTTTATAAAGCCACAATACAACCATACCTAAAATTAAGGGTACAATTTTTTGTTTCCTCTTTATTTAAAATTATAATACACTCAAGAATAATAAATGAGAACTACAGCAGCAAATGAAACAGGCGGTGGTGATAGGATTGTCATGAAGGCAGACTAAAAAGATTTTGTGTCATAGACAAAGGCTAAGGATTAGATGTCTGAATTCTATAGATTTAATTATCACCATTATTCCTAACAACCACAATAATAATATTAGCAGCAAATTCTTAAGTGTCAGTTCTGTGCCAAACCCTGTGGTACATGCTTGGTACACATCATTACATTTAATTCTCACAATAGTCCTATGAGGTAGTTTCTATTATCATCCTCATTTTACACTTAGGAAACCTAAAAACAGAACAAAACAAAAATTCATACAAGTAACATATCTTGCTCAGTCATCTAGCTGGTTAAGTGAGTTAAACCCACATCCATTTGACTTAAAGCTTTCACACTGTACCTTACATTTCAATGCAGTAGGACAGAAAGGTTTTCCTAAACACTTAAGAAGAGAAATGGAGAATACATAAGGGACACTAGTAAACTTTGGAAGCTTGTAACTCTAACAGGAGATGGAAACAGAAACTATAACTAGGTATCAAAACATTTTTGATAAATCAGTGCTCAGGATCTGTAACAGTTACAGAAGTTTAGCCATGTATGTGATGCAATAGAGGAAGCACAATACTTGGAGTCAAAAACAGGGTTGAGATTCAATTAAAGAACAGCCATTTCCCCCCCTCTACCCTCCACCACCAACACACATATGAATGATTAATGCTGCAGGAAAAGACTCCATGCTCTTTGAAAAAACACCCCTAGTCATCAGAGTTAGATACCACATAGATCAGAGTGAGGCTGGGAATTAGCACAGCCTTAAGGGGGAGGGGAAATCAATACATAGTGATGATACAGCTCAGCCATCACCTAGGGAAACCGTTCCCATAAAATTAGATAAGTGTTTTTGTGTATTATAATGTAACAACACTTTTAGAACTTTTAGAACAAGATGAATGGAATAATTCTCTATCACTTGTTTAGTTTTGAGGGAGTGCTCTCAAAGAACACAAAACTTAAAAAAAAATTGAATTATTTGAGCTCCTCCCTCACTTTTGAGCCAGATCCTCTGGCCATGCCCTCATTCCTGTGTGAGAGTCTGGCATGAAATTAAATGGGAACAAAACCAAACTGACAGCTGGAGAGGCAAAGAGGCTCAAGAACAAAGAAAACCTTGAGGGCTAATAAGTCTGAATGAAGAAATCAGACATCATAAAATTTTCCACACTGAACTTCAGCACAGCAATTAACCCTCTGTGACAACTGTATTTTTAACAAGATCCCTAGGAGTTGATATGGTTCAAACTGTAATTCTGAGTCACTATCAAATACTATCAAGTATCAACAAGCAGCAGGTGGCACCCTGGAAAAAACCTCTATGTGACTGGCCAGGAGTAGACTGACATGTTTTTGGCACAAGAAATGTTGACTTTAGAAAGGCCTGAAGGGAAATGAACAACTTTCTGGTCTCCCAGCAATAATCAACTGGAAAACATGAAGAGTTAATTTAAAAAAAGAAAACCAAAAAAGCAAAACAAAACAAAACCAACACCAAAAACCATTCACAACAGTTACAAGCATATAAAATACTTAGGATTTAATTCAGTAAGAAATATGAAGGCTTGGTAACATAACACTAAGGGGCCATGCTTTGTTCACCATTATGACTGTAATACCTACAGAGGTTCTAGCACAATGCAAACACTTTACAAATATTTACTGAGACAATAGTGTATATGAAGGACCCAAGTTAAGTGTAGTGAAAAGCATGTTCTTTGATTTTGCAAAGATGTCAGTCTAAAAAAATAAAGAAAGAAAGAAAAAGAAAAAAAAAAGCTAAAAAAATCCCAACACACGAATATATGTGTATATATAAACATGTAAATGTGTATGTATGTATACATACATCTATACATACACACACATTTTTCTGGAGTTAGGGGCTGGAGCAGACAGAGACAGATAAATAAGCCAGGTATGGTGGCTCACTCTTGTAACCCCAGCAATTTGGGAGGCCAAGGCGGGAGGATGACTTGAGGCCAGGAGTTCAAGAAGAGCCTGGGCAACATAGTGGGACCTCACCTCTACAAAAAAGAAAGAAAAATCAGACAGGCATGGTGGCCAATGTGCCTATCGTCCTAGCTACTCAGGAGGAGTAGGTGGGAGGATTGCTTGGGCCCATGAGTTCAAAGTTGCAGTGAGCTATGATCACGCCACTGCCCTCTAGCTTGGGAGACAGAGCAATACCCTGTCTCTAAATATAAATAAATAAATAAATAAATAATTCTGAAGTTCATCTGGAATATTAAATATGCAAAGGAATAAAACTACTGATCAAAAGACTAGAAAGGCTAGACATTTATCCAGTATACATAATATCTCCCTATATTTCATAGAATTTTATGAGTCAGGGAAATAGACTATTTTACTAAACAGAAAATTAGAAAATTCAATATATTTGGAAATAAATGAAAATAAGACTTCGATTATATGCCATTTACCAAAATTACAGAAGGGCTAAAGACTTAAATGAAAAAAAAATCAAATAATCCAGTTAAAGATTATGAATTTAACATACACATTTAATTCTTTGATCTCTCCAAACCTCTAGTAAAATGACAGTAAAGGATGTTTTAAAAAGGTATAATCCCTTCCCCAATTAAATCCACCAAAAGAACAGAAGTGATAAAATTCTGGCATCTGGAAAGTCGTATTTGATTTGAAGAAGGCAGAATCCCAGGCAAGACACAACCTAATTTAATAGTGCAGAACACGTGACGGGATCAAACATTGGTGGCACTAGGTATCCCCGAAAGCAGGGACGCAGAGTCTAAAAACAGGGAAACTGGTGGAATATTTGCTGAAGTATTTACTTAGCCTCTAGATCACCTACCCCAGCCTTGAAGAGGGTAAAATAAAAGATCTTGATCCTCTCTACTCTAGAAGATACTAACCACAGTTAAAAGTGAATGTACCATGCTGAAAAGGGGAAAAGAGACAGAGATAGTGGGAGCCCTTACTCTTTCTCACCCCTCCCCCACAATTAGCTCTAAATACAGTCAAGTTTCCACCTATAGGCAGGGGAGAGTAAGAGGAACAGGACCTCAAAATGCTGATATAGAAGGGTCCCCAATGAAAATGGTCCAGCCAGATGCACAGTGCTCCCATATGGAAAGTGAAGTGCACAGTCAACAAGCCTTGCTCACATACTCAGAGCTTCTGGTTGGCTCCACAGTGCCCCCCCATCTGATGGCCTAAGATATCAGACATGAGGCTGATATGAAACACACAGCCTCTGCTTCTGGTAAGGAGGAGCAAGGTCCTAACACACCAACCCTCTAGCAAATGACAAATTCTGGACAAACTATAAAAACCAAAATGAATGAACAGAAAAACCTACCTGAGGGCACTGGCGAGTTAACAAAAGCAGACAGATCTTGGAGAAGAATAGAAATTTGTGGTTTCAGCCAGAGGGGAGGCCACAATTATGGTGGCAAGGTGTTGATCAGCTGTAATTGATAAAAGCTGTTGTCTTTCTGACACACATCAGGGGAAGGTACCTAGGGCAACTAAGACTGCCAGAGAGTGAGAGGGGACCCCCAGAAAGCAGAGAAATAGAGATGGGAACCCCAAACTCTGGGTATAAACTCTGCCCAAGTTTCTGGCTGACTTCTGACTCACACTTGCTCGGGCCTGATTGTGGTAGTCTGAAATGGGAACTACTGTCTACCAGACACATTGACAGAGTTTGCACTTTGAGCACAACCTAGTTAACTGCTTCCAAATAAAACCCATCAACATCTTCAGAGCAATATAACAGAATTCTAAATCTCTAGAACATAATATTCACTAGGGCTAGGGAAAAATTCAGTTATTCTCATTCT
This sequence comes from Homo sapiens, assembly GCF_000001405.40. Lineage (NCBI taxonomy): Eukaryota > Metazoa > Chordata > Mammalia > Primates > Hominidae > Homo > Homo sapiens. Next base: position 41,478,870 of record NC_000020.11, read on the forward strand.
CAAGGGAACAGGCAATTAACAGATGTCAACGTCAAACCTACAATGTTATAATTCAGACAAGAACTTTAAAGCTGCTATTATGCTGACGCTTAATGAAGTCAAGGAATGTTAAGTAATGAATAAAAAGAAAAGAAAACTCAGCAGAGAAACAAAACGTTAATAAACATAGAACCAAATGGAAATTTTAGAACTAATAAATAAAGCATAGAGTGTGCTTAATAAGCATGATGGAGATGATAAAGAAAAGTCAGTGAACTTGAAGACAGATAAAAGAGAGAGAAAAAGGGTTTTTAAAAAAACAGAGCCCATGGACTTGTGGGGAATTATCTCAAGGTCAAATAAACAGGTAATTAGTCTCACAAATAACCAAGAGAATGGGGCAAAAACAAAAAAGAAATTGAAGAAATAATGATCAAAAGCTTCTCAAATTTGATGAAAGACATACATTTACAAATTCAAGAAGCTCAGTAAGCAGGATGAATCCCAATGATCACAGTTAAACTGCTGAAAACCAAAAATTAAAAAGAAAATCTTAGAAGTAGCCAGAATAAATTAATGTATTGCACACAGGGAGCAGCAATGTGAATGACTGCAGAACTTTTCATAAGAAACCACGGGGACCAGGGCACAGTGGACTAACACTGTAAAGAGCTGGAGGGGGAAGAAAAGGAAAAAAAAGTGAACCTAAAATTCTAATATGAAAGACAGATACAAACAAATGGGAAAAAATATGACTTGGAGAAAACAGATGAAGATAAAAAAATTCTATCCTGATAAGCCTTAGAAAGACAGGAGAAGACACTGTACTTGTGAAATAACCAGTGCTATTAAAAATGGAAAAATTACAAAAAATGTTCTGTGAAATTAAAAAATATAATGAAAGATAAAGTCAAGAAAATTCCCCAGCATCTGAACTTAGATTTCAGATGGGAAAGATCTATTTAGTATCCAGCACCAATGAAGCAGTTCACTGTAAAATTTCATAGGACTGGGGACAAAGAGAATACATAAAAACTTCTAAAAAGAACAAACATAACACATACACAGACTAAGAATCCTACAGGCTTCGAACTTCTCAATGGCAACCCTGGAAGCTAGAAGACAGTGGATTAACACCTTCAAAATTCTGTAGGGAAATGATTTACAACCTAGAATCTCAAATCCTGCGAATAGATTCCTTAAGAATGAGAGCAGAGTAAAACATTTTCAGACAATGTCTCAAAATTTACTTATCATTCACCCTTTCTCAGGAGCTCCTGGAAGAGGTGCTCCAACATGGAATCCACCAACAAGAAGATCTGATTTAAGAGGAAAAAAAAGAAAGCTGTCAGCATGAGAAACAAGGCAGATCACAGCTGACAACTGTGTACTCTGTGGGGAACAGCAACAGGCCAGGGAGGAGGAAGTCAGGAGGCCCCAGAAGGTATGGCCTAGAGAAGAGGAAACTGATGTGTTGGAACATAACCAGAGATTTAGACAACCAGGGTAAAGTTTGCTGCTGAATTATAATAGGTGTATAGAAAAATAAGCAATCAAAAAGATAATTTTTAGTTTCAGAGAAAATAAAAACTGTACAAAAATGAAAAGTAAACAGCACATGACATAACTCAGCTGTAATTTCACATTTTCCTAAGTCATAATAAACAACAAATATTAACCTAACTCAAAGTATTATGTGGCATACTGGGAAGATGAGAGGACAGGAAGTTGTATACATGACGGTATGAGGAGCAGTGAAAGAAGGCTAAACATTCATCTTCCACAGTGAGAACGGATAATACCTACAACTGAAAAATATCAAGAAATTACAACTAATATCATTATTTAGATACAGCTATAAATACCAAAAGAAATAGCATAAAGAGTTGAAAGTAAATGCTTCTGGGATATGAGAAACTGGGGGAAGGTAGAGAGTGAATTAGCAAATAATTTTTCATTAAGTGTAATAGAATGATATGGCTCTTTAAATTATGTGCACATACAACTTTAATGAAAATAAAAACTAAACTAAAAAGAGAAAGGCAATGATAATATTAAGGCCAGAAGAACCCTGTTGGATGCAGCTTGGGTGAAGAAGCCATAAACATGAAAAGAAGAGCTGGGTATGGTGATCTATGCCTATAATCCAGCTACTCAGGAGGCTGAGATGGGAGGACCACTTCAGCCTAGGAGTTTGAGGCCACAGTGACCGAGCCACTGTACTTCATCTTAGGTGACAGAGCGAGACATTGTCTCAGAAAAAGAAAAAAAAATATATATATATATACACTTCAGAATATTTATATGGGTCTCACGGTTAAGATGAGAGAGAAGCCTTTTAAAGCACATTAATTTAAGCTTAAGTTCAGGCCTAAAAAAGGATTTAAAGTTGTTTTAAGACAAAGATTTGACTATTATAAAATTTAGGACATCAAAAAATAAAATAAATGAAAACCCATACTCATAAATAAAATTAAAGAACAAAAACAACACTGGGGAAAGTTTTTGCAACAAATTCTTATAAATAAACAAAAAGTCAAAGACCAAGAGAAAATGCATGAAAAACATGAATACACAATCCACAAAAATGAAATATAAATAACAAATATGAAAAAATACTCACTCTCATTAGTAATCACAATTACAAATTAAAGAGAGAATAATTTTGAATTACTGGATTAGCAAAGATTAAGAAGTAAAAACAATATTGATCAGAATATGGAAAAAAGCATTCTCATATGATATTTTGGAAAGGAATATAAATAAAACACTCTTAACTAGAGGGCATTTTGGAAATACTGAGTGTATCAAATGTTTTTAAAAATGTGCACTGACATTTATCCTAAAGAAATAATGAAAACGTTAAGTACTTTAAAGGGATATTCATTTATAGAGTCCCTTAAAATGCTGAAAAATTGGAAATGTTTAAAATAGAGTATCACATAGATCATTAAAATTTTGTTGTAGAAAAATAAAGAAAAAAATTTCATAATATATTAAATAAAAAATAAGAGTTACAAAGTGCAATGTAGAACAGCACTGCAATTCAAACAAACAATAAAGCTAAACATATTTATGCAGAAAAAAACAGACTGAGAAGATAACCCCCAAGATGAATGGGGAGTTGTGCAGGTGGTAGTGTTACATTATTTCCGCATTTTCAAGAGAAACTACAATCTTAAGTAATTTGAACACAAAATGAGCAATAAATAATAAAGAGAAAATAGCATAAAAGAGAGCTAAATAAAGACTTCTGTACTTACCAAAAGTCTGTTATATACACCTTTACTCATTTTGGGGGGTTCTTTTTTAAAAATCTGCAAACTAACAGTTGTACATATTTTAAAGAGTAAGATAATATAAGAAGCAAATGCTCTGGCAATAGGCTCCTAATCTATAGTGAATTGAAAGCTACAAAACTGCTTTGCAAGTTTTGATTTATTCATGTAATACAAGTCTCAAGAATCCTTTACATAGAAATCTCTCCTATAGAGCTCTGAGGAATTATTTTATTGTCTAATCAGACTTTGAAGAATCATTTATGTTACATTAAGTGTCAGCATACCCATAGTTTAATTTGTCATTTCTTTTAATCCTCTTGCTATAAAGTACATGTAATGTACAAGGGCAAACAGAATGTTAAAGAATAAGAACATCTGTTAAGACACCCGAGATTTGCTATGAAAACAAGATTTTCTTTAGACTTAGCAATGCCTAGGCTACCAGTTTCTATGATCTTGAAAGTCTTTTATCATTAAGAATGAATTTTTAAAAACTCATTTGTCATCTTCAGATCATTGATGTGTCACAATGACGGAAAATCTAAAGTAATACACATGAGGTAACAAATGTAGTTTCCATACAGAATCCAAATAACCCACACAGCACCACAGACTTTTTACTTGCATGAGGAATGTAACTTAGATTCAAGGAATTCTAAGAGTATGAACAAGAAAATAAATTGGGATGCCATAGCCAGTGCATCATAAAACCTTAAGAGGGCTTGCTGAGAAAGGACATAAAATATCCCCACATTCTTTCTCTGTGAGTTGCCAGTTTATGCTCTTTCAGGAATTTGATATAGTGATGATTTCCAGGATATATTTCTTTCACCATTATTAAGCAACAAAAATGTAAATACATTATTTTCTTAGCCCTTTCTAATGCTATTTGAATTATTTCCTCCAACTAAAGTGAATATAAATAAATATGTGGAATTTTTTTTTTAAGCAAAGCAAGGACTGTACATCATAGGTCATGAAATTTACTCTTGACAGTTAAACTTGGGTCCATTTGGTCATAAAATTTAACTCTGAATTTCAGTCTATCTTTAAAAGGAGATTCCTTTCCTCCGTTTTTGAATGTTTTGTGTTTAAACAAAATTTTTGAATGGATCAAAAAAATATCAAAGGAAAGGAACTGTCCCATTGTTGAATGCAGAGCTTTGACACAAGTCTCACCTTCTCTGGATGAGGTAATCTTCTAGGATGTCGAGGCAGCGCACCATCTGGGAGAAGATGAGTACTTTGTGGCCACCTGCAATCAGCTTAGGGAGTAGTTTATCAATCAACACAAGCTTTCCTGCTGCCTGAATCATGGCCTGCAGCTGAAAGTCAGGGGCATCAGGGCTGTGGGTTTTTCGGAAATCTTCTAGAATTTTCTCCTCTGCTCCTGAAAAGGAATGGAACAAAACTATTCCTCGGACAGAATATAAGGATAAAGGTTGTACTCTGCTTTACAGATCCTGGGAAAAATGAAGTGAATTCTTAGGTCCTAGACCAGCAGTCCAGTGAGGAGATGCTGGGTGCACTCTTTGGTCTGTGCCTTCAGCAGAGGGCTCTGCAGTGGCAGCAGGAGAGAATGCGGGTGCTCCACTCTCCTGGGAAGTCTCACCAAGTAGAGAGAGGATCTGAGATACCAAGTCCTAAGCTGACTCACCCAAGTAAAGAAACCTTCCCAGACAAGAAGGACTTTCATACCTCTTGACATCACAAAGACTGTAAGATAATCCAAGCCACATTTTGATTTTAAAATTTCTCCAAAAGTTTCATAGTAAAAAAAAATCCTCCCAACATTTTCTCTAACTAGTTTGGTTAACTGTTAATTTGTCTACAGAGAGTTTTAATCTCATTGCAGCACTTTCACTGATTCAACTAAGTAACACATTTCCCTGTCCCCAAGTAGAAAGTGTGGGCCAGACTTTGAACAAATAAAGGGCAGCAAACTGGTGAGTGATATCCATCTTCTGCCCGGCAGAGTACATGCTGTGAGGCAGCTTGTTGGCAGAAGTTAAGTTCAAACCTTGGCTCTTGGTCCTTAGTAGCTATACCACTTAGGCAAATTCATCAAGCTCTCTGAATCTCAGTTTTATACTCTGTAAAAAGGTGAGAATGCGTACATCCTAGCATATAATGAAAATTCAATACATGAGTTATTTGATTATCATTAGCTTCTCGCAGAGGTCATGGCAGTCCTGAGTTACTTCCTAGTGCCCCTGACTCACCATTGATCAGGTAGGGATGGTTACAGCACTTCCTCAGCTCCATCATGGTGTTGATGAGATTGGGCATGTTGTGCTGATTTGCCCCCTTGGTCAGGAAGGAAAAGTTCTTCTCGAGGATGGCACGGTAGTACTTTTTCTGGATATTGGTCAGTTCCACCTCAATGATCGTCTCTTGTTTGGGAGCAAGGTTCTTTTCCACATCATCTTTCAGCCGCCGAAGCATCATTGGTTTTAGGATAGACTGCAGTTTCTTTACCTGTCCAGGGAAATGAGACCTAGTTACCTGCCTCAATCCCAAGTTAACGATTACTGGGGTATTCCAACCTTCACTCTAATTTCTTGAACATTTACCCATAGTACTGTGGTAGTAGACTAAAAGAAAGATTATGATCGACCCCTGAAAATGGAGAGTTTATAATAGTACTGAAAGGGAATAAGGGATATGATTTTAATTCACAAGCAATTACTGAGAATCTAGTGGCAATCTCAGAAGATAAAAAGGGAGAAAGGTATAAAAGAGTACCTATTCTCTAGGATGGAGAAAACATGTCTCTCTGTCATTCTTTCTCTAATACACACACCACATGCACAGTAATTACCTGAAGAGTATTTTAAATTATGTTCGGAGGTATGAGTGATATATTACAAGGAAACTTAGACGCTGAGAGAATGGAGTAAGAAGTAGAGATGATCTGGAAAACAATTCCTCCTATACCTTTTAAGTAACAATAGCAGCATACATGCTTGGGTGTAGCAGTATGTAAAGAACTAATGTTATAGGTGACATCTACTCTATCATGGAATCTGTCACATCAGGGGCACTTTAAGTCTGATGGTGTTCTTTGCTACAATTTGTCTGTTCTTCCCCTAAAAGCACAGGCCTGGACAGCAGATCTTTATGCAACTGACTGCACCAGCAAGGTGACTTGTTCCCCCTCCCAGTGAGACAATGACAGACTGAGGGATTCAAAGTCAAAGTACCTGAGTTAACCTGGAGCTAAAACATGATACCGGTAAGATTAACTCTGATGGTAAAACAAAATAAGGGAAGATGAAAGTGCAAAAGAAATCACGTTTCAAGTCAGAAACGGCTGTTCAAAAATTTAAAAGGGGTAGACTCTGCATAAACAAGTTGTGTGCTGCGAGATTGCTTCCTGAAGAAATATAAAGTGATTTACAGAGAGTGATTTAGAAGAGTTACTTACAAAAGCACATTTTAGACAATGATGAACATGCTTTATTTTGCAAACAGATGCTTTCCAGAACGTTTATTTACTGTGTTTTAAAATACAGACATCTCATAGAGCAGAGATTAGAGTAGTGGTTACCAGGGACTGGGGGGTGGGGCGGGGTAGGGAGGTATTGTTCAAAGGATACAAAATTTTAGTTAGACAAGTGGAATAAGTTCAAGAGATCTACTGAACAACATGGTGACTACAGTTAATAACAATGTACAGTATTTCTGAAGATTGCTGAGAGTGGATTTTGAATGTTCTCACAAAAAGCATGTGCTAATTAGCTCTATTTAGCCATTCCACCATGTATACATATTTCAAAACATATTGTACGTGATAAATACATATTTTGTCGATTAAAAAAATAAAGCCAAAAAATTTAAAATTAAATTGTTATATATAAATATTAAAAAGAAGTTTTGATGTCATTTTTATGGTTTTCTCCTACCTAACTCCAATCTTAATCTTTTTATGAGACTTTCATTTTTACCAACCAAGGGTACTTAGAAATCGAATCCCCCATATGGGTAAGGAATTACTATATAAGAACCTAAAGAGAAAAGACACAGCTAGCTGATTGTTAAAGATAGGGACAAATGTCAATCTGCCACATGCTGGGTTCAGCTTTTGCCCTTCTCTTGGTTCATACCTTGAATCATTTAGAGTTTACTATATGCCAGACATTGTGCTGGTCAATACAACAAACACAACTTGGGAGAAGATGTGGGCCTTGTCCTCAAGGAGATCTTTTGTCTAGGAAGAAGAAAAAATGCATACCACAAATTAAGTGCAATGGGAGAAGAGGATGCATTTCTAATGGTCCAAAAACGGAGAGAAGGTTAGAGCTGGCTTTTGAAAATCAATAGATAGGGCAAATGTAGGAATTAAGTTTGATTATTCACTGCTCTGATGCAAGCCTGACTTGCATCAGAAGTAGGAAGAAAGAGATTGGAACCCCAGGGTGTACGCTTGACATGTGGGCAAAATTCCCAAACCTTTTCATTCCCCTCATTCTTTGCCCCAACCCACTTACACACCATTGCTGGATTAATTTGGCAGAGCTAATTATGTCATTCCTGTAATAAGGTCTTGCATGGCTTCTCTGTTACCTACTGAATTCTTCAAACTACCTTTCAACATCTTCCCACAATATAACCCTAAACACTTCTGCTTATATTTTCCAATTCATCCACTCTGTTTTCAGTTTAATCAGATGTTTCCCCACTAGTGAATAACTACCATGACTCTGATTATGCTGGGTTTTTTTTTTTCTATGCAGAGTGGTTACCACCTCTTCTCTCCACACCTGTTAAAAGCTGCCCATCCCTCAAGATGCATTTTCAAATTGTACTCTCTCCCTAGAGTCTTTTCTAATTCTCAAATAGATGTAACCTGTCTCTCCTTTGAAGGACCACCTCTACTATTTGTTCCTCTTATGGCACGTACATTTGTCTGGGTTATTTCTATAATCCCTAGTGGAGATTCTATAATCCCTAGTAGAGTATTTATTACTATCAGTTGTTTTTTATTAGCTTTGAGTCCAACAAGGTAGACTTGGAACTGGACCTTGAAAACTGCAGAAATGCAGTTGATCTGGACAAAAGTGGACTTATCAACTACTCCAGGTATGTGACTGCCTTCTTTTCCTCACTACCTGTGTATTGTGCTGTATGCAAGAAGATGGGCCTGGGAACAAGTTGCAGATTTTGAAGGGAAAAGGATGAAGGATGAGGGAAGCAAAAGAAAGCACCATGCTCCTGAGACCAGAGCTGTAAGCAAAATCAGCGAACGCACAATATGTGAAATTAGTGAAGCAAGGAGGCCCGATACACCAACATAAAATATTTTGGGCGCATAAGATATTTTGGGTATGGACCCATCTATCCTCTGGGGCAATAAGAACTGCTAATAATCAGCGTACCCGCCCCAACATACACAAACACATAAAATAAAGGAGGTAACGCTCATTTTACCAGGAACGTGACAACTTGCTAAATCCTGGCCCCATAGCATCCTGCTCTTTTCTTGATGAAGATAACGATCACACTGTCTCCTCAATTCTTTGGGTCCCTAATTACCTGCTCCTCTGTTTTCAGATCTCCAAATTCCTCCAAGAAAGCGGTCTCTGAAGGAAACTGTGATGGCTCCAGAAAATTTAACAAACTGAAGAGCTCCTCCACAGAGTTCTGCAAGGGTGTTCCAGTGAGAAGCACTTTATGTTCCTGCGCAAATTAAACATACATGATGGACAGTGCTTGAGCCATCAAAATAGTGCATTTTCGTGGGGAAAATTAAGCCAGGGCATTGAGTGCTCAATTTGGGGCAATTCTGATCTGCTTTAATGAAAAGATAATATGCCATCATAGGGGTACAGTCAATAAACGAATCAACCTTCCTTTCACATCACTGATTCCAGCAGCACGTTCATGTTAATTAAAGCAACTATTCACTCATTCACTAAATATTATTGAGTGCCTCCCCACCAGATACTGGGCACTGTGCCAAGGCAGTAATGTTAAAAGGGCATCATCTTTGGTACCAGTTCATTTAGGGGCCTGGAAACCAGCCAAAACACCTTACATTTCCAAGTCATATATTTCATGGTATTTAAGAGTCCTCCTAAGTCTATGGAAATCAATCTGTGGCAAAGGTCAAATTGTTGACCCAGTTTGTAACCAAAAAATCTTAATTCCTATACTATTGCAGTTATAGAGACCAAAAAAGAAAATCTAATGTAAAACGACTAGGCAGAAATAAGTTACATGCAGAATGGCTAAAGAGTGTTTCCTCCAAGCTGAACAAAAGGAACCTGTGTTTATGTAAAGAGATGCTAACTCTCACCAGGGCCATAAGCTTTAGACCCTCCAGAAGTTTGCAGTTCCTATTCTTCAGTCTGTGGGCTTCATCAATTATCACACAGCTCCAGTGAATCTTCTTCAACTCTGGGCAGTCTGCTAGGATCATTTCAAATGTTGTGATGACGACGTGGAACTTGAAGACTCCTGAAAGGGGGTTTCCCTGAGGATGACACAACCAAAGTCAAAGCTTTACACCATGGCTATAGAATTCTGCTAATATCTGCTGGACTACAGGAGGCAGCACTACAGATGCTGGGGCCTAGGTGAGAAGACAAGCACTGCTTTTCCTCATGTGAGAAAAGAGAATATAAGAATTAACGAGCTAGTTAGCCAGAAGGCCTCACACCATCAATGAAACAGAAGCGAGACAACATCTGCCCTCACAAAGGTGAGAAGGATGGGCAATATGGAAGGCACAGCAAGGGAGCATTTTTATTTATTAGCTGTCATGATAAGGAAATCAGATAGGTGTTGTTCACAAGTCCCCAGCCAGGAGTCCATCTAAACCATGCATAGTTTGAATGCCCAAAGGAAACTCTCTGCTATTTTTCAGACTTAATTTCACCTTATAATTTGAGTTCTAGCACAGATTGAAGGTAATGATTCTGATGCACCTAAGACAAGCGCTACTAGGCAGGACACAGCTTTGTTTTTCAGACTGTCTTGGTGTTGCCATCACATTTCAAGAGCAGAGCTGCATCATGTTAGAGCACTTCTTAAATGTCTTCCAAGTGTCTCTGCTGTTTTTGAAACCTCTGGAGAGACCACTGGCTTTCCTCTGATTGAAATCGTTTAATTTTTACCTTAATTATAAAAACCAATGTGCAGGACAAACACACAACTATATTCAGCTAAGTGACAGCACTTAAAAACTTAAAGAGAAAATGTTGCTGTTGGGTTTCTAATGATTTGAAACCTATTTTCTCTTTATCCTTCTCTGTCAAATCTGTTAACCTCCTCTCCAAACTCCCTGGCTGGGAATCCATTCTCTGTATAGTAATTCTTTTGCTCACTTTCTTCACTGAACACATAACAATTCAGATAAAATCTTCTGCATATAAAAGTAACTTCATAAACCAATAAGTAAGTCAAACTTTCAGTGTCCTAAAAAAGGTATATCTCAGAGTTTAGACAGCATGCCCTACAATCCTGTGTTGTATCATAAATTAAAACGAGCTACCAGGGAGAGCAGGAGTCAGCCTTGACAAACATATTACAAAGTCATTCCACATTAATACAAGATGCAGGGCACTGGAACTTCTGAAGATAAGTGACAGAAAGGCTGTTCTGAGCTTAGGCAGTCCCTGGGTCTCTGATCTCACGTGAGGCTCACCTGGGCGTCTCTGTACACCATTTCATACTGCTGGATCATCTGCCTGCTGATCTGGCTGCCGTGGTACACAATGGCATTCATCTCTGTCCATGTCCGGAACTCCCGCTCCCAGTTAGTGATGGTGGAGAGAGGGGCGATAATGAGAAAAGGGCCGTGGATTCCTCTCAGAAATATTTCTGAAAGGAATGTGATGGACTGGATGGTTTTCCCTAGGCCCATCTCATCAGCCAAAATACAGTTTTTTCTGCAGAGAGTGAGAAATATAGGTAATTCATTATCAATATAGGAAACTTATAGAGGCTGGTTATAACTTGAAAAGATGCTTCACATACCTGTAAGATTATCATTGAAGGCTTTATCATCATTTCACATATTAAACTGAGGTTAGTTATTATTATTATTCCTACTTTGCCTACTTCCAAAACAGAACCATGCTAATTTGGGAGAAAATACAGTCATGTGTCACTTAAGGATGGGGTCACACTCCGAGAAACGCATCACTGCGTGACTGTTTCATTGTGGGAACATCATAGAGTGTACCTACTAAACCTAGATGGTATAGCCTACTACATACCTAGGCTATGTGGTATATAGCCTATGGCTTCTAGGCTATAAGCCTATACAGCATGTCATTGCAGTGAATACCGTAGGCAATTGTAACACCATAGTAAGTATTTGTGTATCTAAACATGTCTAAACACAGAAAAGGCAAAGTAAAAATAGAGCAAAATATAGATTAAAAGTGGTATACCTGGCCAGGCGCGGTGGCTCACACCTGTAATCCCAACATTTTGGGAGGCCAACGCGGGCAGATCACCTGAGGTCAGGAGTTCGAGACGAACCTGGCCAACATGGTGAAACCCCATCTCTATTAAAAATACAAAAACTAGCAGGGCGAGGTGGCAAGTGCCTGTAATCCCAGCTACTAGGGAGGCAGAGGCAGAAGAATCGTTTGAACCCAGGAGGCGGAGGTTGCAGAGAGCTGAGATCACACCATTGCACTCCAGCATGGGTGACAGAGCGAGGCTCTGTCTCAACAAAAATAAAAAATAAAAAAATAAAATGGTATACCTAGGTGATAGGTTGACAGGTGCAGCAAACCACCATGGCACACATTTACCTATGTAACAAACCTGCATATCTGGCACATGTACCCTAGAACTAAAAAATAAACATTAAAAAACAAAAACAAAAAAGGTATACCTATACAGGGGACTTACCATGAATGGAGCTTATAGGACTGGAAGTTGCTCTGGGTGAGTGAGTGAGTGAGTGGTGGGTGATGTGAAGGCCGAGGACATTACCGCACACCACTGTAGACATTATAAATACTGTACACTAAGGCTACACTCAATTTATTTAAAAATATTTTTTCTTCAATAATAAATTAACCCTAGCTTACTGTAACTTTTTTACTGATGAACTTCCAATTTTTTAAAAAACTTTTTGACTCTTAAGTGTTATTACAAAGAGTCAAGAAGTTTTAAAATATTTAAAAGTTTTTGTATAGCTGTATATTCCCATATATATATATATATATTCCTATAAATATATATATATATTTTTTGGTTTTGTTTTGTTTTGTTTTTTGTTTTTTTGGTTAAGGATTTAGAAATAGAAAACAGCTTTAAAGGATATTCTGGATTTTGTTTCATCTAGATTGAGCCCACCCTTTTGGTGTGGCTGGCCAAAAAAAAAAGGCACAAAGTCAGTGATGTCTAAAGATCATTCCTTTTGGTTGGAGAAACAGCTGACAAAAATAAAGTAAGTCTTGGATGATTAATGTGCAAAGACTACCACCCTAAATTGATGGCCATGCTGCTCCCTCTCACCAGTCTGCTACTGCGACTCTAGGTGTTCCAGGCTAAGGCAATAATATACCTCTGGGTACAAACATCTGGGCTGGTTTTGGTTCCTTACCTGTTATACCAGTTAAAAAGAAGCCAGTTCATCCCTTCCAGCTGGTACTCCCGGAGCTGGTTACTGTTCTTATACTCGCGAGACTTCTCAAGTTTCTGCCAGGAGTCTGAAGCAGGCCGCTCCTAGGGAGGAAAGCAAACAGCATAATAGATAGAGAATGATGTTTTAGGAGCATAACATGGATACTAACGAGGACAGTGGTAAATCTCACTGTCCCAAGGCTGGTTTCAAACTATAGTTATTACCTTCTGAGTAACGTATAGGTTGGGGGAACTAAGTAGGAGTCAGGCTGAGAGAATGGTTAGGAATCCTGATTGCTTCTAGATAATAACTTACAATTAGCTTCAGAATGAAACTCTCCCTGCTTTCTATCTGGTCCGTCACTGCATTACACCACACACCACAATTAGCCTGGTGCTGTATTTATTTATCCATGCACACACATGCTTCTTCCATTAGACTGTGAGCTCCTGAGGGCAGGGCCTGTACCTTGTTTCTTACCATATCTCACACAAGAATCAACCTACAGCAAATGCTTAATAGATGACTGACAAGTTGAATTAAAAGCAGAAAACAGTATTTATGGGAGAGGGTTGAAAGAATAATAATCAACCATGCAAACAAAACACTATTAACTATGTAAGTTTCTAATCACAGTTCTGCATCTCGAGACACCTCTATCTACCTTTCATATGCCAAAGAAAACAAAAACAAAACACTGCTCTTGAATGGACTCCTACAGGGACCTAAGTTTAATGTTCCGAGTATCAACCTTCCAGTGATGTAAAAGCAAGAAATAATATTAATAAGGAACTGGATAACAGTTTTTCATATAAAAATGGCAATGTTTTTTTAAACAGAAACTGATCATTCCAGCCTATAGCCATATTCTTTAACAACTGATTCTCTTTTCAAGTTAGTTACACCTTAATAAAGCTCTGGGCTGGGTGTGGTGGCTCACGCCAAAGTAATCCCAGCACTTTGGGAGGCCAAGACAGGCGGATCACCTGAAGTCAGGAGTTCAAGACGAGCTTAACATGGTGAAACACCATCTCTGCTAAAAACATACAAAAATTAGCCAGGCGTGGTGGCACACGCTTGTATTCCTAGCTACTCAGGAGTCCAAGGCAGGAGAATTGCTTGAACTCGGGAGATGGAGGTTGCAGTGAGCTGAGATTGTGCCACTGCACTCCAGCAACAGACCAAGACTCCATCTCAAAATAAAAAAATAAATAAAAGCTCTGATCCCAACTCCCCTCCTTTTAATTGTTGGATAATCTATATACTTCTCAGGCGCCCTGGGAGATCTTGGCAGTTGAGTGGTAATAATCCAGAATCAGAAAAACAAATAAATTCAATAATGTTTATCAAAAACCTATGTTCTCTCTGTGGGAGTCACAGGGATCTGCAGATAAAGGACAGTTCTTCCACTTAATAATATTCCAGTTGAGTGAAGAAGGGAAAATCAAAGAAAAGAGGTAGCTGATGAAGAGATAAGAAACAGGAAAGATACTACTGAGCTTCTCTTGCACACCAGCCATTACTTACAAATTTTATTTTACTGACTCCATACAACAGCCGCACACCAAGAAATCTAAGCCAATATCAAAGCTTCTTAAATGTCACATACATCAAAATAGACCTGAGACCTAAAGGTGACAAGGGCGCTGGGAAAGTTCGATCTGGGGTGGAAAACACTGAATTGAGGGTTCAATGAGAAGTAACAAAGGTAAAATACCACAGAAACCACCTAGGAACAAGCCAGGTGGACTTCCATGATTGCAAAGTTCATAAAATTACATGTTCCGAGAAGTGCCAGAGAGAGACAAAACTACTTTACCACATGCTTAATTTCAGGGAGAACTTGAAGAGATTCAAATTCTTTAACTTTTGCAGGATCTACATCTTCCTCTAGCTCCCACGTGCTTTCTTCATATGGTAGTGAGCACCACTTCACCAGGTAATGTGTTACCTCCTGGTGGGAAAACAGGAAAGAAACTTAATGTTCTATTAGGTTAAAGGAGTCAGTAGTATCTGCCAACCTCTGAAAAACCACCCTACGTGACTAGACAGGAATACCACTAAGACAAGGGTCACATGTTAAAACAAGTGAAATACGTGGAAAGAAGGGAAGATGCTTCAGGAGAGGCAAATACCCACCTCCCCTGTTTCTGCATCCTTGGTGTGGGCCACCTCCAAGATGCGATCAACTTCTACATAGTCTGGATTGAACAAGTCTTCATCAGGCTAACACAAACAGAGGAGAACAGTTAGGAAGTATGTCCCCTTGCCTCAAATCCAACACCTAGGGTGTTATCTCTAAGTGATCCCTACTCTAGGCCCTATCAACAAACACAAAAAGAAAGGGTTTGCTTAAGAATAAAAGTCACGGCATTTATTCACTGTCTCCAAATCCTGCTCTCCATGACTAAATTTAAAGGATCTAACCATCTTAGTGGCTACACCCTAGCCAGGTAATAATTCCCTGTTGGTCATTATAGCAATGTACAAAAATCAGCAGAAGGGTTCCCTTTTCCTTACTGGTCCTTATTTCAAACACAGCCCTTGGCAACTAGGAATTACAGTTTCTTTTTCTTAATAACAACAATAGTTAACACTGGCAGGGGGCATGAGGGAAGCTTCCTGGGTGCTGACAATGTTCTATTTGCTGATCTAGGTAGTAGTTACACAAATGTGTTTACATTGTAAAAATTCATTGAGATGTATACTTTTATCTTTATGCACACTATGCTTCAAAAAAAGTTTACTACAAAACAACAAGAAGCAACATATAGAAATACTTAAGGTATGTCCAGAGTAATGCTAAGTACTTTCATTTAAGCTCCAAAACTACCTTACGGAGTAGGTACTATAATTACCTTACAGATTAGGAAACTGACTCAGAGATATTAAGTAATGTGACCAAGTTGACGGAGCTATGTTAACTGGACCGTTCACCCAGGTCTTTCTTACCCAGAAGCTGAAGCCCTCCTCCAGGAGTGCTGAAGAGCTCTTACTGCCACTTAGGCTGCAAGGCACTTTTGGGGCTAATTTCATCGTCTAATCAATGCAGGATACTTTTTACAACATCCCTGGCAAGCCTCTCAGATTCAATTATTCCCAACTAAGAAATTTACTACCCTTCAAGACCTGATTCACTGTCGAAACAGCTTTATCTCTACCTCTTTAGGAGTAGCATCATGATCTTTATCATTAGTAAATTATAACTTAACTTCCTTCCTTATAACTGTTGCTCATTGGCATGAACTGCTTCCTTTACAGCAGCAATAAGAGGATTCTTTCCTCTCTCTTTAGGCTCTTCAGCAATCCCCTCCCTATCTGGGTTAAAAAAAAAAAACCCAGTTTGTTCAACAGTTCTTCATATACCGTTTCCATCTTAATGATACGAAAAGCTAATACTTATGGAGTAGTGCCTATGAGCTAAACACTGCTATAAACATTGTGTCCTTTATTATTCACAATAGTCAAGATTACGGAAACAAGCTAAGTGTCCATCAAGGGATGAATGGATAAAGAAAGTGGGGTGTATATACCTAGACAATAGAATATCATTCAGCTTTAAAAAAGAAAGAAATCCCATCATTTGCAACAACATGGATGAACCTGGAGGATGTTATACAAAGTAAAATAAGCCTGACACACAAAGACAAATATTGTATGATCTCACTTATATGTGGAATATAAAATAATCAAACTCATAGAAGCAGAGAGTAAATGGTGGTTGCCAGGGATGAAGGGGAGGGGAAATGGGGAAGACATTGGTCAAAGGGTATAAAATTTCAGTTACGCAGGATGAATAAGTTCTGGAGACCTAATGCATAGCATGGTGATGACAGTTAAACTACTGTATTATATATTTGAAATTTGCTAAGAGGATAAATCTTAAGTGTTCTCACCCTTAGGGGGGAAAAAAGAAAGAAAAAAAACCCCCTACTTATGTGAGGTGATGGATATGCTCACTAGCTTGACTATAGTGGTTATTTCACAATGTAAACATACGTTAAAACATCAAGTTGTACACCTTAAATATAATTTTTTGACAATTATACTCCAATAAAGCTTAAAACGGCAAGAAAACTATCATCTAATCCTTGCAGGTATTCTGTGAGGCTGATTCTATCAGGAGTCCTGCTTTTTCCTATGATACTGAGTTTGAAAGAGCTTATGCCATGGCCTGAGGCCACCCAGGTGTGTGTGAGGCTGGGCTGGGAGGGGCAGTTTGACTGCAGAGCCCAGGCTCTTACCATTGTGCAGTCCGCTCTCCACCTATGCCCCATTCCCACCATGACAGTCCTCTTGCAGCTGCCCTCAGGTTTTGCAAAGTCCCTCACTGAATCCTGGTACCCAAATGAACATAGCATTTAGGAATGAAAAGGGCATGGTACAGCAGGACTGTTCTATTGGTGCAGTCTAGGATTAGTAGGATTCGTTTACTTTTTAAACAGCCATGTCCTACTCTTGACACGCAGTAAATGTGTAGTTAATTGAACTGGCAATATGTTTTCTCCCTAGAACTGCTACCCAGTCATTTTCCTCATTTCAGAACCAGAAAGATTCCAAGAACAATGTAGGATATTACATTTATTCCTACATTTATTCATCCTACCCTGTCCAGGCAAACCCAGGCTGATCCTGACATTTATTCTCTCAGTATTGGATCTGGTTAGAACGTCTCCTGGGTGTTCAGGAGTTAGGATTTCATCAGGAGTCTATCTCTGCGCATGTGGGAAGTTGCAGGCTCTTGGAGCCTGAGTTTCCTCCACGTGTGCTTTAGCTACCTCATAAAGCAGCTGGAAATAATGGATACAAAGCTCTATTCAAAACTAAGTTACTATTTGTATCACAAAAATATTTACCCAAGTTACTAACAAATATGTTGAATAGGTCAAGACCAAAGGCAGTGTTGAACTACTCGTCAGTATTATTCCTCCTTAATTTCATGTGTTCCAATCTTCTCAAGAGCCTTTCCTTCCCACAAGAATATGAACTCTTGTTGCATTATTTCTATATATCCCAGCACAGTTTCCTCTATTCTCGGCCAAGGAAAAACCACTACTTTGGGAATAGATCAGAAAACAGACACAAAGGGCTGTGTAGGCTCTATTACAGGGTTTAGTCTTTATTCCAAGAATAACACATTAAGGTTAAGGTTTGTGGCATTTTCTGATATATAGCATTATAGATTTGTTTAATATTAAAATCCATCAGTCCTTCCTCTTGCTATAGGTACAATACTTAGAAATTCCCAAGTTTACATAAATAAAATTATTTATTTGTTTACTTTCTCTCACTTTTAGATTTGTTTTGTTTTTTACATTCAAACTTTAGGACCTTCTGAAATGTCCTTTTTGGGTTGCAGTGGGTTGAGGGAGCAGGGACAAAAGAATTGTGTGCGTATTCCTCTCACTCTAGCTATTTATTAGTATTCAGACCAAGATGCACGCCGTTATGAGTTGTCAGTTTATAAGGTTTGATCCTTAACTTTGGTGGATAGTTTTCTTTGACTTGAATCTAGACTAGTTTTGTTGCAAATCAGCACACATTTATCAATTTGACTTGAGCAACAGATCTGTATAGGAATTTAACTTGGACTTAGAAACGTAAACACAGTATTTACTGCTGCAAGAAAAGCAGCAGTCAAATGAGTCAGTAAATATTGCTTCACCTCCGTAAAAATGTGCTTCATCTGGGCTTGTTTATTCCTAAATCGCTTGATCTTCTGTGCGATGCGAGGATCCTTTTCGAGCTCTTCCATTGTGGCCCATTTACAATGTAAGTAGGAACTATCCAAAGACATACAAATTGTCAGGCAAGCACATAACTAGCAAATGATCGAGCTTTAAGGTGTTCAATAAACACGGTGACCACCTAACACAGAAATAGTAAAATGGTTTATTGTGAAACTGCTGGAGATTGGGCTTAGAAAGACCTTCCCCTTAAGGGCAACAACAGAAAACAAAACAAAACGGAGTAATTCCAAGCAACTGATCTCTCTGCAGCTTCTAGAGAAACTGGCTGAGAACAGAGGCAGGGCAGCTGTGGGCAGGTTATCATTAACACACATTAGTGAAAGTGGGTCTGTAGCAGAAAGGAAAATATACAAGAGGGGAAAAGAGCATATGCTACAGGAGAGTGGTTCTCTACCCTGGTTGCATATGAGAATTGCCCAAGGAGTTTTTAAAAACACAACAATCCTTGGGCCCCACTGAGTCTGAGCCAATGGTCTTGGGTGGAGCAAAGGCTTTAGAGGTTTAAAAAAGCTCTCCAGGTAATTCTGTGTGCAGCTATAATTGAGCGTTACTGCCTAAGGTAAACTTGAGTCAGCCAAGACCTGTGGGTCATGCCTTAGAGGCAAGACTCTGAAGATGTAGAAGATAATAAAGTCACAAGAGAAAAAAAGTTTTATTCATATAAAACCCAAATACAGAGAATACTTTAAATAGACGTACAAATTTCTATACTTAACGTAGAACAGCTCCAAGTCGAACGGAGGTTCTCCTGGGTGAACCTGTAACAAACAGCAAGCAGTTATCAGCCCAGATCCCAGGCAGATCACCCTTACTGAGCCAAAAGAAAACAGGTAATCAATATCTCTGCCTGATTTCCATAAAGATTTCTTAAGGCATATTTTCATTTTCCCAGGCCTTTTCCTGACACCTATTGGTCAGGTTTTCCAAAGGTGGAATACACAGCTGCAAGGTAAAAAACTGATCTTCCTGATGTCCTTCCAAGGTCTAGGCTGGGACGGCACTCAGCTGATAAACCCAAACTGGCCCAGGACAATGAGAAATGTCAGGACCAGAGCCTGGTGTGGAAGTGACTACATTCATCTCTGGCACCCCACTAACGCTTCACTTCTGAAACACCAATGGTAGTCACTCTCCAAGTAAGGAAGTTTACTTTCATAAATTCTTGAAGTAAAGATGAAGCCGTGCTCTCACCAGCACCAACATACTCTAGCACTCCAAGAATTTCCTATAGGAGATTCCTACAATGGCCCTGAGATGTCTGAAGAAAAAAACCCCCACGTTTCCATTAGGACTCATATGGGTGTGTATGTGTGTATGTATGTATGTATGTATGTATGTATGTATGTGTGTGTGTGTGTGTGTGTGTGTGTGTGTGTGTGTATTTTAAATAGAGAAAGGGTCTCACTATATTGCCCAGGTTGGTCTTGAACTACTGGGCTCAAGTGAACCTCCGATGTTGGCCTCTCAAAGTGATGGGATTATAGGTATGAGCCAATGAACCTGGCCTCTATTAGGACTTTTTGTCCATCTCTTCTTCTTGGCCCTCTGCTAAATTGTGGTGGGCTACAGCAACTAAGGGATATATGGCTTTTGCTAGGATCACAATGGAGGAAATCATCAGCTTGAGCCATTCTAGATATTTTAAGAGTTTTATGTCCTAAAATGCTCTACAGGGGTAAAAATAAGTGTTGGCTAGCCAGACAATATTCTTGCCTAGCTCTCACTCCAGCCAATAATGGTCATTCTAGGTTCTCTAGCCAAAAATCTCTTCACAGAAGATGTAATCTGTGCTAATGATATAAAAGCTAGAAACATGAGCCACCAACCTCCTGGACAGTCTTAGATGCCAGGATCTTCTCAATGATGTTTGCATCATCTTCTGGAGGCTCCTGGGGACAAAGATAAAAAAAAAAGAAAATTGCTGGAACCACAGAATCCAAGAAAACAATTCTGTAAGAAATACTACAATGGGTACTACTTCATTCAAAAGTTCACCTTTGAGTACCAAGGCCTCCCATCAGGCCACAGAGTGGTCAAAAGGTCACAAGCATTTTGCAAAGCTAGAATTTAAAGTGGTGGCTTCTAAGCTCTGGACACAACTCTACAAGAGCAGAGAAGTTTTTCAGATGCAATTTCAGATCTGCATTTAACATACCTAAAATTGGTCCTCAGATTTACCTTCTTTGCAAAACTACCTACATGTTGCTGCATACAATTTTCAGAAAGCTCTAAGAGTATGGGGTCTTAAAATTAGTTCTAATATCTACCAGCTATTGACTTTAGGCAAGTCAATTAATACCTCCTAGTCTCCAAATATATTAAAATAGGAGTTAAAAATACATATCTCACTGAATTAGTGGGAAGATAAAATAGTATTACTATTGGAAAAATGTTTTCACATACTATTCAAAATCAAGGTATAATTATTCTCTATTAAATTGTACCATCTTTCCCCTTTGTAGCTGGAAAAGGCTGTTTCACTGATCATCCTTTGAACGTAAATCCCAACTGAAAACCTAAATTCCTTTTTACCCTAGATAACCATCAACACTTCTATCCTCCAATCTCCATGAAATCTCTTTCTACAGAGTATTTATAGTTAAAAACACAAAATGTTTAACATTCTTTCTAGAACCTCAAGCAGCATTATTTCTCAGTGGTTCATATGCACAATGACCTTTTCAGATCTATTACAATATGAGACTTAAAACACCATATGAAAAGAACACTCATCACAACAATGAAACTGCCAAATTCGGTATTCTGGGTTCCTGGCTGGAACGTCCCAGAAGGATGATTTGTATATCTTCAGTCTACCCATTCTAGGGTGTAAAGCCATAAAATTATAGAAAATATCTCTTAAGATCTTAAATCAAGCTTTTCCCAGGAAAGTGATGATGGGTTAAAAGAAATGAGGAAGGCATATGGCAGAAAAGAATTATGGAAATCAGCAAGCAGGCACAGGCAGATGTTCCCAAAGGTTACAAATATTTACTAAGCTCTCTCAGACACATGGCATTGTGCTAGATGCCATACAGAAGTTAATCCAAAACCACACACGTCCCTTCTCACCACTCAACAGGAAGGCAAGTAAACTATAATTACCATACAATAGAAGAAAGGGGTGTGAATACAGACTATGCTTTTGTTTCTCTGTTTAAGTATTTGCTCTGCTTGGTTCCTAAATATAGATAGGTGGCAGGGAGAAGGTGGCAGTTCACTGTTTATTGCTGTCTTCTCCCTTTACTACATAAACCTTCAGAGGGCAGGGATCCTTGTTTTATATACCGACATAGCTAGACCAGGAAATGCATAATCAATAGGTATTTTTTGAATGCTAAATAACAAGCAAGAGGAAAAGAAAGAAGGAAATACAGTGAGGAAATAAAGGGTCAAACTCTCTGAGGCCACAGAGTAGAGACAGCTATTTTTCTTGATTTATGTCACTTAATTTAAGAAGTCTCCCCCATCTCCATACACTCAGACTTACATACTGTCAGGACGGTAACAGCAAAGGGCCAAAGCTAGGTGTGCATTAATGAGCAGCAAGGACCACTACCACTGATCTTGCAGCCAACTAACTAAAGTCTGACTATGGCGAGTGGGCAGTGAACAGGTGCTAGGTTAAGAGAAACTAGACTAATGAACCAGCTTCCTACCTCATTTCCTTCCTAAATTTTTATCCCACATTATTTATGGAGTGCTTTTAGTTTATGCACTGGCCTTACAGAAGTAAATGAGATATGTCTAGTCTTAATCATGAAGGAACTATCAGGCATGCTAACAAAATGCTTAGTTACTGAGGTATGGCATACTTGTAGTATGCAGAAATCTGAAGTGTACATCTTGACGAATTTTTACATACAGAAATGCACCTATATAACTACCACTCAAGATCAAGTTTATATAATTTTTCCAACACTCTGAAAAATCCTGTGCCCTCACTGTAAGTAACCAATATTCAGACTTCTACCACCGTAGACTGGTTTTGTGTATTATTAAACCTCATGTAAATGGAATCATACAGTATGTAGTTCATTCTTTTTTAACACTGTGAAGTATTTTGTAATATAAACTATCCACTCTACTGTTGAGGAATATTTGGTTTGCTTCCAATTTTTGTATTACACAAGAAATCCATATAAATTATGTCTTTTGGTGGAAAAATATGCTCATTTATCTTGGATATATAACTAGGAGAAGAAATACTGGGTTATGGGGTAGGTAGATGTCTAATTTTAATAAATATTGTCAATAAATAAATAAATAATATTGTCAAAAATTTTCTCAGTGATTGTAAAAATTTTGACACCTACCAGCAAGGTATGGGAGTTCTGGGTGACTTGATAATGTCAGTCTTTAGCATGTTAGCCATTCTGGTGGATGTGTAATGTTGTCTCTTTAATTCACATTTTCCTGATAACAGAGGATGCTGTGCCCCTTTTCATATGCTTACTGGACATTTGGATATCCTCTTTTGTGAACCTCCTATTCAAGTCATTTGCCTATTTTATAAATTGTTCTTTCTAATTTATTTTCAAGAATTATTTTAAATAAGAGTCCTCTCTCAGATACACAGATTACAAACATTTTCTACCAGTCTATGGTTTGCCTTTTCAATCCCTTAATGTGTCTTCTGAACAGAAATTCTATATAATCCATTTTATCAATCTTTTCTTTTATGAATAGTATTTTTGTGTGCTGTTTAAGAAATTTGTATTGCCACCAACATCATTAAGCTACATATGTAATTTAAAATTTTCTAGTAGCCACATTAAAAAAGTAAAACAGGTGCAAGTAATTTTAATATATTTCACTTAAACCAATATATCTAAATTATCAATATGTAATCAATTAAAAAATTAAAAAATATGTTAATAGTCATTTCATACCAAGTCTTCAAAATATGGTATTTTATATTTATAGCACATCTTAATTCAAACTAGCTACATTTCAAGTGCTCAATAGGCACATGTGGCTGATAGGGTCCATACTGGACAAGGTAGTTATATTTTGTTCAGCTGGTCTATTTGACTATCCTTATGGCAATACTACCCTGTCTTCACTCCTACAGCTTGATTACAAAGTCTTACAGTTAAATCTTCCAATTTAGTTCTTTTTCATGACTGTCTCAGGTTATGTTAGATAGGTCTTTAGCATTTTCATATGAATTTCCACCAATTAAAAAATGCCCTGCTTAGTTTTTGACTGGGTTTGAATTATAGACATCTTAGCAGTATTAAATAACCATATGTGGCTGGGCACGGTGGCTCATGCCTATTATCCCAGCACTTTGGGAGGTCGAGGCAGGTGGGTCACTTGAGGTCAGGAACTCGGGACCAGCCTGGCCAATACAGCGAAACCCTGTCTCTACTAAAAATACAAAAATTAGCGTGGCGTGGTGGTGCACGCCTATAGTCCCAGCTATTTGGGAGGCTGAGACAGGAGAATCACTTGAACCTGGGAGGTGGAGGTTGCAGTGAGCGAGACCATGCCACTGCACTCCAGCCTGGGCGACAGAGTGAGACTCCATCTCAAAAACAAAACAAAACAAAGCAAAGCAAAACAAAACAAAACCCATATGTGCTACATCTATTTGTTTAGGTCTTCTTTTTCATAGCTATGTTTTTAGCATAGACGGCTTGTGTATTTTTTGAGTTATTCCAGGGTATCTGATAGGTTGATGCTATTATAAATGGGATTTAATAATTATCCTTTCCTGATGTTATGTCGCTAGTTTATAGAAATAAAAAATACGTATTTGCATATTGTCTTTATGTATCCATATTGCATATTATCTTTATATATCCAGCAACTTAACTAAACCTACATTTATTATTTCTAATGATTTGTTAGTACATTCTGTTCAATTTTCTACATATGCAGTCACATCATCTACAACTAATAAAAAAGTTTTACTACTCCCTTTCTAATCTTTTAACTTTTTATTTATTCTTTCTCTTTATTGTAGTGGCCAGGTCCTACATTGTATTTCTGAGTACAAATTATGACAGTGAAATATTTTTCTTACTCTCAAATTCAGGAGAATGCATTCAATATTGTACTACTTAATACAATATTATCCACCAGATTTTCTCTTGTGGCTTTTAAATGTTCTCTCAGTCTTTGTTTATATAGTTTAAGATATGCCTAGGTATGGTTTTCTTTTTTGCATTTTTCCTGCTTTAGAGTTATCTGATTTTGAATCTACTGGTTGATATCTTCCATCAGTTTAGGAATTTTTGGTCATTAGTTATATCGTCAAATGCTACTCTGCTCCAATCTCCTCTATCCCTAGCACTCCAATCAGAAATACTTTGAACTTTCGGCTGGGTGCAGTGGCTCACGCCTGTAATCCCAACACTTTAGGAGGCCGAAGTGGGTGGATCAACTGAGGTCAGGAGTTTGAGACCAGCCTGGCCAACACGGTGAAGCCCCATCTCTACTAAAA
This sequence comes from Homo sapiens, assembly GCF_000001405.40. Classification (NCBI taxonomy): domain Eukaryota; kingdom Metazoa; phylum Chordata; class Mammalia; order Primates; family Hominidae; genus Homo; species Homo sapiens. The sequence goes on from NC_000020.11 coordinate 41,503,920, forward strand.
ATACAAAAATTAGCTGGGCATAGTGGCGCACACCTGTAATCACATCTACTTGGGAGGCTGAGGAAAGAGAATTGCTTGAGCCCAGGAGGCAGAGGTTGCAGTGAGCTGAGATTGCGCCACTGTACTCCAGCTTGGGTGATAGAGTGAGACTCTGTCTCAAAAAAAAAAAAAAAAAAAAAAAAAAAGAAATACATTACAACTTTTAACTGCATCGCACTTGTCTCTCTTTCTTATGCTTTTACCTTTTGCTCTGTTTGATTCATTCTTTTTCCTCTATGTGCTTCAGAAATTTTCCATTGATCTGTCTTCATAGTCACTCCTCTTCTGCTGCATCTAATCTACTTATAAACCTATCCACTTGGTCTTGAATTTTATAAACTGGATTTTTCATTCTACACTGCTATCTGATTTTCTTTATAGATGTAATTCTCTGTTGGAAGTCTTCATTTTAAAATTCATCTTGTCCATCTTTTCCTCTATTTTCTTTTTTTTTTTTTTTTTTTTTTTAGACAGGATCTCACTCTGTCACCCAGGCTGGAAAGTGCAGTGGAACGATCTCACCTCACTAAAACCTCCACTTCCCAGGCTCAAATGATTCTCCAGCCTCAGGCTTGCAAGTAGCTGGGACTACAGGCACAAGCCACCACACCCAGCTAATTTTTGTATTTTTTGTAGAGAAGGGGTTTTGCCATGTTGCCCAGGTTGGCCTCGAAATTCTAAGCTCAAAGCAATACTCCAGCCTTGGTCTCCAAAAGTGCTGGCATTATAGGCACGAGCCACTGTGCTGGCGCCCTCTATTTTCTTTAACATTTTAATCATAGTTATTTTAAAGTTCTTTCCTCCTGCCAACTCTAATATCTGGATCACCTAGGGTCTGCTTCTATTATATGATTATTCTCTTAATTTTTAGCCACCTTTTCCAGCCTCTTTGAATGTCTAATTTTTTTTATTTTATGTTGGACACTGTGGATAAACAAATTGTAGCAGCTCCAAACAATATTTTCTACTACAAGTATTTCCCATTTTCTCTTAGACAACCAGGGCGAGGGGGTGGTCCCTTTGATCCAGTCAGAGACTGAGTTGGGTCAGGACTGAGTTACTGTTTTAAGATTCAATCCACCTCTTATTTTACTGTTTTTGGAACATGAGTATCCAGGGTCACTGACTGAGAGATTGGCAGGTCTTTTTTCTCTTGAGCCCTGAAACATGCTCTATGGAGGTTTTGAGCTTAGTATTTTAGTCTTCTACCCCATGCAGGTTAAAAGTCCGACAAATATCTTAAGCAAGAGTCAGTATTTTGTGGTAGGTCCATTCCTTTAGTGATTTTTTTGTCTCGTAAGTACCACGCAACTATGAAATTTCAATCTGCCTTCTGTCTGAACTCCTAGCTTCCTGGGATACCCCAGAATTCAGCAGAAGTCTCTTGAGGAAATCCCCTTGCTTTGGGGATTTCTTTAGTTTCCAAACACTCCACGAGCCCTGTATATTCAATCCCCACCAGGGTCAGATGGTTTCTCTTCTATCCAGAACAGTCTCTTTTGTTTGGGCCAAACCTGATCCTCGGCCCACTCCCAGAACTGAGAAATGCCTCCAGAGAAGAAAACAGCCAGCCATCGTCAGCCCACCTCCGGATGACTCTTACTGTCTGATATTTTAGTTCATCTAATTCTTGTTGTTTCCATAGCTATTTGATGCCTTTAAAAAGAGCTTTTTGTAATTTATATATATATTTTTTCCAATATTAACTCTTATTACCGGAGCAGTCTAGGGCCTAGTTTTTGGATTTCTTCTCTTTTCTATCTGTATTCATTCTCTTGGTGATCTCACTCAGTCTCAGGGTTTTAAATACAGGCATCATCCAGCTCAGAACCTCTCCCCTGGCAATAGCCTCATATACATAATTCCTATATGCCATCTCCACTTGAGTATCTCAGAGGTATTTCGAATTTAAAATATCCACTCACTAAACTCCTATCCAATCCCCCTTTCCTACCCCTCCTACCTACAGTCTTCTCCCACCTGAGTTAGAGTAAATTATCCTTTCAGATACTCAAACCAAAAATCTTGGTGTAATCCTAACTCTTCTCTTTCCTTTCCATACACCATATCTGACTGGCCTAGAAATCTTGTTGGCTCTATCTTCAAAGTATGTCCAAAACCCAATCTATTTCTCACCATCTCCATTGCTTCTAACCTGATCTGTACCACCTTCATTTCTCACCCAGATTATTCTCAAGAGTCTCCTAATTTGTCTCCCTGCTTCAGTTCTTGCCCCACTAGTCTATTCACAACCTAACATTCAGAATGACCCTTTTTATTATGCTCCGCTTACACTGCTTAAAACGCTTCTCTTTTAACTCAAAGTAAAACTAAACATCTTCCAATGTCTACAAATCCTACAGGGTTCCTGCCCACCCTCCCACCTCATCTGTTATGTTTCAGTTATCCTTGTCCATTCTTCATGCATACCAAGCATGCCTCTACCTCAGGACTTTGTATAGACTATTCCCTCTGTCTAAGATGTTCTTCTGCCCTGCACAACTCCCTCTCTCCTTTACCTCCTTCAATTATTTGCTCAAATATTATACTTTTAGTGAAGGCAACTCTGACCACCCTATTTAAAACTGCAATCCTCACCCTGAATTCCATATCACCCTTATTCTAATATATTTTTAGAATGGCACTTACTGCCATTGATGTACTAGGTAATTTTCTTATTTAAGGTTTATTAACAGCCTCTCTCTATTTACTTCTACTCTTTAGAAGTTTTGACCTTGGTCCTTTGACCTCCCATGCCGTGTAGGTTCAAAATCTGGCAAACACTGGAGGGAGAGACCAGTTGTGAATTTGTTGCAAGCTCTTCCACGAGGGCAGGAATTTCTGTCCCTTTTGTTCCTTGGTGTTATTTCCAGAAATTAGATAGTCCTTGGCATATAGTAGGTGCTCAATAAATACTTCTGAATAAATAATGTTAGGAGATTTTGCAATAGAATATGATAATAGAAGTAAAAAGCAAGTACTATGAGAACACAGAAGCCAGAGCACTTGGGTGAATTAGAAGAGGCTCTGGAAATGATATGACGTATGAGTTACATCTGTAGGCAAGCAGTAAACTTTCATGACTGCTGACTACTTTCCCCACCTGCTCCTAAGTCTGTATATCTCAGACTAGCAAGCAAGCATCCACACATGTACATACACTCAAAGGAACAAAGTTCTCTTCTTTACTACTAGACTGCTTCAAATATTTTCTTATTTTTACCTACCATGAAGAATAGATAAAAATGGTTTCTGATGATAGGATTTTGATTACAATTCAGAATATTTAACTAGGACCAAATCTAAAGAAACTTTAATACATGGATGAAGAAAGCACAGGACTTTGAATACTAAAAGAAGTCAGGGTTTAAACACTCTTCATCATAGGAAATTTTCAAGTGAAAATTAAGGAGTTTGAAGTAAAATTTCAATTTTTTTTTTTTTTGGCACTGTTAAAAAAGAGGGTAAGCACTCATGTTAAAGAATCAGTAGTGATCATCCAAATATGGAAAACGGGTTTTTATTTTATCCTAATGAAACGAAAAGGGAGCAGCCTTTCTGAAATACACATCGAAGTAGGAAGGGAGCTGGAAAATCAGGATCTTTTTTTTCCTGAACAGAGATTGTGCGTAAGTACGATCATGTGTGTATAAACACTCAGTGTATACAGATACACACAGATATAAACTAAATCTGCTTGCCAGACACACTTCCATAACAACCATCTGTTCTCAACTGCTTGGAATTTCCTTAAATTATCCTTCAAAGAAGACCATTTTAATTCATACTCTTTTTATGTCAGAGATTTATATAATCTTAATATTTTATCCTTAGGGAAAAATTTCAAAAACTTTTAACCCTATTTACCTTCAACCTCAGCCAACTACCTCTTTTACTTCTATTTAGCAAACCATAAGGAGGGAGCCTAACAAGAAACAAATCATGTTTCAAACCACAGTATTTACCAAGTGCCATGGAATATACAAAACCAGTATCAAGCTTGATGCCCAGTTTCAAGGGGATTACACTCATTCAGGGAAGACAAAATAAACATATCTGTCTTAGAAATATCCCAAGGTAAATGCTAATTGGTTAAACAGTAACTACAGTCCAATGAGAATTCAGAAAGTGAAAACAGCATGGATTTCACAGCATAGGTGAGGTTTTAGTTGGGCCCTAAAGAACAGTGGCTCATAAAAGAGGACAGCAAAGAGAAAGGTAAGATGAAATGAGAGATGAAAGAACAATCATATAGGATGTATGATGCATATTTAGAATGCTAAGTAACCTGCCTTATTAGAGAGAAAGCATTACACAAAATGAGGAGTAGTAATCAGAGTAAACAGGTAGTGTGTAGCCACATCTTTAAAAAAAAACACACAAAACACAGGAGTTTTGATCTAACACGGGAGTTAAAAAGTAACCATCTTGGATTTCGTGAGCAGGAGACTGAGAAATACCAGCAATTCCCCTGGTATTTTGGGAAAGTTATCCTGGTATCCGACTGGGGAGAGCAGAGACTTGTGGCAGGGAAACTACAGAAGTGTGTGCTGCAGTAAACTGTACACTGGGCTCAGCACAGGGGGTGGCAGCAGAAACCAAGAGGAAACAAATACAGGAAACAACCTAAAGACAGTGTGGGAATTGGTGGTTGTACCCAGTGAAGAAATGGGAAGACTCAAGAAATTACCCACCCAGGCTGAGCTGACAGAAGCCTTATGATGAACGGCCCCAACAGACACTTCTGCACCGAGTCTCACATGCTGGCACGAAGCTACGGCAATGTCAAATAGCAGCAAGGAGTCTCAGAAAGGAGCCCTTTCTGAGGGTTTAAGTGAGACAGAGATGAATACCAGTGAGGAAAAAATGCCAGTATAAGGAAATGGAGGAAACAAAAGCCTGGGAGAAAAGAAAAATCTCTTTCCTTTCTAATACAGAGGCTTAAACAAATCATACCAGTTTATATAATGAGTTTTAAACATATTTATTCACTCACTGAATAAGTTATTTGATAAGTTCAACTAATTAGGTCTTTATACTAGCTACTAACCAACAGAAACATACAGTTCTACCTATGCTAAGCAAAAATTACAATAAATTAAAAAGTGATGCCTGTTTTTGCAAAACTCTGCAATCTGATTAGGGGAACAATCAGGAGTGATCATCAAAACAGTATGGCAGAGGCACTGAAAATCAGGACCATCACAGGCTATGAATAAGTGGTGCAACGATCCCAGCTCAATCTAGACTTAGGGAATAATAATTATAATAGTGAAAAACATTATCAAACAGAAGATGGAAAGTGCCACTTCATCTGAATAGTTCCTGGGAGTAAATGTAAATTTTAGTTTATTGAAACTCTCCTACCTGAGAGGCACATAGGACAAAAAAAGATACAAATCCTACACTAACATAACTCATGGTTTAGAAGAAGGAAACAAAAAACTTGGCAGGTGTTCGAAGGACAATGACAGTTAAACATATTAGAGTGCCCTAAGAGCAAAGGGGAGGGGCACTTATCCCCAGCTCGGAGGAGCAAGGAACTTTCGGGAGGAGGAAACAACTGAGCTCAGCCTGCCAGGTATAGAAAAAGGCCTATCAAAGAAGAGTACACTGTACGCAGACACAGAGCACAGCACAGGAGAGCACCACGAGCCAAAGCCTTATTCAAATTCAAGTCCTTCTGTTCCAAAAGGCAAAATCACACAAACCACCCAAACTGCAGGAGGCAAAAACTGAGACAGGCTTGTCAACAGTCTTTACATTGTAAAGGCACTGCAGAATTCTAAAAGTTTGTGTTCCAGACACCAAAATCAGTTTGACAAAGAATAAGAAAATAAAGAGTCACATTTAGGATGGAAACTTACTTCCTGCCCCTGAATCCCATGCTTGGGATTGTGGTATGGAGTGCAAAGCAGAGCTGTGATAACATGCCAGTCCTGAGCTAAAGCGAATCCTGTGTAAAGATGTTTTCGCAACTCACCACTTGGTAACCAATCCTGAGGTTGTGATCTGGGGCTGGGACAAGGGCCAGCAGTCACAGAATTGCGTTGAGCACACTGAGAAGATACTGCACAGATCTGCAGAGATGGCAGTGGGGCCATTCTGGTGCTGACTCCATCCCCTTCTCTGCCCTGAGCTAAAGCTAGCAGGCAGGCAGACACCCACCCAGAGGGCCCCGGGAGAAGGATATAGGAAAAAGCCACCTCTTCTTCAATGATTTTCTGTGCCACTGCATGTGCCTTGAGATTGCCTGGAATCCTAGATGAGATTCAAGGCTTTCAGGCTTTTCGTTAGCGTGGGAAATCTTTGCTCAAACTTCCTCAGGAAGCCCAGTATGTAAAAACAGTTTTAAGTGGAGCTGTTTTGGTTCTGCAGCAACGAGGACTCTACAGAGCACCAATTTTGAAAATCACTCGGTAAGCCGATCTCTCCAGTCCCCTCACTGGTTGTGTAGCCTGCCCTGCATGCTAGGCCAGGCCTTGGCTCGGAGGCCAGCCCCACATGGTCGCTTCTCTGAATGTCAAAGCCAAAACCATGAATCAGGCCTCTCTCTTCCTTAAATTTAGTAAATTTTTTTGAGATATAATTCAGATTCTAATTTATGTTTCTCCATATATAAACCCTCTGTTTGCTACATCCTTAGAAGAAACAAAAGAGTCTTAATAAGATACATAACATTTCCTGAATTATTTCTGTTAGTTAGATCAGCTACTGATGCCCTTCAGGTGCCAGGGGAGAAGTCATAACAACATCTGAAATATGATTAATGGCTTAGGCCAAATGGCTACTAGGAGAAAATAAAATCCTGTATAGTGTTTTAACTACCAAACCAACCATAACATCCCCAAGGAATGAAAACCCCATTACAAAGCAATACAATTCTATCACCTCATGGCAGTCTTGCAAGTGCTATTTTTAACTATTAATATTTGCTTGAAAAGTATTATAGTGACAATATATCAAATTATTATTCCTACTAAGTGTTATATTCATTAGTTGGGTAATGAATATAACCATGACATGAAATCAACTGTTATATGCTAGTCACTGATTAACTGCTGCTATGTAACTCTGACCTGGATCGTTCTGGGCTTCAGTTTCTTCATTGTTAAAATAGGGACAATAGTCCCTGCTCCCTGCTACTTTCCATGCAAACACAGAGTGAAAGAATAAGCGGAATTATATGAAAATGCTTTAAGTTGGAGGCAAGGTGGTCGAGGAAGATTAAGTACTATCAGTTTCCATAAGACACACTAGCATCCAGGAGGAACGACAGATATTTGTGCTGCTACTGCTCCATACAGTGTGAATTCTGCCAAGTCAGCAACAGTGACTCCATAACAACAGACAGCCGTGTCCCAGAATGTGCTCTTGGCAATAATGCCCCTCCTACATGCACAGCCTGCTTCTTCTCTTGCTTTTCATTTCTTCTCTATAAGCTCCTTGGCACAGACCTCTTTTTTTCAACATTTAACCCTTCTCTCCTTTCTAGTACCTCTGTATTAAGTGCTAATACTATCATCTTCTTCCTTGACACTGCTGTCAATGGAAACTGCTAAAATGCAAATATAGTGGTCCTACTCCTCTGCCTGAACTCATCAATGCCTCCTATCCCTTGTCCAATCTGCAGGATAAAAACTAAAAACCTTAGGTGATACTCAAGGCCCTTCATACTGTGACTGCTCCTATCTCTCAGTCCTCCTCTCTCACCACCCCTCAAATTATACCCCAGCATCCAGCCAAGATTATCCATTTGTCATATCACAGCCTGCGGTGCCATTCAGTTTCTGGGGTTTTATAAAGTTCATGTTGGAAATGTTCCTCCTAAGTTCTTGTCTTCTATACATCTGACCACTCCTTTCCTGTCCACTCCTGCTTCTGTTAGCCTCTGTACCCAGCACATTCTTCTAGACTTGCAATACATGCTTGTTGAATTAGAGTTCCAACAGTAATTACTAGTTCATTTGATCTCATCCACTTAACAGCGATTTATTATACAAAAGACTTTTACATTTTTTTTTTCTTTGACACAGTCTTGCTCTGTCACCCAGGCTGGAGTATAATGACGCGATCTTGGCTCACTGCAACCTCTGCTTCCTGGGTTCAAGTGATTCTTGTGCCTCAATCTCCCAAGTAGCTGGGATTACAGGCCTGCACCACCATGCCCAGCTAATTTTTTTTTTTGTAGAGATGGGGTTTTGCCATGTTGCCCATGTTGATCTCGAACTCCTGGCCTCAAGTGATCTGCCTGCCTCGGACTCCCAAAAGTGCTGGGATTACAGGTGTGAGCCACAATGCCCGGCCAAGACTTTCACATTTTAATGAGAGACAAGTAAAACAAAATCAGAGATCAGACACATTCAAATGCAATTTGTGTTGTGGTAAGTGCTTTAAGGAAGTACACAAGGGGCTGAAACAGAATATCATTGGGATGAGGGGCAGGAATCTACTTTAGATAAAAGATCAGGAAGAACCTCTCTAAGGAGATAACATTTTAGGCAAAACTGATAAACCAGTCACGTAAAGCATCCCAAGCAGAAGGAACAACAGAGGCAAAGGTCTATGGGTAGAGAAGAACTGTTAGTTCAAGGCATTAAAAGACAGCCAGTCTTTTGGCTGGAGAGTAATGAGACAGGGAAAAATTGTTTATCTAAAAAAATGAAGAATTTGGCAAAACAAGGCGAGAGTGTGATCGTGGAGGGTCCTGCTGAGCACAGTAAGGAGTCTGAATGTCATTCCCAATGCAACAGGAAGTCAATCGAAGGCCACAAGCAGCAGTTAAAATGATCTGACTTATGCTTTAGCAAAGGCCAAGAAACACGTCTGTCATCTAGGTCAAAATGACTGTCCAGCCAAGGTCAGTAACCTCATGCAAAGGCCATACCTCCGCCTGCCAGGCCAGTGTAGAGGCTGAGAGTGCAGATGTTCGACCAGCTCCAAGAACAGCAATTGTTTCCCCATCATCATCCACCACTTTGAAGTCCAGGTCCTCATTGTATTTTCTGCGCTTTACTTGCCTTCCCGAGCGTCGTTTCTGTAGGGCAAACACACCCGTCAGAGAAGCTCTCTGAGTGAAAGACAACAGCCTACACAAGAATACCCTCATCTACATTTACTAACATGCCAAGGAGTGCTTTCTTGCCTTACAAAAGAAATCTTTCTTAAATACAACTCTTTTAATAAAAGGACTAAATTCAGTCAAAATGGGATCTAGCTGAGTAGGGGACAGAACAAAAGCTCAATCTCCAAATTGCCATGATCCACTAAAAAGAAGGGGTAGTGTCTCATAGTCCAGTAAGATGTGTTTTGTTCATCAACGGTAGTGACTTTCCCCCTTTCAGAATCCACTTCTCCTCCAATAAAACAAGGATGGGAGCTGAACTCTACCATCTTTGGGGTCCCTTCCAGCACTTGGTGGAAGCACAGATTTTATGACATGATGACAGTTTTATTGTTTTTGCTTAAATTCACCATCCTTACCACATACTTCTAAAAATGTAGTTTGAAAACTAATTAGTATCAATTTTTTGGATTTACTTTGAGAATCTCGTAACACTTCTTGAAATGCAGGGAGACATCTTAAGTGTGACAAAACAAGGTCCCTAAGTCACCTTGAGTGTGATGATCTAAGGATTCATCTCTAATTAAGAAGCTGTACCTTTTAATAATCAACAACAAAACAGCCCAGTGGCTTTCTACAAATAGAGCAGCATACAGTCCATCTCTACATACTAATCATATCTCAACAGTAGAATCACTTCAGGGAACCATTTATCAGCCAGCTCACTCTCAAATATTTAAATCTTAAAAAACAAAAGCAAAAGCAAAATCCCACCTCTCTTTTCTTCTAAAAGATACCTCCTGAGTGTCTCTCTTCTGTTCCTATCACTTCTTCACTAAGTTACCTCTATGATGTTTTACTTTATATGAGGGATTCCACATAAAAACCTCTCCCCAACACCACATACAGATCACCATTCTACAAACACCTAATTCCCTGCCAAATCCCATCAACTCAACGTGCTTGGCTCCTCTGCCAATCTAGACACTTAACAGCCACCAGCCCCAGTTTATAGGCAGTGAGGAGTCTGCTCTGACACCAGACACTGCTGCTTATTAATACTATGACATTACTAGCTGTCATTTTCCTACAGGGAAGAGCAGTGAGAAACCCATGAAGGTCCAGATGATCCTGGAAGGTATAGTACGTCAGTCTTATTCTAAATGAGCCTTGCAGCAGAGTGGCTCAGATAAATTGCTAAGAATATCAGAGGAAACAAAGCACTTTCAAATATTAGACTTCATGCTCAAGAGAGGTTCTCAACTCAGAAAATCCCTAACACTGTCACGGGCACATTTTGGTATATTTTCAGGAATCTGGTTTAGATGGGCAACTCCTTGTTTCCAAGTTTGGCCAAACCTTCCTTACTTGTTGGCATAATGGATACATTTCTGACTTTCCCAGCATCTGGGATTATGAAAATATCCCTGTACGGGCTGGCCTGGCACTCTGAGCACTAAATGCATTACCTGTATGGCAAAAGAGGCCTTACCTAGCTTGGCTCACAACTTCATTTTCCACATCAACTCCCTCTGCAGCCTAATATCCTGCTACCTTCCAGGAATGAGGCAAATACCACTAAAAAACTGGGATATCATTAGTATACTGATCGGGCTAGGGCAAAAGACTACAGTCTACCTGCTCACCCACCAAAACGGTAAAAGCCCAGCCCAGGGCTAGGGAGTGTGCTAGAGAAAGGCATAGAGGAGCAACACGATCAGTGTCAGCCAGATCCCATCCAGGAGCCGTAATCTCCACCAGGCCTCCCGGTCACAGCTGTACCTGGCTGTCTGTAGACTCAGTGGACTCCTCAGGACTCCGCAGAGATGGGTTCGTCAGGCCCTGATCCAGCTCTAAACTCTCCACTGTAGTTTCACTTTTCCTTTTTCCTTTCTTCTTTTTCTCCACTGGGGTTGGTCCTTGCTCCTTGCTACAAGGAGAAATTCAGAATTAAAACTGTTGGGCAGTTTTTAAAACTAAGATTTCTCATGTGATCAACGTCATGAAATCACATCCTGGAATTCTAGGACCAGGGCAGGCTTTAATGGGGAATCTACAAGAGTTTCTTCCAAGAAATAAACAGAAACATGGAAATATCTACATGGATCAATGCAGAATTCACTTTATTACACCCCATCATGACTATTATAGCTACAATTAATATGTAAGAAATAATATGAACATCTCCAAAAACTTCACTTTCAGTTTATACAAATGTCTTCTCTAGGAAGTTCAACTGCTTCACAGATACTAAGAATCATCAAATTACAATCTCCCTTTAAGTTTCTTAGGAAGAGACATCTCCCTAATCTGTCACCAACCTCTATTGAGTACACGCTGGACCTGGAGTGAACACTAGGCACTCAAAAATGAAGAGAACACTGCCTCTGCCCTTGACAAGCTTACAATTATGAAAATCCTACAGTTCACCTACAACCACAGCCCAAGGCAGTACATGAATGCTTCCTCAGAGAGGTAGAGATGGGCCAAGTCCATCCACCCTGCAAGGCCCTGCTAAGATGGCAACATTTTCTCTAAAAGGCCTTTCCTGGCCTTCCTAGCTGGTAAAATCTCTTTCCTACACTCCCAAAGCACTTCCAACTATACTTTGCTTAAACGACCTTTCACCAGAATTAGTTGTTAACTACAATATGAGGCTCAGAATTCACATAACTAAATACAGTGCCTGGATCCTCTACAGTTGCTCAATAAACATTTGCTATCCTGGATAAATGAGTATTTTATGCTTCTCTGATCTCTCTTATCAGACTCGAAGTTCCTAGAGGGCAGTATGTGCTTGACTATGTTTTGTATTCCTCAGAGTGAGTAGTCTTATGCTTTATGCATAGTAAGTATTCAATTAATATTTAAGCAAGCCTTAAAACTGCTTTTTAAGCAATGGATAGATGGATGCATTAATGAATGGCTATGATTAACTGTGAATGGGGAGATTTGAGAACATGCATTTGAGCAGAGATACATATATGTGCACATATAAAAACATAATTCTGACAGACAGTAGTAGGAATAACAATAACTAATGATTGCAGCTAATACTTTATATAATAATTACTATATGCAGGCACATTCTTTTACATGAATTATTGCCTTTGCTCTTCACAACAGCCCTGTAAAGCAGATGGTAATTTTTTTTTTTTTTAGACGGAGTCTCGCGCTGTTGCCCAGGATGGGGTGCAGTGGCGTGATCTTGGCTCACTGCAACCTCTACCTCCCACGTTTAATTCTCCTGCCTCAGTCTCCCCTGTAGCTGGGATTACAGGTGTCCGTCACCACGCATGGCTAATTGTTTTTGTTTGTTTTCAGTATTTTTAGTAGAGATGGGGTTTCATCATGTTGGCCAGGCTGGTCTAAAACTCCTGACCTCAAATGATCTGCCTGCCTCAGCCTTCCAGAGTGCTGAGATTACAGGTGTGAGCCACCACACCTGGCCAGCAGATGGTATTCTTATTCTCATTTTATCTTGAGGAATCTGAGGCATGGCGAGGTTAAGTTAGATTTCCAGGGCAACAGGGTTAGTAAATGGCAGAGACAAGATGTGAACCCGAGTGGAGTCTGTGCTCTTGATCATAGCATTCTTGGGGAATAGAACAGTGTTTTGGATACATTTAGTAAAAGATAGCTGGCTCTGTGTCTGGATAACAGGGCAAGTGAACAGAAGCACTATGTGATGGAGCTCAAAGGAAAAATCAAGGGTGCACCAGGCCAGGAAGTTTAGACTTCATTCTGCGTGAAAAGGGCCATGAAAGCAGGTCCAGGAAAGAGGGAATGAAGCCTTTCAAGGGTGGAAATGCTTTGAAAGGCCCAGCAGGAGTAGAACCAGGAAGTCTCGGCAAGTGACAGAAAGTGGGGAACAAGAAGAGCCAACACTGGTACTTCCCATCAGGAGAGTTAGTAGAAAGTTTGGGGAAGAGAAGGAAACTGGATGACCTGGCTCAGAGGGGTGATCAAGCACACGAACCAGCCAGTGCTGATCGCTCAATCTGCCTGCTTCCCTCTTGAACACCCGTCACCCTTCATATGTCCCTAACCAGGTCAGCACAAACTCTGCCCAGCTTCTATTCCCCAGGCTGGAGACGGGCTTGCCTACCTACCAGGAAAGTTCATGATGAAAGCTATTTGCAAACTAACACAGGAACAGAAAACCAAATACTGCATGTTCTCACTTACAAGTGGGAGCTAAATGATGAGAATATATGGACACATAGAGGGGAATGACACACACTAGGGCCTTTTGGAGGGTGGAGGATGGGAGCAGGTAGAGGATCAGGAAAAATAACTAATGGATACTAGGCTTAATACCTGGGGGATGAAATAATCTATACAACCAACCACCATGACATAAGTTTACTTATGTAACAAACCTGCATTTGTACCTCTGAACTTAAAAGTTAAAAAAACAAAACAAAACTATTTTGATCCAACCTAAAGAACTGAAACTCTAGGGGTCATGCCATTTTTGAGGATTACCGATTTTTAACAAGGGACTTGTACCCTTAAGCAGGGGAAAAAGCAAAAGTTCTTCCTTTTCTTATCAGTTCAGAAGAGGAGACTCAGGTAAAACAGTTTTAAAAGATGCTAAATTTTCACATGAGTCTTTATCTCATGTTATGTGGCTCCTCATTAAGAAAACTGCATAGCAAATTACATTCTACAAAGTACTTATGAATTCCATGTCTCATCCCAATCCCATGAGGGAGCCAGGACAAATAATCCCCATATTCCAGATGAGGAAAACTGAGATTTAAAAGCAGCAAATGCCCCAAAGTCAGCAGCAGGGCAGAGGCTTACGCTCAGGTCAGCTGAGTCACAGGGTATTACTTTTTCATACCAAGTCATGTATTTTGCCTCTTTTTTTCTAAAATCCCAGTCTCCCTTTTAGTAAATGTAAAAACTTCAAATATCCTTTAATGTTATTTGAATCTCAAAATAATGGTTTAAAAAATCAGCAACATTCCAATGACCCAAATATATAAAATTCACAAATTCATAGATGTTGATAGTTTTTTATAGCTCTCTTAGAAAAAGGTTTCTTTGACACAAATTTAAAGAAAGCTTACAATATCCCAAAAGTCACCCTAATAATCACATGCTCAGTGGCCTCTGAATCTTCTGTACAATCTTAAATCTTTCTTTCCAGCATTTGAAATCAATTTCATCTACTTACTAAACGTAACTTCATTATATTAGAACACTGTCTGTATATGTTTAACCTTCATTTTAAATATTTATTGTGTGTATATGTGTGTGTGCGTGCGCGCGTGCCCACATGCTAGAATCATGTGCTTCACTGTGGAACATCATACTCAAAGCTAAACCAAGCCCAAATCATAACTAAGGAATAGAACTTCCTCAAAATATGACACTTCACTAGGAGACTTGTGTGCATTTTGAGCAACATGTTAAATGTTGAAAGGAGGGGGGAATCATGGTGAAGCACTTTCCAAGTCAAGCCTGAGGCGCTACTAGATTTTCCCAGACAGAAGCTGGGGGTTAGGTAGCCTGGAAATACTTTCTCAAATATTTGTCAGTAAAATAGGAAAATACCGGCAGAAACGTGCTCCCTTATTTGCAGGTAAAGAAGAAGATACTCTACTTGGGAAATCTTCAAAGTGATTTTTTGGAGGTTACCTTTGGCAAGACAAGCCATTTTAAGTTCCAAAAATTCTTTCTGGAGCTCTTCTGATAAAGTCAAGTTTCAGGAAGAAAAGATTCCCTGAAAGCTTACAAGTGGGATCTTCAAATAGGATATTAAGAAAATACCATCTGAATTCATCCTCTAAAAAGACCAGATAAGGTATATATTTCTGCTCTTTGGAAAAAGTTTTAAAAACCTTATGCTTGAGAGTTTTATCAACTGAAGACATTTCAATCTCCAAACTGCTATACCTATAGATGATTTGGCCCATGAATATTTGTTTGCTCCTTGAAGTTCCAGGTTCTTCAAAAATAATGGATAGGCCAGGTGTGGTGGCTCATGACTGTAATCCCAGCACTTTGGGAGGCCCAGGCAGGCAGACTGCTTGAGCTCAGGAGTTCAAGACCAGCCTGGGCAATATGGCGAAACCCCGTCTCTACAAAAAAATACAAAAATTAGCCGGGCATGGTGGCGCAGGCCTGTGGTCCCCGCTACTTGGGAGGCTGAGGTGGGAGAATTGTTTGAGCCTGGAAGGCAGAGGTTGCAGTGAGCACAGATCATGCCACTGCACTCCAACCTGACTGTCAGAGTCAGACCCTGTCTCAAAAACAAACAAACAAACAAACAAAAACAAAGTGGATAAACAGGATCTAACAAAACTACATATGCAAATAATCTTTGACTCAGCAATCTACTTACAGGAATGTAATCTAAAGATATATCACACGATATAAAAACACATATTCATGAGGTTATTTATTACAACATTTTTTGGTAATTGTAAAATAATGAAAACTACCTATCTAAACATAAATGACTGAATAAATTAGGATATATACAATGTAATACTAGACAGCTATAAAAACAATTAAGAAAGAATTCTACAAACTGCAGGAAACAATTCCCTATTTAATAAATGGTGCTGGGAAAACTGGCTAGCCATATGTAGAAAGCTGAAACTGGATCCCTTCCTTACACCTTATACAAAATTAATCCAAGATGGATTAAAGACTTAAATGTTAGACCTAAAACCATAAAAACCCTAGAAGAAAATCTAGGCAATACCATTCAGGACACAGGCATGGGCAAGGACTTCATGACTAAAACACCAAAAGCAATGGCAACAAAAGCCAAAATTGACAAATGGGATCTAATTAAACTAAAGAGCTTCTGCACAGCAAAAAAACTACCATCAGAGTGAACAGGCAACCTACAGAATGGGAGAAAATTCTTGCAATCTACTCATCTGACAAAGGGCTAATATCCAGAATCAGCAACGAGCTCAAAACAAATTTGTAAGAAAAAAACAACCCCATCAAAAAATGGGTGAAGGATATGAACAGACATTTCTCGAAAGAAGACATTTATGCCGCCAAAAGACACATGAAAAAATGCTCATCATCACTGGCCATGAGAGAAACGCAAATCAAAACCACAATGAGATATCATCTCACACCAGTTAGAATGGTGATCATTAAAAAGTCAGGAAACAACAGGTGCTGGAGAGGATGTGGAGAAATAGGAACACTTTTACACTGTTGGTGGGACTGTAAACTAGTTCAACCATTGTGGAAGTCAGTGTGGTGATTCCTCAGGGATCTAGAAGTAGAAATACCATTTGACCCAGCAATCCCATTACTGGGTATATATCCAAAGGATTATAAATCATGCTGCTATAAAGACACATGCACACGTATGTTACTGCGGCACTATTCACAATAGCAAAGACTTGGAACCAACCCAAATGTCCAACAATGATAGACTGGATTAAGAAAATGTGGCACATATACACCATGGAATACTATGCAGCCATAAAAAATGATGAGTTCATGTTCTTTGTAGGGACATGGATGAAGCTGGAAACCATCATTCTCAGCAAACTATCACAAGGACAAAAAACCAAACACCGCATGTTCTCACTCATAGGTGGGAACTGAACAATGAGAACACATGGACACAGGAAGGGGAACATCACACACCGGGGCCTGTTGTGGGGTCGGGGGAGGGGGGAGGGATAGCATTAGGAGATATAACTAATGTTAAATGACAAGTTAATGGATGCAGCACACCAACATGGCACATGTATACATATGTAACTAACCTGCATGTTCTGCACACGTACCCTAAAACTTAAAGTATAATAATAATTAAAAAAAAATTCTACAAACTGATAGGCAATGATTTCTAAAGATATTTAAGTGAAAAAGGCAGTGTTAAAAGAGTATAATATGCTACCTTTTGTGTAAGAATAAAGGGAAAATAAAAAAGCATGTACACATCTATTAATACAAAAAGAAACAGAGGAAGGGTAAACAAAAAACCCCACAATGTCTATCTACCTGCAAGGGGTAGGGGAGAGAACAGTAGCAGGGATACAGGAGGGAGTGACACTTCTCTGAGTATACCTCTGTACACAGATCTGCCTTTAGGAAATCTGTTAAAGTTCTACATATTAAAACATAAAAAACTAAAGATGAAAACAAGCTGAAACAACTGAATCCATGTATGTTTAAAACAAGTAGTATAACTACACCTCACAGAGAATAAAACCCCTTCCATTAATTGATTAACACAGCATTTGACTACATATTCTCCACTTCTGGGGGAAGGGGAAAGTATAGCAAACCAATTCTGAAATTTTTTTTCTTGGTAGTTAAATGGTGAAGTGACTCTGAAACTATTTCAGATGTGGCATAGGATTAAGCAAACGAGTGAACGTATTGATGTTGGGAACTGGCAAATATGAAATGCTATAAGGCAAGGGAGATACTGTCAGATGAATCTCAACTGCAGGCATCATCAGTTGAACTCATGACTTCTATAACATGTATGAACACAAGCATGTATATGTGCATGTGTATATATACACATATAATATGTGTGTAGATATATGTATATATGTGTGTACATATATTCATATGTGCGCGTTTGTATGTATTTTCCCCCTAGTTTTGACAACAGAAAGGGCCTAAGAGCAAAGATGCCCTATCAGCAATGAGTACACCTAACACTCAGATCTTGGTGTTTAACACTGAAGCTCCTCACAGAAATGGCTGATTCCAAAGCTAAAGCAGGGAAGACAGACGATGAGCCCGAAACATCCTGCTATGTCAGAAAGTAAGAGGGTGTTTAGAAAAATAAACATGGCATGTCAAAATGACAAATAAGTTAGCTTGAAGAGCTTTCGTTGCCCAAAACTGAGACCATCTGAACACCAAAGTAATTGAGGACAGTAAAGAATTATAAGTCACTGAAAACAATAGGAATCCATACCAATGAGACATACATAAATAATGAATAAGGGATAAGGGGGAGCTCTTGTTTACTACAAAATACAAATGGTAACTGTAAAGGAAGTGGTAGTTAGAAAATAATTTTGAGGCTGGGTGCAGTGGCTCACGCCTGTAATATCAGCACTTTGGTAGGCTGGGGCAGGAGGATGGCTTGAGGTCAGAAGTTTGAGACCAGACTGGCAGCATAGTGAAACCCCATCTCTACAAAAAAATCGGGAAAAAAAATCAGCCACACATGATGGTGCATGCCTGTAGTCCCAGGTACTTGGGAGGCTGAGATGGGAGGATTGATTGAGCCCAGATGGTTGAGGCTGTAGTCAGTCATGATTGTGCCACTGCACACCAGCCTGGGTGACAGAGCAAGACCCTGTCTCAAAAAAAACAAAATAACAAACCAAAAAAACCCATTTTGTAACCAACGTAGAAAAGATGCGCATGGTGCAGAATCATCAAGGGATGCTAAATCTTGGGAGAAAGATGTGAAGAGAAGCAGGATATTTGCATGATCTTAAAATGTCTCCCTGCAGATTACTTATTAGTTATAAGGGAACGAAAAGAATAACTAGACAATGGTTACAGAAGAATAAGAACTTAGGAAAGACACACTGATGTATTTAGGGACAAAAAGGCCTGACATACGTAACTTGTTTGCAACTGGTTCAGGAAACATGCGCGCACGCGTGCGCGCACACACACATACATAAATAGATATTTATTGAAATAAGTTTATAATATAAGTATATATACATATATACACTTTAAAAAATAATTTATCTTGACATACGTCTATTCCACTGCAGAAGTGGATACTGTGTTTGGCATCTTTTCTTCTGACAACCAATACTGATTCCTAGACTATAAAAGAGCTCTGGCAGAAGGTCAGACTGGGCTATCGTACCCTATTCTTTTTACCATGGTGATTGGTCCAGGATGGACACATGACCCAGCCAGACTAATCTGGGAGTCCTTCCTTTAAAATATATATATATATGCAGGAGTGGGTAGGAAAATGAATCTTTCTTCCTAGGTCATGAAGTTGTTAAGCTGTAAGCCCACAGCTATGGGCAGCCATGATTCCAGCCTTGAGAGGAATGCATTTGCAAAGAATGGAGTGGCACCCAGACAGGCACAGGGGGTCACTGAAGACAAACTGCCTTGGTCTCAACTAAACTTCCTGGTTCTGATTCCTTAAGCCAGTGAACCTCATCATCATTTTTTTCTAACTTAAGCTAATTTGATTGGGTTTATGTTACTTGTAACCAAGAGAGTTCTGAATAATACAAAGGCCTAATACTCCCACCAATTAATGGCACAGGAGCTTGAATCAAAGCAATCTTATTTCTATAATCCTCTTTTTTATTAATAGCTTTCAGAGTTAGAACAAACTAACTTGCAAGGAAAAAAAGGAAGAAATAACATTTTTGAGAGTCAAAGTAACTATTTTTTATTAAAACTTGATTTTACAATCAAACATATCTCCACTTTAAAGAAAGTACCTACTATGCATTTATGACATGCAAGAAACTCCCAATCAGTTATATCATACATGTAGGACAACTATTAGTTATAACCATCAAAGCTTTTATCCTGTCTTCCACATGGCTTCATCAGCCAAGAAGATTTTGTGCATCTTTACTTTCTGTAGTTTGTCCTAGAAAAAACGTGTTTTTTGTTTTTTGTTTTTTTTTTTGCTTTCCAAATAGGAAATTTCATTATCATATGAAAGCACTAGGATTTCTCAAACTTTCTCTTCAAGCATATCTCCAGTTTCTAACCTCCAGGTTTCTTTGCTAGAACTGAGAGTTAGGAAGTGAGTGCTGAATCTGAGTACGAGGAAAGATATGGGTACATGTCACGACATCGTACTACTATGAATCTTTTATGGCTCTGTCCCCGTGGACTCCAGGTATTGAAAGCTCTTATCTACTAAGATGCATTAATTCAAAATGATTCATCTTCTCATTTTAAAATTAAAACCTTATAAAATATCCATCAGAGCCTTACGGAAAGAATGCGTTACTACTACAGCCACCGAAAATAGCTCATGATCCCAATGACTGCCTCCAAAGACATGTAGAGTCTCAGAAGTCCAGTCCAGGAACCACTACTCCACTCCAGCAACAATGCTTCAGAGAAGCTTCCAGCACTGACCTTCCTATAGGCTTTGATCTTCTTCCCAGGAGTACAATACTGAAAACATGGATATCACCTTGAAAAAGCTCATTTGCACACTTGATTCAGCTTTTCCATAATACCGGTATTAACTGAGTCTACATAGAAAACTGAGTTGGTATTGATTTTTTAAAGATACTAGTTAAAAGAAAAAATATAAAAAGACCCTAATTATTTTGGTACAGATATAATCTGCTGTAGATAAACTGTGAACTAAATCTGCCCTGTCAGTCCCTTTAACCGTATCATCAACACCTTCAAAATGGAGATTAGAGAGGTTTGTGATATTGTCCTAGTAAAAAGGAAACAAAAAGATTACTTCCTCTTAAGATGAAAAAGCAGAGTTTTACCAAGTAGTCCTATCAAAAGTAATAAAAGTAACTGAAAATAAAAATTCAGAAAGTATAGAAGAGTTTCAAATAAAAAGTATAACCCATCCTCAGTACACCAAATCCCCAGAGAGGATCACTTTTGACTGATGCCTCTCTAACCCCAAATACGCTCATGCTTCTAGTTCATTATTTATCAACATTAAGCAATGGCTACTGACATCCTGATAGGAAAGTTGATGAATTCAGATCTCATATACCTCCCCTGTTGCTGTCCCTACTCAGTATTTTCGTTGAACTCTCTTAGTGGAGGCAACCACACTTTAAATTTTCATTAATTCTTTGCTTTTCTGATTGCTCCTCTGTCATGACCCATTCTTGTGTTGCAGACAAAATAACCTCAATCTGAGGATGCTAATTTAAAATGTGTTCATTCTTTTCCTTGAATTATTTCTTCTGATGACAGTTGTTCTTTTCTTTCTTCCTTTTCCTGCTTTATGCTGCTCGTTTTCCTCTACGGTCTTGGGGTCTTCAGTAGACTGATTTCCTATTGAAAATCAACTAGGCTGGTAATACAGGTGCCTGGTGAGGCTCTCCTCTGCTGCCGAGTAAACTGCTTTCTCTACAAGCCTCGCCCCTGAATAGGAAGCCTGGCCTAGGACACCGTACACATGGCAAGACTTGTCAAGTGGCTGTCCCTCCCTCCACTTTTTAGGGTATGGGCAGGGAAGGGCAGAGAAGTTAGTGCCCTGTGCCCCCTTCCTGTGGGTGTCATTCCTTATATGGAGCCCTAGCCCCTTCCCCAGGGCAAACTGCCCAATATCCTTAGAGTAATTGCCTGAGTTCATCCTGGAGCTGACAAACCACACAGCCATTCTGCAGACAGTCCCTTAATCAGCCACCTCCGCTTCTGGCCTGCCTCCAATCCCTCCTCCAGAGCTGCCTGCTCCATTGCAAGGAGGAAACACCTCTATGTTTGCTGCAAACACAGCGCCTGCCTGAGCTCTGAGCTAGGACTCCCTCCACACCATTTATCCACCAGTATGATCCCACTGGACTTCTTTGTCCAGAAATTCAGTAATAGCTCTCATCTGTGAAATATTTCTTCCCCTCTGTTCTTCCTATCATTTCAGTAAGATTTGGATAAGAAGTGAAAATGAAAGCAGGCTGCGTGTACCATCTTAAAATCTGGAAGCCCCTAAAAAGAACATTTGTTTAAATGTCTTTTGGTCTTTTTGCTTTAAGCCTTTTCTCATCTATTAATTTCTTTAATAACTGGATCAATACTCATCTCTTCCAAGGGACTCCCCAGACCAGAAATGACATACTCTTTACCTTCTAAATCCTTTCAGCTACTCTGTATGCAGTTATATCAGGTTTTTCATTTGTTTATATTTTTGCCTGTGTCTTGAACACTTGTCAAGGTTGCTTCTTGTGAAAAGCACCTCAAATTCATAAAAGTACCTCAATGACTAGTCTCATAGATACTTCTGTGACACTTTGCTTCCTTTCCCTATAAAAAAACTCATAAAGCAAGACACAGAAGAGGCAATAAAAATATACTGGATAAATGAGTAGGCATTTATCAAGCATTATTATTTAGTAACTCTTTCCTTACAGATTTGGTAAAGGTCTACTATGCACCAGGCCACAGAGTAAGCACTTCTGATGCTCTTAAAAAAAAAAACAAAAACCCCAGAAATAAAGACTTAGTGCAAAGCTTCCAAGGTGGGTCTCTGACATTACCATTTAGATTTCTTCCCTGGTTAACATGAAGTCCAATGGGTTCCAAGCTCAGGGTCTCTACTGAGGACTCATACACACCGTTATGTCTTCTTTATTCTAATAAATGGTCACAATGTAAAAACAAGTCTCCCAACAGAAAGAACCCCACTAATGTAATCTCTTGAACCTGAAATTAGCCTCAATAAAGATCTCTCTAAACAGATAGCTGATTGACCTTCAAATAAATGAGAAAGAGCCACCAGCTCTTGTGAGGAGGAAAGGTAGTTGAGTTCTACTACTCTTCCTGCACCACACAGTTATCAGCTGACTCAGCGGCAATCAGGCAGCTCAAATGGTTATATAATCAGAAGGCCTGGGGTTTAACACTTCGCAGAAGCAATCATCACAGATGAAAGCGAAAAAAGGTAAAATGCTGGATTTGGGAGAAAAATCTGCTCTGGGCTGACAAACCAAACAAATGGGGATGAAAAACTGAAACTGGGGCTGATCACACCAACCACTTCTTTTCCTCTTTTTGCTTTTTCATTCCTAGCAGACGTTACATATAAAAACTTACACAGGCTCCACTTTTCCTGTGATCTTTCACCTGGGAAACATGTTTCTCAAAGGATAATCTAAGAATCAGCCACACTCTAATTACCTGGGAGAATTTTGAACTGCAAATTCCTGGGTTCCACCCCAGACCTAATCATTCTCTCTGGGGAATCCACTTTTCTAACAAGCTGTCCAGGTAGTTCCCTAGGCACAGCAAAGTCTGAGGACCAGAGATCCAGGTAGATAGACCTCCACTTGGGCCAGCACATTGACTAATTTCTTGACTTGCAAGAAAGAATATGAACCATTCTCATATGTGTGGAAATTCCAAAGCTCATCCTCTGCCCTCACCAACAACATGAACACCAAAACTCAAGACCCTAGCTTTTAAAAGCAACATTCAGGCTGGGCACCATGGCTCATGCCTGTAATCCCAGCACTTTAAGAGGCCAGGCAAGCAAATCACTTGAGGACAGGAGTTCAAGACCAGCCCGGCCAACATAGCAAAACCCCGTCTCTACTAAAAATACAAAAAATAAACTGGGTGTGGTGTCCCAGCTACTCGGGAGGCTGAAGCAGAACTGCTTGAACCCGGGAGGTGGAGATTGCAGTGAGCCGAGATCACACCACTGCACTCCAGCCTGGGCGACAGAGCGAGACCCTGTCTCAAAAAAAAAAAGAAGCAACCTTCAGCTCAGTCAAAATGCTTGGCTCCCTATGTGAGAAAGGGCAACCTAAAGAGCTGGCTACAGACCTACTCCTCAGATACTCACTCCCTGGATATAGAGTAAAAGAATCAGAAGGCTTCATACACAACTGAAATGGATCATCTTTCCTGCTCACTCGGCTGTGCCTTAATGCCACGAAGCTGACTTTTTACTAAAGGCTATTTCAGGAAGAAAAAAATGAAATTCACAGGCATTTAGAAGCATTAGATGCAAAAACTGTTGTTGAGCACAGATCTACTGCATAACAGTTCTTGCTATAATCTGAATTTGTCCCCCAAAATTCCTGTGTTGGAAACCTCATGTCCAATGCAGCAGTGTCGGGGGTTGGGGTCTAATAAGAGGAGATCAGGTCAGGTGGCTCTGGACTCATGAATGGATGAATATTGTTATCACAGGAGTGGATTCTCTTGAGAGTAGCCCTCTCTCGTTAACATTTCATCCTCTCTTGCTCCTCTCTCTGCCTTTGGCCACAGGATGAGGAGCTGCACACAGGTCCTCCCCAGATTCCAGTGCCATACTGTTGGACTTCCCAGTCTCCAGAATGGTAAGCCAAAGAAATTTCTGTTCATTATACATTATCCAGTCTGTGTATTCTGTTATAGCAACATAAAATGAACTATAACAGTTCCCTAATAAGAAATTTCTTTCTCAAATGGTAAAAACTTAGCTTCTCTGAGAAACTGGCATGTTGCTTTTCTAAGGCCAAAACATTATATTCAATATAATGAACAATTTTGGGAACAATATATTCCCAAAGCCCTTATTAACATTTCATGACCCTACATGACCTGACCCCTGCCTTTCTGATCCCCTCCTCCAGCTATACCAGCCATGTACAGCTATGTATGCATAGGTATGTGTATATGTTTGTATGTATACACATAAACGTACATCTGTGTATGTCTTCTTAGGCAAGTGGCTCCAATCCTCTCTGGAATAAGGCACTATAATTTTAAAAATAGTATAAACATATGAGTTATACCAAATGAAATTTTAATTTCAGAGTCAGGAAAATGACAGAGCCTAACTTGGCTTCCTGAAGGAGCTTTCTTTCTTGCTTAAGTTTTACACAATAAAGGAATGAACTAAACTCATACTCAAAAATAATTTAGAGAATTAAGCCAGGTTTGGTGATATATATCTGTAATCCCAGCTATTGGGGAGACCCCATCTCTAAAAAAAATAATAATAATAATTTGGAGGGAAAAGAATAAATACTAGTTTCAATTGAAACTTCTCCTATTTAAGAATTTTAGGCTTTTATCTCTTAAGCAATAAATGAATACTGATCACTATTAATATCATCCTTGAAAAGGAAAATTTGCTAGACTCTACCTATCACCTGTTTAGAACAGACATGTTCAATAATCTGCTTGTTGCCTCTCAAATGCAAACACAAACAAAGGAAAAAGTTGAAGACATTTTAGTCCTTGAAAGGATACCATGGAGTATGCAAACTGAAATTCTATAGAAGAGGGACCATTTCCTACAAATAAAAACCAACTTCTCTGACACTGAAATCTCCCCACGTCCATTTCTGATCTTCCTTAGCAAAACATAAAAGACACACGGCTATGGAGAGAAAAGTCGGTTTTACAGTCAGGTGAACCTGGAGTCAAATCCCAACAATGGTGCTCACTAGTTTTGTGCCTTGGACAAGTTACTTAACTTTTTGAACTTTCATTCAATTATAAAATGGATATATTACCTACTGTTATATAACAATAGGAGTTATAAGATACCTTATACAGGTCTTATTTTCAAGGAGAAGAGCTCTATCCATTTATTCTTGGTATATATACATATACATATCTTAACTTTTGTTGAGGAAAACAAGTCACACATACCTGAAAACCACAATTAATGACGGGAAAAGTAGCCTGTTTTAGAGGCAAACATACAAGACTGGGAATCAGGCCTGAGATTATAACACACATCTGTGAATGACCTTAGACAAGTCACTTCTCTGTGGGTCTCCGTTTCCCTGGCTGCAATACAACAGGGCTATGGAAGTTCAGAGGGGACACACAGGTACACTGGTTTGGGGAAACTCTGATATATATCTGAACTCTGATATATATCTGAACTGAGACTTGCACTCAGACCTGAAGAATGGAAAGGACTTGGGATACTGAGAGAAGGGTAAGAGCTGGGGAAATACCAAGAGCAATCCAAAGGAGAAGTGGGTCAAGGACCTTTAAGAACTAATGAGATTAATCGAGTTGGCCAGGTATAGCGCCAGAGATGGAAAGAGAGGGAGATGTCAGACCCCAGAGGGTCTGAATAACAGAGGAAGGAGTCTGGATTTTGTCCTGGAGGCAACAGGAGCAATCAGGGGACAACAGGAGCAATCAGGGGGCAACAGGAACAATCAGAAGATTCTAAGCGGTTATAAATTGTTGAGGGAATCCTATTTCCCTGCCTCCATGTTTTCATGAGGAAAAGCATATTTTATTCCCAAGGACTGAAAAATACTGGAAATATATTTTCCACCCTTCTTCAAACTTATCTCACTTCCCCGACTGGGGAAATACCCAAATAGCAAGACTGGAAGAAGGAATGGAGCACACATGGCCCAGCACCACCACCTCTGCTTCCGAGTGCCTGCAGTGCTGGCAGATAAACTCAAGTGAGAGAGTAACAGCAAGTCTGATGGTGGCCACAAGCTAACAAATGTTTTTCAATCCAGTTTACCAATAACCGAGCTGATAAACGAATGCCCATTTCTATTGACTATTTCTCAACTGATTTAGAATTGAAAAGGGAGAAAAGGCGATCTGATTTACCACCACCACCACCACTGTTGCCAACATAAATAAAGGGGCCAACAGCAGGGCTTCAGAAAGACTAGCCAGGTGGCAGCTGGCAAGATGGACTGAGGGAGGAAAAGGCCAGAAGCCCGTAAATCAGTTGCGGAGCTAATCCAAGCATTAAGTGAGTCATTTATAACCATCAAGTATTACCAGGGTCTAATCGATACCTGCTCAAATCAAAACACGTACTTGAGCCAATCTGCAAGAGTAAATCAACGAGAACAAAAAACTAAGGCTTAATTACTAACATATGCATATATACATATGTGTGTGTATATATATACATGTATTTTTAAATCAATTAACATGCTTCATATGTAAAATTGCTTCTGCCTACCAGTAGGATCACTAATTAAAGGAACCAAAACAATTTTACAAAGATATAAAAGAGAAGCAATCAAAGGCTAACCAGTCCAGAACCCTGGAGTACATAGAAGAATTCTATTATGTTACAGATCAATGTAATATAACTCTAAAATAAAGAGAAAGCTCATGTAACTTGTCCACATTTTTAAAGAGATGATCACTTCTGTCAGCCTCCTCTAATAGGGTGTCTCTTGGACTTCTAAACCTCAAAAGGTTCTGCTGTCTTCTAAGTTAGCAGCCTTTGAAAACACTGCCAAGCACTTCTCCAACTCACTTATATTTCATACAGCCTAATTAGATCAAATCAAGTTGCGTTAATATTGCTACATTTATATAACAAAGACTGTACATTTTCACTAGACAGAATCCTGATTTTGCCTATACATTTGGCATCCAACACTTTGTTAAATGCCTCCTTATTCCCCCAAAATGGAATTTATGACAATGTTTGCATACTCATCACTTTGTTTCAGACCTCATACAATGTAAACATGAATTCCTTAAAAAAGGAGGAGTTGATAAAATTGTAAACATCAGAAACCAGTGGCTAAGTGGGCTCAGACACCTATGGCTTTCTAATGTCTTCTAGATACAAACCAAGACTTCTTATTAGGGCTATAAAACTCTCCTCTAATCACCCTAAATTCTCAAACACAATCTTTATGCCTTATTATTCTCTGTAATAATAATAAAAAAAAGTTGCCACACTAGCTCATGTCTGATCCTCCTTCTTTATATATGCTATTATCCCAAAGTACCACTTCAGTTCCTCCAAAGTAATCTGGAAATGAAAATTATTTGCAGAGGCTGAACAGTCACTCTGCTACTCCATCCACACACTGGAGACTAGAGTATGCTCACTAGGTTCACTAAGAAACAAATCCTGTTAAGGTTTTAGTTAGGCAGAATCCTGAGTTTTGTCTACCTCTCTCTTGGCCGTCTGTAAGGTATTTTATGGGCATTTTCTGTAACCTACATTCCTGAGATCCCACCCAAGTTTCTGTGGTAGATGAAAGATGAAATTCCCTGCCAGACAGAAGGGAGTGAACATTATGAGGCAAAATTTTAATTTGGATTAAGAAACTATCCATCTGGTCCCAACAAGCTGTCCTTCTGAAAAAGAACTGAACCATATAGTAAACTCCACGTTGCAACACACACCACTTAAAATGCATTCTTAAAATTACCTCCTTCATGCCTGACCAACACAGGTGTGATGGCCTCATTACTTTATGTTTTGTTAGTATCCACATCAGTCTGTGTTTTTTTATGAGTGCTCTTGGTCTAAAATAATAGATACATAGATAAATATAATTAACCTTCCCTTGCACTTAGATTTTAGACATGTAAATTCCTTAAGATAGGAGTCATGTATTTGGTGTTTCCTCAAAATTCTAAATATAAAGTTCTCCACAAGGAATTTAGAAACAAAATGAGAAATATAATATTTGCATATGATGACAGATACGGAATTCCCTGCACAAGGAATGCATTTGCTGTCTTGATAGGGTCTATACAGTGAATCTGTACCTATGCACTCTGGTCTCTCTGTAAGTCATTATGGTCTCCTCTGGTCTCATTTACTCAGCATTTCCTAAGCACTTGTCAATGTGTCAAGCACTGTGCTAGACAATGAACTAGATAAACAGATCAGGAATGGTCCTGCACTCAGAGCTTGGAACCTAGGGGAACCTAGTCAGTCCTCATCTATCTGGAAATCTGTGCATACTGACGGCTCTCTCAGGCTTCCTGCACCACTGATTCCCGTGACTGTGCATCCTCCTCATAGCAGCTCCTCTGCCACTCTACACGACTGCTGTTCCAAAAATCACTGCCCCCTGTATCACACCTGGGATGTCACTTCCCTTACACCCTGTGCATGTTAACATTTTAATTCTTTTTAGTCCAAAAGGAATGGCAAGAAACTGCATGGTCAGTATTAATTAAGGTTATCTTTCTCTCATTAGGAGGTAAGAAAAGTGGTTCATTTTTGGCTGAAAGCTAATATAGACACAAAGAACATATAAACATGGGATATAGGGGGTACATCTACACAGCTAGCAACTAAATAATGCTAAGTACTAAGACCAAAAAGAATGGTTGGGGTCTGAAGGGGGTGGGGAATTCTTGGGAGTATCCTAAAAACACAAATGTCGTTTTTGAAATACCACGACTTTAGAAATGCAATGAGAAAACAGCAACCTCCAAGGACAGCCCCTTGCATTAGCACCAAGGGGTTACCCCTGCTCCCCATCCTATACAGGTGAGATGTGAAGCTTAGGCCCACAGGAGTGCAGCAGGGTTATGCCTAGGGGCTTGGGCTAATGCCAAAGGCAAATCGTTCTGCACTGGCATAGGCAAGTGCTCAGAGAAGGGAGAAAGGAACGTACCTGGCCTTCCTGGACTTCGTCCTGGCTGCAGAGTCAGTGCAGCTCCTCTTCTCTTTGGCCTCCTTGGTGCCCGAGGCCTCCCGGGGCTTCCGTGCCTTCTTTGCCCCATCTTTTTGCTTCGGCTCCTTGTGCTCCTTGGCCTTCTTCGGCTCCTTGGCCTTTCTGGGTTCCTTTGGCTCTTTCGGTTCTCGTTTCCTCTTTGGCTTGGGCTCTCTGTCCTTGCTTCCCTTTGCTGCACCCTCTTGGTCTCCTGGCTCCTTTTTCTTCCGTTTCTTCTTCACTCCAGTACCTCCTCCTCCACTGTCCTCCATCCCATTATGGGATGTCATTTTCCTAGGAAAAAGGGTAGCAGCTTCCTCTTCAGCAGTATACAGGTCCTTCTGAGGCAGACAGTGACTAGCAACATCTTCAATTTTCTCTTCTTGATCAGTGCTGCAGTCAAATGGGGATGGAGATTTGTAGTCAAAATTGACAGAGGCATCAGACATTGGGGAGTGATTCAAAACTTTTAAATTTGACAACTGTAAAAGAAAGAGAAACAAGCATATTACCCTTCCAATTCATGCTTCAGACAAAGAGAGTTACCCAGTTTGAATACATGGATTTGCTCAACAAATATTTACTGAGTTCCCACTCTCTGTTAGTTCCTATTGTGCTAGGCCTTGGAGACAGAGTGGCAAACAGGACATACACGGCCTTTACACTTGTGGAGCTGTGCCAACGTGTTGTTAGCATACTAAATCAGGATCATTCAAAGGTAGGCCTTTGATTTTAACTAAAAATTGTGCTGTTCTGTATGATCATCTAATCTAGCCACCAGACTGAGCACCAAATAACCTTTAGCCACTTGCAAAAACCAAACTACCTGTATAGGAGGAAGTTTTATGGTGATAGATGCCATTAGAAAGGATGTGTCACAGGTGCTCAAGGCATCCCTAAAATGGAAGTTGCAAAGCTGTTTTTGAGCACCAACAAATAAAAGTACAGCCCCCCAAAGTGACCACTTTTTAAGAAAACATCCCTTTGGGTTTAGAAGTTATATCTCATTCTTTCAGGTCTGGTGTTGCAAAAAATATTTACAACTTCACAACACAGCTAAGGTTGGTGATAGTCGGTAACAATGTGGGTGTTAGTTTCAAGGAACAGCACCTTCTCCTTGGTCTGGAACAAAGAAATAACTTAAGAAGAGCCTGGGAGGGACAAGCAGGCTTTCTAAGAAGACAGTTACAATCATCTTTGCATGATGGCTTAGAAACAGCACCATTTGTGAGGAACCTGCTCTCTTAACAAGAGGCCTGGCATGTGCTAAAGGGCACAGACAGTTGCCCAGGTGGCATGGTTTCCCTTCAGTATGCTGGTTACCCAATCTGTGCTCAGACTTCCTGGCCCACCCTGGTAGTTACAGAGACTGTAACATTCAGCTGCATATTCCCCCTTCTGTTTTTCCAGTTTCTTTCCCTAGTCCAATGCTCCCAAACATAACACTGAGAATCCCAGGAGAAAAAGATGAAAGAAAGGAAAGATTTTTGGGGGGGCGGGGGGCAGATCTTTATCATATCAATACAGTCCAGCCTCATAAGCCTAAATACAAAGGGAATTGGTCATTCTGACAGGACTCACTACTTTCAAAAATAAATAAATAAATAAATAAAAGGAAAACAATTCAGTTTGATGATCTCATTGCTGATTGAGCACTTGAGATGGCTTTGGAAAAGGAGGAGATAAGTGGACATAAAAGGAATTTAAAATCAAATACAAAAAAAATGGTTAAGGTGGTAAATTTTCTATCATATGCTTTTACCACAATTTTAAAAACTGTTTTAATGGGATACAAGGCAAGAAGAAATCCAGCAGTGAGGTGACAGGTATCCAGGTAAAGCTTGGCTCCTGTGAAGTGCAGAGCTGTCCTCGGAAGATTCTTGAATTCTGTGCCAAGGATGCCTGGCCCTCAAGGAACAAGTTTTTGCTTAGCATGCAAGGGTGTACAGACTGAAAAAGGATGAGTCACAGGTTTCTTAGGCTTTCAAAGATAACATAAAAGATCTACTCCCACCGAGGCAGCTCTCTGAAGGTCAGAGTGAGACCCTGTCTTTTCAGCTCATATCTCATGTCCAGGACCCTTTTCTGAAGGACAGGGGTCCCCAAAGAAGCTAGAAGCAGGTGGCAGTAAGGGAGCATTCAATCCTTAGGCAATAGCAAGAGCTGCAGCTAACATTTATTGAAAACATGCCATATGGGTACACTAGGGCTTCTGCAAGGCATGTTTCATGACCTGTAATCTTTATAACAATCCCACAGGGTCAATATGAAGATGCCAATTTTGTATACAGAGAAATGGAAGATTAGTGATGTTAATTGATATGCCCAAGGCTATATGGCTACTGAGTGCAGGAGCCTGGATTTGAACTTTCCATCTGGCCAAAGCTCACACCCAATTCATTGAGCATTGTATGACCTCCTGGGGAACTACAATGATTGCTAGGCCATGAGACCAGCATGATGGAACTTGGTTAGAAATGTTAAATGCAGCCAGGCATGGTGGTTCACACCTGTAATACCAGCA
Organism: Homo sapiens; assembly: GCF_000001405.40. Taxonomy (NCBI): domain Eukaryota; kingdom Metazoa; phylum Chordata; class Mammalia; order Primates; family Hominidae; genus Homo; species Homo sapiens. The sequence goes on from NC_000020.11 coordinate 41,535,613, forward strand.
CTTTGGGAGGCTGAGGTGGGAGAACCACTTGAGGTCAGGAGTTAGAGACCAGCCTGGGCAATAGAGCAAGACCCTGTCTCTACCAAAAAAAAAAATTTAAAACATTTGCCAGCAGTGGTGGTGCACACCTGTAGTCCTAGCTACTTAGGAGGCTGAGGCAGGAGGATCACTTGAGCCCAGTAGTTTGAAGTTACAACGGGCTATGATTGTGCCACTGCACTCCAGCCTGGGCAACACAGCAAGACTCAATCTCTTAAAAATAAAAATAAAAGTTAAATGTGATGGCATATGCAATCACTTTGGGAAAGGTCATGCAGTTCTTGATGAAAAAGCAGATATTAGTAATAAAATATATAAAATTATAATTGAAAAGTCTACCAGAAATGTTTGTATTTTTAAGGCACCTTGTTGGGAGCTTTGAAAACATATTTGCTGAAGATTAAAAAATATAAGACAAAAAAATTTCTTTCATGTGTCTCAAGGTCAGCAAGGGAAAGGCAAAGAGCTGAAATAAAAGCTTTGTTTCAGCTTCTACCAAGGACATTAAATTACCACTTTGAAACTGGCCCTAAAAGGAACAGGTTGAAGATGATGGGCCACAAGGTGCCAAAAATATTTTACAAATTATAACAACAGTTTAAATAGAGACAAGAATCTAGGAAAACAGGAATGAAATGGACAGGTTCCACTGGTAACACATGCAACAATGCTAGCTCATAAACTGCACTGTTAGTAAAAAACTCGTTTCTGTGATTCAAAATTATCAATCCACAATATTCCTGGAAAAGACACTTAAAGACTTGAATCTAGATAAACTGGATCAGGTCAGTTGAAAAGGAGCTAAGAACTAATGAAAAAATTATGGCCCTGGGCAGTGGTTCCAAACAGAGGTCCATGGACAAACCTTTAACAATTATTCAAGAACTTGAAAGTCAAAATAGATTCTAATTAAGAAAATCATCCAGAATAATGAGCGTATCTGCTACAGAATCTTCTTCATCAGTTATAACCATTTCTATACCTTTTCAACAGAAAGCCTTGAAATAATATGCTAAAACTCAGGCAACAAAAACCATTAAATTTCAGTACATCAGGTTAAAAAAAATTAAGCATATTTCACTGTATTTTTTTGTTTTGGGTCAGGAAACATATATTTCTATCTGTAAGGAATCCATACATGGATACCTGACAATCATTGCCTATAAGCTGCTTCCAAGCTAGTACTGTTCTCTATCCAAGCTCCTGAGGAATAGAGAGAGAGCCTTTCACTCTTATTCATATAAACAGTATTTACTGGCCATTTACAAGTTTCTTTAAATATTGGCATGGCAAACAGGCATATATAGAGATGTGAAGGTTGAAAGGGAAGATACTCTCCAAGTTGTGATGACATTTCCCTCTCCCAAATTTAGGATGATTCTTTCTTTGAAAGAAAAATTAAATAAAGTGATAATATAATACTATTAGACTTCCCCCAACTTTTCCTAAAAGTTGCATATTTTATGTGAAATATAGTAATTAAGGAATTTAAATATTTTTCATTTAAAACTTTAATACACTTATCAAAATTAATAACTTTTGCACTTTAAAGAATATTATCAAGAAAGTACAGTTGGCCCTCTAAATCCATGGGTTCTGCATCTATGGAGTCAACCGAGGATTGAAAATATTTGAAAACAAACAAACAATTAAAAATGACAATACAACAATAAAAATACATATTTAAAAACAATATACTACAACAACTATTTATGTAGCATTTGTGTTGTGTTAGGTCTTGTAAGTAACCTAGAGATGATTTAAAGTGTATGAGAAGATGTGTATGGGTTATATACAAATACTACACCATTTTAAATAAGGGACTTGAGCATCCTCAGATTTTGGTATTCATGTAAGGCGTTAGAACAATCCCCCATGGACGCTGAGGAAGAAGTGCATAAAGAAAATCCCCAGAATAGGAGAAAATATTTGCAAATCATTTATCAGATAAGGGTCTAGTGTCTAGAATATATAAAGAATTCTTACAAGTCAATAATAAAAAAGAACCAAATTCAAGGCCACAACGAGATACTATTTTATACCCACCTAAGATGGCTATAATAAAAAAGACAAGACAACAATAATTTTGGCAAGGATACAGAGGAATTGAAACTTTCATACATTGTTGGTGGGAATATAAAATGGTGAAGCCACTTAACAGTGTGACAGTCCTTCAAGAAGTTAAACACAGTTAGCAAATGATCCAGCAATTCCATCATAGATACACACACACACACATATACACAGAATTGAAAACAGGTGTTTAAACAAAAACTTACACACAAATGTTCACAGCAGCACTATTCACAATAGCCAAAAGGTGGAAGCAACTCCATCCATCGACAGACGAACAGGCAAACAAAATGTGGTATGTCCATACAATGGCATATTATTCAGCCATAAAAAGGAGTGAAGTGGGGCTGGGTGCAGTGGCTCACACCTATAATCCCAGCAAAGGGGAGGCCAAGGTGGGCGGATCACATGAGGTCAGGAGTTCAAGACCAGCCAGGCCAACATGGTGAAACTCCCTATCTACTAAGAACACAAAAATTAGCCAGGTGGGGTGGCATGCGCCTGTAATCCCAGCTACTTGGGAGGCTAAGGCAGGAGAATTGCTTGAACTTGGGAGGCGGAGGTTGCAGTGAGCTGAGATCGCGCCACTGTACTCCAGCCTAGGTGACAAAGTGAGACTCTGTCTCAAAAAAATAAAAAATAAAAAAATAAAAAAGGAGTGAAGTACTGAAACATGCTACACCATGGATAGACCTTGAAAACAGGCTAAATGAAATCAGCCAGACACAAAAGGCCACATATTGTATAATTCCATTTATATGAAATGCTCAGCAAAAAACGAACTCAAAGAGACAAATTGGGGGTTACGAAAATGTTCTGAAATTAAATAGTGGCGATGTTTACACAATCTTGTGAATATTCTAAAAACCACAAAATTGCACATTTTTAAAGGGTGGATTTTATAGTATGTAAATTACATTTTCATTTTGAAAAATCCAGTACTAGGACATACCAAAATTGGTGCTCTCAAATATTGCTGGCAAGAGTATCAACTATTAAAAGCCTTTTTTTGCAGGACAGAGTAGCAACATGTAGTGAATTCTTATAATTTTATGTTGCCTCAACATCCATTTTGGATGTACACTGGACTTTCTCATACCAGAAGTGGAGCTTGTTCAAGCTTGATACAGTTTCTACCCTTGACCCTGCCTCCTCCCAGTTCCTCAAGGTGGTCAATCCAGATATCTGCCTTTTACAACTGCCTCCTGGTGACCACCCACCTATGGGACAGCCACAGAGCCTACCTACGTGTCTTGCTCCACTGACCCCATACCCTGCATGGACTGCCCAGATACGCCGCAGTGACTCCACTGAACTCTAACTGCTTGCTCTAAACCCAGCAATTAGAACTCCCTGCAGGAAACCTGCTTGGGTAATGGTTAACCGCCTGGACCCTAATGAAGGCTTTGATCCATGGGTTGGTTCATCTTTCTTTCTTGCTCCCCACACACTGACTGAACATGCGTGCCCTGGATAGCTCTTCGCTTCTCACTGGCTCTGTGAGGTGTGCTGCTCTCTTCTCTCTAGGATCTGCAAGTAATAAAACTGCTTCTGTTATTTCATGTTTTGTTATGCTGTCTTCTCTGTATCTCACCTGACTGACACACATTAACCTAACTCTCCTCCTGATCAAGGCTCTCCTCGAGAGTGGTTATCTTGGTAGGAATAAAATGGACCCAGGACACAGGTTAGACAAGAGCCACAAGGTGTCTGCCAGTATAAGTAAGTCTTCTGTGAGAGGGACACCTGGTCACTGGTCACTTGCATTAGGCTGCCCTTCAGGATAGAGAAGTATCCAGTGAAAGGCACACTGTAAACACACACGACCACCCCACTGGGGCCCCATGAGGGCAGTGCTAGAAATTACAGCCACTGCCCAGGGAGTGACCTTAAGACCAAATTAGATAAAAATACAACAAAACAATACTAAAATTTTAATTGTGGATATCCTTTTAAACAGGGCAACTTCTCTTCTAGGGCATAAATAAAGGAAACACATAATAACTCCAAAGGATTATATATAAGAATATCTGATACACAATTGTGTTTAATAGAGAAAAAAGCTATAATAACCTGTTTGCCAATCTTTAGGAAAATATTTAAATTAATAGTACACCCATCATCTGGAATAATACTACGCAACCATTATTATACGGAGGTTTAAAAGACATGAAACATGTCTACATTTGGGAAGCAAAAAAAGAAAACCTATGGTCTAATCACATTTTTGTTTTTAAAAAATACTATACGAATGCTAGCTTTTTAAAACAATTTTTTAAAGTCTGCAAGGGCACAGACCAAATGTTAACCATCATCATGTCTGGGTGATACGACTGTGGGCAGCTTTCACTTCTTTTTTGTTCTTTGTTTTTACCTGTCTCCCATGAGTAGAATGTAAGCTTCCAGAGGCAGTGATTCTGTGGTAGTATCTAGAAAAGTACCTGGCTTATGGTATAATTCAATCCTGTGGTTACTGAATGAAAGAAACAGTTATCTACAATTTGGAAAAGAGAAAAAGGGAGTCTATAGAATTGTACATGTAAACAGAAATGGCAATAAATATCTGTGCATAGAACAACTAATGGAAGGAAAACAAAATGTTAATAGTAATCATCTGAGGCTATGCAAATTTGGCTGTTTATTTCTAATAGACATCTACGATTTCAATAATGAGAATGTATTACTTTCATGGTATTTTTAACAGAAAAACTTTCATATACATGTAATAGAAAAATTTTACAGACTTCTATAATAAGCGGGAAAAACTGTTTTACCAGACAATCCATGTTTCTCCCAATCATAAGGATTCAAGAATCAAAGGCAGAATGAGAGGTGTCAGCACTGAGAGATTACATTTGACTGAGGTGCAGGACAAAGTGTGCACTTTGCACCTGGGCTGGAAAGGCCACCACAAACCCTTCATCCAGCTGTGCTTCCTTGCACCTCCAACCCAAGTAGTGAGCAAGGCCTCGCTGGCTCCTGCTGCTGGCTGGCTTTGGAGTCTTCTATCTTCTCCAGCAGGGAGAAGATGGTGTTCTGTGTTAGAAATTAGCTAAACATAAAAACGAGTAGAAAAGCTCATCAAAATTTGCAACCTTCTATGTTTTTTTAAAGTTCAAATAATAAAAATGAAAATTCAAAGGAAGTGGTAACTGTTTCTATTAATAAATCAGTTTGTGGACAACATTTCAGGTAGCTAAAGTTATTTCCTAATTAAAATTAGGATTGTTTTATTTTTTTCACCTTCACTTTCTTCTGAAAGATTTTTTTTAAAACAGGCATTTGACTACAGAACATACTAAATGTAGAAAAAAAAAAAAAACCCACATGTCCTCAGCTTTTATTTTGCTGCAATTGTACTGGAACTTATCCACTCAGCAAAGACATCTGTGTGGAATTAGCAAGACTGACCAGAGTGGGGGCAGGAACAATGTCTGTCCGATTGTGCATTTGTATGTCTCTTTCTCTCTTTCTTTTTCTGCATTTAGTATACAGTCAGTCCCCGACTCATAATGGTTTGATTTATGAATTTTCAACTTTATGATGGGTTTGTCAGGACATAACTTCATCGGGAAGTCCAGGAACGTTTCTATTTCAATCTATCTCTACTGAGGAGTCCTGTGCTTTAGGTGACAAAGCAGGTACTTTGATCCTGGTGTTCTTCACATAGTCACAGCTGGTTAGACAGTTCAGTTGCAGGTATTTAAGGATAATTCAGGTGCAGAAATCCAGTAGGTTCTTGGATAATTTTCCAAGAAAAATTTCTACAAGAATGAATTAGACTGCCCAGCAAGAATAAAGAGAGAAGAGAAAACAGGACCAAATCCTGACACACACTAACGTTTCAGGATCACCAGAGGAAGAAGAACCTACAGAGTGAGAAGAAACAGTGAGATAAGTGAAGTTGGTGGGAAAAAATGTAAGACTGAAAGCAGGGTATCCCTGAAGCCTGAAGAAGAGAGCATTTCAAGACAGAATCATCGCAGGTGTCAAACGCTGCTGAGAAGCAGGTAAGTGAAGCACTAAAGAGTGGTCAACAGATTTGGTAATGTCATTTTTTCAAAACCTTTCCACCCCCAAATACTTGACTCTGTCGTTTTTAGTCTCCACCTCTACTTCCATATTTTTGCAATTAAAATGGGGAGACGGGGACAGGAGATACTTTTATGATGTTTCAAGAGTCTTAGAAATTTGAAATCTCTAAATATGCCGTCAACCTAATTCTTGTTAACTCTAGGCAGTAACAAAAACTGTGGGCTAGTATATGGCTAAATTTAGATGCTGACAGGGAAGAATTAGGAGGAGAGAGGGAAAATAATAATAAGTGCCTGTGTTGTTTTTGGAAACTACTTTTATTTCCAACTATGGCTTTGGGTAGACCAAAACCTCACAGTAACTCAATTTCCTAATCTGCCTAAGTGGAATGATGTTTGCTCCACCAACAAAGGCCAGGAGATACATCTTTTAGAATTATTTGGTGATATATTCTAGGACAAGTAGATGCTGAACAGAATCTAGTGGGGTGAATAAGACTATTTTCCTACCTCTTCATTCCTGGCCCACATGTAGTTTTACAGTAGCTTTGGGCTACCAGAGGCCCTAGGCCCAAAACTTAGGCCAACTCTGCTCCTACCCCTGCCACATAATAAACCAGGACCCCGGCCTAGAGTTAGAAAGACTGTATTCGGCTGGGCGCAGTGGCTCATGCCTGTAATCCCAGCACTTTGGGAGGCCAAGGCGGGTGGATCCCAAGGTCAGGAGATCGAGACCATCCTGGCTAACATGGTAAAACCCCGTCTCTACTAAAAAATACAAAAAATTAGCTGGGCATGGTGGCGGGCGCCTGTAGTCCCAGCTACTCAGGAGGCTGAGGCAGGAGAATGGCATGAATCTGGGAGGTGGAGCTTGCAGGGAGCCGAGATCGCACCACTGCACTCCAGCCTGGGCGACAGAGCGAGACTCCGTCTCAAAAAAAAAGAAAAAGAAAGACTGTATTCATGGATAAGGAATTGTTCTTTTATATATCTCAGCCTTGTAGTCACAATGACTCTAACCACCCAGAATTGTTCTGATATTTTACACATAAAATGGATGCCAAGGCCAGGCACGGTGGCTCACGCCTGTAATCCCAGCACTTTGGGAGGCTGAGGCGGGTGGATCACAAGGTCAGGAGATTGAGACCATCCTGGCCAACATGGTGAAACCCCATCTCTACTAAAAATTCAAAAAACTAGCTGGGTGTGGTGGCGTGTGCCTGTAATCCCAGCTACTCAAGAGGCTAAGGCAGGAGAATTGCTTGATTCCGGGAGGTGGAGATTGCGGTGAGCCAAGATTGCGCCACTGCACTCCAGCCTGGTGACAGAGTGAGACTCTGTCTCAAAAAAAAAAAAAAAAAGGATGTCAATAATAATAATAGTTAATTTTACTAACAAATGGGTATTAGGAAGATACTAAGCTTATTAAATGTATCACCAAAACAACCTTAAGATAGAGGCATATTATGACTCCATTTTACAGAGTAGAAGCCTAGAGAGGCTAAATAACTCAACTTGGTCCCACGGCTAGTAAGTGGTAAAGCTAAGATTTGGGATTTGACTCCCATTTCAAGGGCCATTGCTTTTAATCACTTCACACTGTCTCGTGTACTGGATACAACAAACTTAGAAATAAGAATCAGCAAGAACCTCTAACCAACCTCTATTTTGTTTCCATCACCCATTCCCCAACACACCTGTATCTCTCCTCAACCTTTCCCCAGATGACTTTCAATTCACTAACTTTTCCTCTTCTATCCATTTCTTCATAAATCCACTTGTTCTCCAGATCAGATGAGAAACATATCAAGAATAAACAATTTATTAAGTGGACATATATTAAATAAATGTAGTAGGACATATATTAAATAAATGATGTCTAAGACTTTTCAGCTTCACCCAGAAGGGTCCCAAGATGAGGGTCATTTTAAACATGGACTTGGCAGCTACCAAAGATCTACAACCACCATCGTAAGAATGTAGTTTGTTAGCAGTAGACATATTTCTTTTATCCTTACAAAATGAGAACGTTTTATTCTCAGTATCTAAATATTACGTAGTTCCTGGATAGTAAGTTCATGATAAAGTTACAAACCATATCAAAATGAAAAAGACGTTCCTGTTGCACTTTTGGTTTTTTCATAATACTTTAACCCTTTGGGCTAGTTTTCCCAAGGATGAATCAAAGTTATGCAGAGCGGCCAGGCACGGTGGCTCATTCCTGTAATCCTATCACTTTGGGAGGCCAAGACATGCGGATTGCCTGAGCTCAGAAGTTTGAGATCAGCCTGGGCAAAATAGTGAAACCCTGTCTCTACTAAAATACAAAAAATCAGCCAGGCGTGGTGGCGGGCGCCTGTAATCCCAGCTACTCAAGAGGCTGAGGCATGATAATTGCTTGAACCCGGGAGGTGGAGGTTGCAGTGAGCTGAGATTTTGCCACTACACTCCAGCCTGGGCAACAAAGCAAAACTCTGTCTCAAAAAAAAACAAAGTTAGGCAGAGGAAGACGATTCTTCACAGTCACATCAATACTCGTTATGCGAGCTAAAAATGTCACAGATCCAAATCCTTCATCATCACTTTGAAGCTGCTTCAAAAACTTGGTCACCAGAGCTTCCCAGACTCCTCTGGTCAAGACAGGAGACGAGGCAATTCCATTAGTTGTTTTTAAGTAGCCTTTTTTATGACAGTGTTTTCTACATGTAAACTTACTAGACTTACAGCTTCTTTATGCATAGGATTTTAAAATTAGCAGCTTATTTCCATTAAAATTTTGTGTCTGTCTCATAAATGCTAGTGACGTATTTGATAACATTAGTAACATGAATTAAATGAACCACAGTGCAATTTAAATATTAAATTTTAATATTAACATATAATTAATCATACTATAAATATTTTAATGTTAATATTTTATACTAATTAAAATATTAGTATTTTAATACTAAAATATTACACAGTAATATGATTACTATATAATCATATGTACTGTTATGATACTATATTATAATAATCATATTACTGTGTATGTATAGTAATATTACTATATCATAGTAATATATGATTACTATGTAATATTTTAGTTAAAATTGTGTCAACTTACATACAATTTACTTTGGTCTTATAAATACCATAAATAAATGTACTGGCAAACTATGATTCTAGTCAGGATGGGCCTCTGAGGTCGAGTTCAAACTCCCATCTCATGCTTTCTAACATACAAGCAAAGAATTAGGAGAGAGAGAAAATAATAACTAATAAGTTCTGGAGACAGGGAGCTTACTGCTTACAAGGCATATGGCACAGCTACGCAGCTCAACTTCTCCGGATGTCCTTCTTTATATGAAGCCTATCCTCCTCTAACTCTCCCCACGTGTCCCATTCTCTTCCACAGGTCCAGCAATAGACACATTTAACTCTTTTCCACGTGATGCCCTTAAGTCTTCATTTCCTCAGGCTACACAGTCCTAGCTTCATCCACAGCTCACATGAAATAAATCAGCGTTATTTTGCCATCTCAGTGACTTTATTCTGGCCTCGAGTGTATGTTTCAGAACATAAAGTAAGAATAATGAAAAAAATATATTAAGATATGTTCAAAGAGGGGAAAGCATTTAATGCTCAGACTTCTTTTCCTTTTTGGAGGAGGGAGGAGAAAAGAGGTGGATAGGTCCCTTTTAAGTCCTTTTGAAACATGATTCTAGGGTGAGGCTCTTTAGTCATCTAGGCTAGTTATTGGCCCAGATGATCTTCAGACCCTCTGCAGGATGAGGCCAAAAAGTCTTAAAAGTAAATTATTCACTCAACCATATTATCAACTTTGCTATTCTTCCTCTTTCACTATTCTAAATTATGGATCATGATTTAGTGATCCATACTACTAGTAAACTGAGTCCTCATCTCTCCCTAGAGGATTTCTGGGACCAATTCTTTTGGGAATTATTCTTTGTCCTAGTTCACCCTTGGTCACCACCCAAAATTCAGCACCACACACTAGGCCTTTCCTTTCTCCCTTCCCACCACGTCTTTCAACTTCCCAAAACCACCTATATTACTCTCTTCCCTCCTAAGCTTTCCTCCTGAGGACCCTGAAGCAAAAAGCCTGAAACCTAGCTCCCCACAGAAGACGCTGCCTCTTTTTAGAACACTCTCAATTTCTTTGGTGGGGCTGACCTTCCCTTGGCCCCCATACTCTCCAATTCCAGAGCATGATCTTCCACCACAAGGTAAAACTCTGGCTCTTCCGAGGCATATTTCATCCCCTGGTTACATTAATGGTTTGTAACCAGGCTAGAAATTTCTTGAGAAATTGCTTTAGTTACTACTGAACCTGACCCCAAGTAGAACGCAAATATTTCTGAACTAGTATTAATAAATTAATGCTGAAAAACTCAACAAATTGTTCAGTGAATAAATTATACCCATATTCACTCCAGGGAAGAAAATAAGGTCTAATAATCTGAAAGTCTTTGAGATTCTCACAGTATATCTGAAGAAAACTCTTCCCATCTTTATGTTTTCTAGAGGACCTAAGAATGAAGGGCTCTGCTTACCCAACTCTTGGCATGGGGTCAGGAAGCAAGATTCTCCCGTAGTTACTCAAGTCAGCTCCAAGCCGTCATCCTACTTATAATATTATGTATTTCTATTGCATTCATTGCTTATTAACTGTCTTCTACACTGGATATGTGGTCCCAAAGCCCTCTTACCCCTTAAGATGACACCTGCCTGCAGACCATATTATACATTACATAATATTTATCATTTTTTATGTTTTTCCCAGTGCCAAGCAGGAGCTGAGATGAATAAAAATCAATATTCCTATATCATTGTTTCGTTGTTGCTAACATTAGGATGTGCCCTCTTGCAAAGAACTATTTACAACCATATTATACATCAATAGTGCCACATAGGTTTTCAATGATTAGAGTTCACATTTTATTTTTATAATTTTTTTCTGCCTAATAATGCTTAGTCATCTTAAGAATTAAAATAACGTATTTCTTAGAAGCAGTTTAGTTCTTTTTAATGTAGATAAAAGTCTATAGCTCTCCTGAGTGATTCACTTTTAAACGTTTTATTAAAATCTGTTTTTCTCACAACGATTCTTTAGGCAAAACAAAGTCAATCTCTAAACCCTTTATTCTGGGCACATTACTCCTATTATGCCCTTTCTGGTTAATAAGAAGCACGATTATTTATTACTGAGTTTTGATTTAATTTGTAAAAATCTACCATCTCAATTTACCTTGGTAAGATTTTGAACAAAGAAATGAGGAATATCAAGATCAGAGTGTATTTACATGCCATTTTTCTCCAGGGAAGAGGAAAGTGAATTAATAGGAATGAGGGTTTTTAAAAGGTGGATGTTTTATTTGCTGCTACTTCTAACACCTCAGAATCATGGTAAAAGACAAAGTTTGATGGTTACTTTTATTGTTAAACTGAAAGATTTCCTTGCCACTGACAAACTAAATACCAAGTACTCGACGAATTACCCCACTTAATCCTAATCTTATGATGTGAGGCATGTTATGATTACTTCCATTTAAATGACAGAAAAACAAGGCTGGCTTTTGTCTTCCAGCTCAAAGGAGGCCAAGGTGCAACTTCTTTCAGTCGTCCTGAATCGGATTCATCTGACACAAGCTGCCTCCACCATGCTGCTGAAGTTTGACCCCAATGAGATTAGAGTCGTATACCTGAGGTGCACCGGGGGTGAAGTCGATGCCATGTCTGCACTGGCTCCCAGGATAAGACCCCTGGGTCTGTCTCCCAAAAAGGTTGATGATGACATTGCCAAGGCAACTAGTGACTGGAAGGGTCTAAGGATTACAGTGAAACTGACGATTCAGAACAGACAGGCCCAGATTGAGGTGGTACCTTCTGCCTCTGCCCTAATCATCAAAGCCCTCAAGGAACCACCAATAGACAGAAAGAAACAGAAAAACATTAAACACAGTGGAATTATCACTTTTGATGAGATTGTCAACACTGCTCGACAGATGCAGCACCAATCTTTAGCCAGAGAACTCTCTGGAACTATTAAAGAGCTCCTGGGGACTGACTACTGCCCAGTCTGTGTCTGCAATGTTGATGGCCACCACCCTCATGACATCATGGATGGCATCAACAGTGTTGTGGTGGAATGCCCAACTAGTTAAGAAGCACAAAGGAAAAATTTCCATAAAGGTTCATTTGACAAGGCTGAACTTACCCAAAATTATACAACTAAATCGTAAGGTCAGAGTTTCAATCCTGTTCTATGGAAATCAAAGCTGAAATTCACTCCAGAACATGAGCCTCTTCTCTATTAGGCACTGAATTCTCCATCCTGGAGCCTATATATTGCTTTAACTTGAACATCATTTTCTATTTTCATTCTTTGCAACTTCTTGCAATTCAGTTATCAGTATGGCCTACCATCAGTATTTATAAGAGGAGCAGGATCAAGTCTTTCTGAAAGTTGCTCACTTCTGTAACCTGCTTCTCTATCCTATCTAATATTAACTTTTAAATGAAAAATCCTGTTCTGTTCATCAAAATTACCATGAGGTCCAAAACAAAAACCCATCCAACTGAAGCTACATAACAGCTGGCTAACATACCAAAGGTCTTAACATGAACCAGTAAAATCTCACAAGAAACCAGAATTCATTTTGGTGGAATCACTAAAGAATGTTTTGATTTAAATAAATGCTTATCTCCTTACACCTTATACAAAAATTAATTCAAGATGGATTAAAGACTTAAATGTTAGACCTAAAACCATAAAAACGCTAGAAGAAAACCTAGGCAATACCATGCAGGACATAGGCATAGGCAAGGACTTCATGTCTAAAACACCAAAAGCAATGGCAACAAAAGCCAAAATTGACAAATGGGATCTAATTAAACTAAAGAGCTTCTGCACAGCAAAAGAAACTACCATCACAGTGAACAGGCAACCTACAAAATGGGAGAAAATTTTCGCAACCTACTCATCTGACAAAGGGCTAATATCCAGAATCTACATGAACTCAAACAAATTTACAAGAAAAAAAAAACAACCCCATCAAAAAGTAGGCAAAGGATATGAACAGACACTTCTCAAAAGAAGACATTTATGCAGCCAAAAAACACATGAAAAAATGCTCATCATCACTGGCCATCAGAGAAATGCAAATCAAAACCACAATGAGATACCATCTCACACCAGTTAGAATGGCGTTCATTAAAAAGTCAGGAAATAACAGGTGCTGGAGAGGATGTGGAGAAACAGGAACACTTTTACACCATTGGTGGGACTGTAAACTAGTTCAACCATTGTGGAAGTCAGTGTGGCGATTCCTCAGGGATCTAGAACTAGAAATACCATTTGACCCAGCCATCCCATTACTGGGTATATACCCAAAGGATTATAAATCATGCTGCTATAAAGACACATGCACACGTATGTTTATTGTGGCACTATTCACAATAGCAAAGACTTGGAACCAATCCAAATGTCCAACAACGATAGACTGGATTAAGAAAATGTGGCACATATACACCATGGAATACTATGCAGCCATAAAAAATGATGAGTTCATGTCCTTTGTAGGGACATGGATGAAGCTGGAAACCATCATTCTCAGCAAACTATCACAAGGACAAAAAACCAAACACTGCATGTTCTCACTCACAGGTGGGAACTGAACAATGAGAACACATGGACACAGGAAGGGGAACATCACACTCCGGAGACTGTTGTGGGGTGGGGGGAGGGGGGAGGGATAGCATTAGGAGATATACCTAATGCTAAATGATGAGTTAATGGGTGCAGCACACCAACATGGCACATGTATACATATGTAACAAACCTGCACATTGTGCACATGTACCCTAAAACTTAAAGTATAATAATAATAAAATTAAAAAAATAAAATATTTTGGGTCCATAAAAAAAAAAGCTTATCTTAAAGGATGCTTAAAAATAAACAAATGTACAGATTGCTTTAAGAAATATAAACCTGCTCACATACCACAAATGACAATAGTTTTGAGGGTCTGGGGTTCTCTTCAGTAATGTATTCTTTGAGATGGAATCTTGCTCTTGTCCAGGCTGGAGTCCAATGGTGCAATCTCGGCTCACTGCAACCTCCACCTCCCAGGTTCAAGTGATTCTCCTGCCTCAGCCTCCTGAGTAGCTGCGATTACAGGTGCTCGCCACCATGCCTGGCTAATTTTTTTGTATTTTTAGTAGAGACGGGGTTTTGCCATGTTGGCCAGGCTGGTCTCAAACTCCTGACCTCAGGTGATCTGACTGCCTCGGCCTCCAAAAGTGCTGGGATTACAGGTGTGAGCCACTGCATCCAGCCAGTAATGTCTTCTTTTTAACAGCAGCATAATATTCCACTAGGTGGGTGTGCTATGATTTGAACAGTCCCCTTTTTGACGGATGTGTACGTTCTTTTCCATTTTTGCTATCATACATGAAACAGCAATTTAAGCCTTTATACACACAGTTTTGCACACCTGAGTATATCCACAGGATAAGTTCCTGGTACATCGAACTGCATTCCATGTAGCGTCTGCCTATCAGCTGACAACTCTTTGAGCTAGGACAGATATAAATCCAGTTTGTAGGCAGTATTTAGTCACTGCTCTTCTTGTTATCTGGCAGCAGATGAATTAACTAATTCCCCAAACCAACCTAGCCGTTGAGGACAGACCAGGGGGTAGTCCTTGTAACCATAACCCTAACCCATAACCCTAAGTTACCCTATTATTAGACTAGAGTTCCCTAGAAGCAAACTGGAAAGGTAGGAGTGGCTAGTCTCACCCAACCTCTTTGTTACAGAGTCCCAGTGAAAAGCAGGGATTTAGATACCCCAATTCCCAGGCTGTCAATCAATTCTGTAAAAGAAAAACCAGCCCAACAGAAATAGCCCATTTCCAAGAGACACAGACAGGTCTCCCATCTGACCTCCCTGAGTGAGGTCTCAGAGTTCCTTTGAATATGTTATACTCATGGCATAGCAGTACCAACCAAGGAAAGAGATCCTGGCAAGATAAATCACTCTCCATCCCACACGCCCTTCAAAATACCAAATGCCAAAGAGTTGATGCTCCCATTCTTCCAAATATTTCACTATTCTCTCTAGGGGGAACCCATCCACAGATCATTATAAATAAGGATTCTGTAAGTAAGAATGCTTTTAGTTTAACCAAAAATCCAGAAGGATAAATATATAAAATATAAAGAATTGGTCACATCTCTCTTTCAGAAAAGACTCAGAAAGCTGTTCAAAGGGAGGAAATGTTTCTCTTCTACTTGGCTAATTTGAATAATATTCTGATATACAGTTTTCATTACATTTACTCCTACGTGAAGATGAACTGAGCAACAAGAAAAATCCATATTATTAAGTCATTCAGAACAGAGCTCTCAGTTACTATAATACAGGCAACAGGGAAAGTACCAGAGATTAAGGGATAAGCCAACACTGCCAGTGTCTCCCCTTGTTGAAAAAGCACCAAGATACCCGGATGCATTCACTTAAAAGAAAAGTGATCACTTACCTGCTTCTCTTTTTTCTGTATTTTCATTTTCATCTATTGAAGGAAGATATTTATTTCTGTAAAACATTTTTAAAAAGGCAAAGATTATGACAAAACCCAAAATAAAACATTTTCAACATCTCCAGATTACTGTAACACACAAGGAAAACAAACAGGGGATTACTTCTGCAGAACATTTATGTCCAACAACCTCCAGAGCCGTAAGTGTACACCTAATTAGATCTAACTCTGTTAGACCCTAATTTATTGCACCCAATAAAATGAAGTCAAAAAGATATTGTCTTTGTAGATTAAATCAGTTATAAAAGATGTTGGCATGTATGAAAGTTAGTGGTAACCAATAAAGGAACAAAAACAATAACATGCCTTTACTGAGAGGTATTAGGAGATGGGAAGGAAGTAAGGTAAGCCCTCATCCCTTTTGGAAGAAAACAATCAATGATGTCTACAATGGAAAAATCAAGAAAGAGAAATACAGACAATAAAAAAGAGCTAAGAGTTCAATGCAGTTCTCTCTAAGGAGTGAGACAGGATTTGGTATATTATTTGACGATTTAAACCATGTACATTTATTACTTGAAAAAACAATTCCATTGCAATATTTCATACGATTTTTTTTAAAGGACTGATTTTACTCTATCCAGGACATAAGCCCCCATCCCCACTGCAACCATAATGTCCTTGACAACACTGAACTTCTCATAAATGACTTGTGAACACCATAAAAGCCCAGTAATTGTCTTTAGAGGTACAAAAGTGTGTCGGGGCATTTCAGGGAAAAGAACAAACCCTAGTCTAGGAAACCCAGAATTTGGGGCTGCCTGCATCACTAACTAGTACTACTGCCTCAGATCTGAAGCTCTTACCTTCCTCATATACAAACAATACAAGGATTATAGAATCTCAGGCTTCTAGTTCTAGCCGGAATATAAACACTGCTTCCTATTTTTTGTTGACTTTGATTTCCTGTTCATCCCACACAACTACAGAACACCACTCACTCAGAAAACCAAATTACCCATAAGTTTCCTAATTATTTCTCATATCCAAATGAATGTGATGTGTAGGCATTAAGTCTTAATAGAGCTTTTAAGATTAGAGCTTTAAGATTAAAGTGAGATAAGTATTTGAGGTGGTAGATATGTTAATTAGCTTGACTTAATTATTACACATTGTATTCATAAATGATGACATCACTGTGTACCCCATAAATATATACAACCATAATTTGTCAATTTGCAATTTAAAAAAGATTAAAGTGAGATAGTTCCAATTCTAAGTAAGTTCATGGCATGTTGGACGCAAACAGAAAAATGAAAGACATGATTCCAATCATCCTTGGGACCGCAATTACAGTTTATCATTTTAATGTCTGTCAATTTAGATTTTTCTCCCTCTAAGAGTTAGAGGCATTTTCTATTAAAAGAACCACAAAATGCCATGGAATCTGTCCTAGAGAGACATGTCTACCAAGGTACTGCTGTTTGCAAAGAGTGCAGCGGCCAAGGAGGTAAGTAGTTGGAAAGCAGGCATGATCGGGTGCTAAGGTGAAGGGGAGGAGGGTAGAGACTAACTGGCTAAATCAGGGAAAGGCAAGTCCAGTTAGTAAATGGTGCTTCTAAGAATCAATGCAAGGGTTAGTGTTTGATAGGACAGTTATTTACCTGAAGAATCCATAAATTCCAGATAAATGGTAAGTGCTCTGAACCAACGCAGTTAAAATTTAGAAAAAAATTATCTCCTAAGCTTCATTACAGTGGAGTCAGTTGTAGGTAAATTATGTTAGTACAAGTTTATCTCCTTTATCTCTATTCTTTAAATTATCAGACCCCAGAAAACTGACATTCTTAACCATCACAAACTGCCACAAAGTCAAAAATAAAGAAGTTTGGGGGAAAATTCCAGCTAATAAAAAAGGGTATTAACAATAAGACATACGTGTAGAAAGTAAAGAGTTTCCTCTTCAAAGTTCCCCTTCTTGTTAAAGAATGAATCATAAGTGTTAGAAGTAGTAGTTTCTTTTAAAGACTACCTTTCTTCAAGCCTCCTTGGTTTGGGCTAATAACTCTTTGTCAGGCCCTGTCCTAAGTAACTGTTGGACATGCTCACAGGCACGTTCCAGCTCATAGCCTATGCCCATTCCTTATTTGGAAATGTTATTGCTTCCTTAAACCTTTCATAAGCAACTTCCTCTCCTTCTTTGTTCTTCCCCACACTTACCTATTTAGGAAAGTTTTAGGCTATTAGC
This sequence comes from Homo sapiens, assembly GCF_000001405.40. Taxonomy (NCBI): domain Eukaryota; kingdom Metazoa; phylum Chordata; class Mammalia; order Primates; family Hominidae; genus Homo; species Homo sapiens. The sequence goes on from NC_000020.11 coordinate 41,553,553, forward strand.
AAATCGGGTATTAGTTTAAGAGCGTGAGGTCTAGCTCCAGCCAATGGATGCAGGACACGGCAGTGAGGATGATCCAAATGTGTAAGGGATAAATACATCTGCTTTTCCTTTGTTCAGGTGTGCTCTCACCATTGTTTCATCTGCGATTGCGTACCCTTTCTGCAGAAAGTAAAGATCGCCTTGCTGAGAGATCTTTTGTCTCCGTGCTGACTTTTCTTTGTGGCACTGATTATTTCTAACAATTTTGGTATTTCTAACAATATGTCTCAAATAAAATTCTGCCCAACAAAATGAAATCATTAAAAATTACAGAAAGGTCAGGTACAATGGCTCACACCTGTAATCCCAGCACTTTGGGAGGCCAAGGCAGGCGGATCACTTGAACCCAGGAGTTTGTGACCAGCCTGGGCAACATGGCAAAAACTTGTCTCTATAGAAAATACAAAAATTAGCCAGGTGTGGTGGCTTCCACCTATGGTCCCAGCTACTTGGGAGGCTAAGGTAGGAGGATCATCTGAGTCTGGGAGGTCCAAGCTGCAGTGAGATCACACTACTGTACTCCAGCCTAGGTGACAGAGTGAGGCCCTGTCTCAAAAAACAAACAAAACGAAACACTACAGGAAAACTCTACCAATGTTAATAAAAAATTACTTTTGTAATGTATAAAGAACTGATACAATTATGATGCAGCAGGGACATCAGAAAGCACAATTTCTGATTCACTACCACAAACTAGCACTGGAATAAAAACAAGCAGGGCACCTAACACTGCCAGGAATGTGGGAAAACAGGTCCTACTTATAATTGCTAATGGCACTTTTATTTTTTATTTATTTATTTATTTATTTATTTATTTTATTGATCATTCTTGGGTGTTTCTCGCAGAGGGGGATTTGGCAGGGTCATAGGACAATAGTGGAGGGAAGGTCAGCAGATAAACAAGTGAACAAAGGTCTCTGGTTTTCCTAGGCAGAGGACCCTGCGGCCTTCCGCAGTGTTTGTGTCCCTGGGTATTTGAGATTAGGGAGTGGTGATGACTCTTAACGAGCATGCTGCCTTCAAGCATCTGTTTAACAAAGCACATCTTGCACCGCCCTTAATCCATTTAACCCTGAGTGGACACAGCACATGTTTCAGAGAGCACAGGGTTGGGGGTAAGGTCACAGATCAACAGGATAAGAATTTTTCTTAGTACAGAACAAAATGAAAAGACTCCCATGTCTACCTCTTTCTACACAGACACGGCAACCATCCGATTTCTCAATGTTTTCCCCACCTTTCCCCTCTTTCTATTCCACAAAACCGCCATTGTCATCATGGCCTGTTCTCAATGAGCTGTTGGGTACACCTCCCAGACGGGGTGGTGGCCAGGCAGAGGGGCTCCTCACTTCCCAGTAGGGGCAGCCGGGCAGAGGCGCCCCTCACCTCCCGGACGGGGCGGCTGGCCGGGCGGGGGGCTGACCCCCCCACCTCCCTCCCGGACGGGGCGGCTGGCCGGGTGGGGGGCTGATTCCCCCACCTCCCTCCTGGACGGGGCGGCTTGCCGGGCGGGGGGCTGACCCCCCCACCTCCCTCCCCGACGGGGCGGCTGGCCGGGCAGAGGGGCTCCTCACTTCCCAGTAGGGGCGGCCGGGCAGAGGCGCCCCTCACCTCCCGGATGGGGCGGCTGGCCGGGTGGGGGGCTGACCCCCCCACCTCCCTCCTGGACGGGGCGGCTGGCCGGGCAGAGGGGCTCCTCACCTCCCAGTAGGGGCGGCCGGGCAGAGGCGCCCCTCACCTCCCGGACGGGGCGGCCGGCCGGGCGGGGGGCCGACCCCCCCACCTCCCTCCCGGACGGGGCGGCTGGCCGGGCAGGGGGCTGACCCCCACCTCCCTCCCGGACGGGGTGGCTGCCGGGCGGAGACGCTCCTCACTTCCCAGACAGGGCGGCTGCCGGGCGGAGGGGCTCCTCACTTCTCAGATGGGGCTCCTCACTTCTCAGATGGGGCGGTTGCCAGGCGGAGGGTCTCCTCACTTCTCAGACGGGGCGGCCGGGCAGAGACGCTCCTCACCTCCCAGACGGGGTCGCGGCCGGGTAGAGGCACTCCTCACATCCCAGACGGGGCGGCGGGGCAGAGGCGCTCCCCACATCTCAGACGATGGGCAGCCGGGCAGAGACGCTCCTCACTTCCTAGATGGGATGGCGGCCGGGCAGAGACGCTCCTCACTTTCCAGACTGGGCAGCCAGGCAGAGGGGCTCCTCACGTCCCAGACGATGGGCGGCCAGGCAGAGACGCTCCTCACTTCCCAGACGGGGTGGCGGCTGGGCAGAGGCTGCAATCTCGGTACTTTGGGAGGCCAAGGCAGGCGGCTGGGTGGTGGAGGTTGTAGCGAGCCGAGATCACGCCACTGCACTCCAGCCTGGGCACCATTGAGCACTGAGTGAGCCAGACTCCGTCTGCAATCCCGGCACCTCGGGAGGCCGAGGCTGGCGGATCACTCGCGGTTAGGAGCTGGAGACCAGCCCGGCCAACACAGCGAAACCCCGTCTCCACCAAAAAAATACGAAAACCAGTCAGGCGTGGCGGCGCGCACCTGCAATCGCAGGCACTCGGCAGGCTGAGGCAGGAGAATCAGGCAGGGAGGTTGCAGTGAGCCGAGATGGCAGCAGTACAGTCCAGCTTTGGCTCGGCATCAGAGGGAGACCGTGGAAAGAGGGAGAGGGAGAGGGAGACCGTGGGGAGACGGGAGAGGGAGAGGGAGACCGTGGGGAGACGGGAGAGGGAGAGGGCACCTTTTTTTTTTTTTTTTTGAGACAGTCTCCGCTAATGGCACTTTTAACTGTTTCAAGCTTTCTGAAGAGCACTCAGGCAATGTGCCACTAGATCTATGAACGTTTTCAATCCTTTTATAGGCCAGTTCCACTTTAAGGAATATCTCCTAAGGCCATAAGCGGGTAGGAAATGAACCTGACCCCTAGGGGAAAGGTCAGAGATGAGGTGGGTGAAATGTGAAAATATCACATCAGCCTTGGCTAGCCTCTGAGGCAGAGAGAATGTGCATGTGAAATCTGAATGATGGCGATGTTACTGTAGAGTAACTGTCTAGTTCACTGAAAGCAGACTCTGGCAAATCTCATGTTACTGTCAAATCATTTCTGGCACCCCAACAGATCACAAAACACACCAGCATGCTGCCACCCCACAAGATAACAAACGTCATCAACATCAATAGGTGTTCAATAAGCATTTATTGATTTGTCCTTCTCCAGACAGCACCCCATAATTTATAAACACCCTTAAATTATCTCTACTTTTTAAATCTTTTTAAAGGCACACATTAAAAAATACATAAAACAATGTCATCTTTTTGTAAGGCTAAATTTTATGTACTAGGAATAGATGAATAGATACACCCTAAAGCTTGTACTTCTGCACAATGCTGGAAATGGCTTTACAGTCTCTGCTGCCATCACTCAGAAGTTCTGACTAGATCCTTCTGGCTCAATAAAGAACAAATCAAAATGTAATTTCAGGGTCTCAATACTTAATTAGAAACATAATACAGATAATTCTACAGATAACTCCGTGTGGGCAAACCAGAAAACTTGTCAACAGCGGAAAATATCAAGTGTATAACTTCTGAACTGGGGAAACTGGTGGGAAGCTAGTGGGACTCCCGCTCTCCTTGCTGCATTATGTATGAGTGCTTCCGTAGGAGCACGGCATTTAATTATCTTCACAAGAAGGTAAGCTGCTAATGATGTGAAAACAAACAATATAAAAGCTCCCATTCCTCTTATACTCACCCATCTAAGGATGCTCCTATTAAGAAAAATGGGTGCCAGGTTTCAATAAGAACATTTTGAAAGTTTTCTTTTCTTTTTTTTTTTAAATTACTATCTCTCTCTCCAGTCCAAAAAATCTGCAACAGTGCCTGTGCCATTTCCAAGTTCCTCAGTGTTGTGTAATAGTAACTTTTAAAAAATAACAAAAAAATCAGGTTCACCCTATTCAACCATTTATTCACAGAAATGATTTAAATTCACTATACCTTGAGAACTCTGCCATACTAACAATCCCTGCTCAGTCCAAGGGTCGACTGCATTACAAGAGTGTGTGTTTTTGCAAACACAAACAAGTGCATACCCAGCAGACCCCTACCAAGGTCCTTCATATTCACAGAAGATGAGAGTAGACTCAACTGAACACAATAACGATGGAGAATTCTGCTGTTAACAGGCCCCTATCCCCCACCACTCTATCAGGCACTTTGAGACAGAGTATGTGGGAAGCAACTCTAAAAATGAGACCCACCTCAAATTTTCCACAGTGAACATGTATTTTTATAATCTACTCATGCCCATCCTCAACCTTGAGATTGTTTCCTATGAACCACTCTAACAACAGCAGGCATAAATAGGGTATACCATGGGGATTTTAGGAATACGAATAAGGACACAGAGAGTAACTCATCTGGGAAGAGTGAGATAATCAAGAAAGCAGAGATGTCTTGAGGAATGCCACCTTCCTTAAACCCCTGCCCAAATACCTCTTATCAAGACTCCTGACCTCGGAGGCAGTCCAGTGGGTAAGAAATCCCCCAACTTCCCATTTCCCCACCTTACTACCCTCCACGCCCACAAACTGGACACATGTACCTTTCTCTATTGCCAGGTGTGAGCAGTCTACAGGAGGTACTTTAATAGCAAGGGGTTGAAGTACCAGAAAGCAGTTTGGATCTGGGCTGTAATGACGACGAGACATGTGAATGTCTTCTCCCCTGTAAAATGCTGACAACATGTGCCTCAGAGGGCCTCAGGAGAATTAAAAGGGATGGCAATCTATGGCGTCTGCCACATGGTGAAGACTAGCTATAGGCAGCTATTTGTGCTACCTGTCCTTATGGTCATCCCTCCAGTGTCACAGGAAGAAGACGTAAATGACGAAGAAGATGTTTTAATGATGTAAAAACAAACAATATAAAAGCTCCCATTCCTTCTTACACTCACCATCTAAGGATGCTCCTATTAAGAAAAAGGGTGCCAAGTTTCAATCAGAACATTTTGAAAGTTTTCTTTTTTTAAATTACTCCTCTCTCTCCAGTTCAAAAACTCTGCAACAGTGCCTCATCTCCTGGGGACAAGTAACCTTTCCATCTGTATTTGAGATCCACCCTCTCTCCCCCTTCTCAGTCACCTCAGTCTCTTGATTACCTCCCAGTTACTCTTTCCTCATTTCATTCAGGACTCTCCTCAAATATCACCTTAGCAGCAATGCCTTCCCTAGCCAGCCTACAGAAAACAGCACCCCCACCTCCCACCCACCACCACTCTGTTACTCTCTTATTCTAATTTCATTTTCCTCCACCAGGTACTTATTACTCCCTGATATTATATTACAGTAATACCTTACTTAATGTCCAGACTCTTGGAAAAAGCTACACCTTTCAGTGGAACAACGACTTTAAGTGAAACAACTTAAGGCAGGTCCTCTAATCAACATTATTTCATTACAATGTTGATGAGAAAAAAAATTAGTTTCCTTAAATGCTGTTTTGCTTAAAGTAAGGACTTCCTATGTATCTATTTGGTTTTAAGCTTATTGCCTGTTCCTGACACACACACACACACACACACACACACACAAAGTAAACTTTGTCTTGTTCATGCTATACTCCCTGAGTCTGGAATAGGATTGAGCTCCTAGCAGGTGTGCAATAAGCATTCTTTGAATGGAAGAATCATTTCTTCTCCCTAAGTTATCACTAAATGTCTCCCTTTGTATAGCTCTCCTCCTCTCAAGAAAGAAACAGGTTTAACTCTATCTCAAAACAGTAACAACATGAACAAATCCTCTACACACCTGAAAGTTCACTTCCTCCCATATTACTTCCCTAAAGCTGTTCTTGACAATCACTCCCTAGTTACCAAACCTAATGGGCATTTTTAGGCTTTGAGTGCTTTGCAGCATTTTAAACTATGGACCATTTCCTCTTCTTAAAATTCTCATCTCACTGGTTTCTTGATCCCTCTGATTGCAGGCTTCTAGGCTTAGCTTCCTCCCTAGAATCCTCCTATTATAAAACCCAATCCTTAAATATCACTGTTCCCAGGGTTCAATGCTGTCAATACCAGAAAGGCTCCCTGAGTTTTCTACTCAACTCCCAAACTTCATCTCTTTGCACAATGACCACTGCACATTTGCAAATCCAAGCCCTCCTCTTGACCTCTATGTGGCTATATCCAACCACATCCTGGCCAGTTCCTGAGACATTCCACAGGTACCAACAAAGAACCCCACAACTCTTCCAAAACGAAACTCAGTACCACCTTTACACACACACACGCACACATACACACACACACACACTCTCTCTACCTGCTCCTGTGTTCCCCATCAGAGGTTAATGTCCTGCAACCTGCCATGCCACCCAGCCCAGAACTGAGTTATCCTTGATTCCTTCCCTTTCCCGTAACTCCTTTAATTCCAGAATCCCTTGGTTCCTCTCCAGTCGACTCCGGTTTATTCCCATATATTTTTGTTGTCATTTTTGCCTGAAACAGCCTCTTAAGTGCTTCTCTATTTTCCATGTCTCCTACCCTCACCCCCATCACCCTCATTGCTACCAACAGTATGTTTTCCTAAAGTGCAAACAAAATCAGATGCTATCTCTTCAGTGGGTATTGTGTCTTAAAAAAAATAAAAACATATTCCTCATAACACAGAGCCCTGCATAAGCGATCTGGCCTCTGGTTCTTGTCTACTGCTCTGACATTATTTCCACCATTCATCCAACTATACTGAACACCTGTGGGTTCCGACTCCTGCCCTGCTCATTCAGGTCTTATTCAGGCCCTGCCTTGTGTGGTCTCATCCTTCAAAATTCAGATCTGGTGTCATGTTCTCCGGGATGTCTTCCCTGACCTGCCTAAATCTCATAAGCATCTTGTGATAGGCACTAAACTAAAGCAGCTGTATCACCATGTTATTATCATCTTTTACCTGTCTGTGCATGCCATTAGCTGTGGAGGGCCCAAGCACCCTCCAGGGAGGGACCCTGTCCTGCAGTGTAGCACTCAGTGCCTGACATTTGGACTCTTCAGTGATTACCTGTGGAATGAGTAAGTGAATTAATGGGAAAGCTGTGTTTACTGAAAAGGCTTTGAACTACTTTCAATGTAACTAGTGACCTCTTTTTTTTTTCCTCCTAATCCAATCAAATTTCTCAGTATTCTTCCTTCACACCTTTTCAAATACATGTACTTAGCTTAAGAATTCAATAGAAATATAAAGCCTAAAACAAATAAAAAAAAAAACAGTCCCCGATTCTACTCCCCACTCCTGATTCACTATTCCCAGAGGCAGTCATTTAAACTTCAGCTGTTCCTTCTGCTCCTTTCCATTCTATTTTAAATAACATGGTTATTACTGCTATTAGATTTTCTTTTCGATTTTAGGCATTATTTTATTGGCTTCTTCCTATGGAACAGGAGTCAGCAAGTATTTTTATAAAAAGGCCAGATAATAAATATTTTAGGCTTTGTAGGCCATATGGTCTCAGTTGCAACTACTCAATTCTGCTGTGATGTGAAAACAGCCATAGACAAATATGCAAACAAATGGGTATGGCTGTGTTCCAATAAAACTTTTTTTCAAAAACAGGAAGTCCTCCTACTATAGAAGATGAAGTGTTATCTTCCCAATATAGTTATTATCACCCTTATTTATTAAATCAACATTTAATTCACAGCTAAGCCATGAACTATACTTTGCTGAAACTTTGTGTCATTTTTTTCCCTGAAGATAATAACTACCTCATTTAAAAATTTGCATGGTTTTCTATGAATCACTAACTTCTCCTAAAATGCTCCTCTAAAACCTTGAAACTCCTTTCAATCTAAGCTCAATGTTCTTCTCTTGGGTCATTATAGGTAGAGTCCTCCATCAGGAGTCCTTCATCATTGTCTCTAATCTGCCTCCTGGGACTTCTCCTCACCATCCTCCCAGAGACTCACTCCCTCAGTCTCTCTCCATGGTGGACTCCTAGGTTTCTCCTCTCTAGGTTTACACTCTCATTTTAGTGAAGCACAACATCTAGTAATGCTCTAGAAAATCCTAAAAATGAGATGTAAGTTTTTAAGACCTTCATGTCTGAAAATGTTTCTATTCTATCTGGATGGACTGGTGGGTTGCAAATCACAGGCTGGAGGTCAATTTCTCCTTGGAATTTTGAGAGCACTACTCCATTGTTCTATTCCTTCCACCACTTATTTTGAAGAATCTGAACAATTCTGATTTCTGCCCATTTGTATGTGACATCTCTTCCTTTTTGGAAAGCTTTTAGAATCATCTTTTCAAAATGATGTGCCTTGGGGCTATTTTCACCCATGAGGTTAGGTACCTGGTGGATTCTTTCTCAATCTGGAAACTGTCAGATTTTTCAGTTTTGAGAATTCCTCTGGTATTATTTCTTCATAATTCCCTCCCTATTGTTTTCTTTTAATGGAACTCATGTTACTATTTGAATGATGGACCTTCTTGGCTGTACCTCTAATTTTCTGTCTCATTTACAACAAAACAAAAAAAAAACTCTTCATGTTCTACTTTCTGAGAAGTTTCCTCAACTTTCTCTTTCAAGCCTTCTTTTTTCTTTATAGCTAATATGTTTTTAACATTCAATAATTCTTTTTTGAGTGTGCTCTGATATTTTATTTTTATAGTCTCCTAAACTCATGTCAACTAACCAATAATGGAAGGGCATTCAAATGACAAATGGTTACTCTTTTCTTTCAAAGATGACCCTGTGGTCTAGTGGAAACATTTCTGCACAACCAGAATACTCAAACTAGCATGAGGAAAGGCTTCTGTAACAGTTTTAAGGATTTCTCATATATTCAAGCTCTGGCTGAGAATATTTTTGCCTTAAAGGTGCCAGAGCACCAAAATATACTGAGGGTTTGATTTTTTTTTTTTGTATTATGAATTCTTTTAGATGCCCAAAAGTTTTCTTTGAAACATACGGCAATTTGTAAATTAGATCAACTTCGGTGAAAAATTATCTTTTGTGTATAAGTCAGGCAAAAGAAAGTCTGTATAGGTAAATTTCTGATGTTCTCTACTACAGGCTAGAGAAAACCTATCACCTTAAACTCAAGACGACATGTCAAAAAATATCCTTATCTGTAAGATTAAAAGAGGGCCATGAGGACAGGGACCGTATCTATTTTGACTATTGTCTAACTAATATTAGCATAGTATTTGATAAATTAGTAAATATACTAATAGCATATATGGACTTATCAATAGTGGGTCAAAAGAGAAAGATCTTACACACAGCTGTAAAGCTTGGACTAAAAATCCATCTCTCCAAAAATGTGAACACCTAACTTAAAATATCTGCCAAATATTACTTGTGAGAAGGCACTAGTACTGTCATCACTTCCAAACTGAGGAAGCTCTGTGCTTGGCCGGTCTGAAAGGATGCATTACCATCATTAACATTAAGACTCTACTCCTCAAAAGAAGTGTTTTAAACATTCAACGAATTAATTTTAGAGTAAAAGCTCTGTTACCCTGCATGTGGGTAATATAAGCCAAAAGGCAAATCAACAGTAGTGATTTTAATCCTTGTCTGTGAGGAGATGGCAAAAGCCAGTAGTAGAAGTGACAACAACCTCCTAAGAAACTCTCACTACTGAACCAAGAGTATTAGGAAAGCCCATTCTGAGAACCTTCCTGTGGGCCAGCTGCTGAATAACAAGGCTTTTACTCACTGAATGACTCTCCTCTGGCTATTCAAAGTAATTACTATTAACTTGAAGCAGTATCCTATGTTGCTATAATTCCTATAACCTGTTTTACCTGAGATGATATAAAGGTATAAACTAAGGAAGCTTTCTATAGTCCAGAAATACCTCAAACAATGCCACATTCGCACAATCAGAACTGAATGGGATCTCTGAGGTCACATGGCCAAACTCTTTGATTTCAGTGATGAGTGAGGCACATTCGCACAATTCAAGAGGAGAAATACCAACTCCAGTTCATCTTCCTTGGTCAGAAAAAAATCATTTCTAAATCCTAATCTGCTCATAAAAATCAATTAGCTTGATAATAATTACTATTAAGAAGAACAGTAGAAGCAAGTGGCCAGACCCTTCTAGAGCTATCATATATCACATTGTAAGGTAAAATCTGACTGTACTTTTTTGTTGTTGTTGGTCCCTATGTCATAATGTCAATTGACCCAGATCAGGAATGAACACAGCTGTGAACACAGGACTGAATAAACCAATTTCTTGACAGCCAAGCCCATTCAAGCTTCAGAGCCCTGAAAATTCAAGTCATAATCTTATGGGGGAAGACAAAGGGTTTTACAAACAACACTCTATATATTCAGTTTCAAGAGGTCTCACCAGTAACACAAGAACTTTTCACTCATTACATTTTAATGTCTTTTGTGGTAGAACAGCAGTACCTGTAGACTTGGGAGTGAAGATATCTGGGTTCTGAACACAAGCGTTGTGGGATTTGGGCAACTTATTTGATCTCCCTGGGTCTCAGTTTCTTCATTTACAGAACTGGTACAAAAGCCAATCATATGAGACTGACACATGGGCTAAAAACAAAAAGTTACTCTGTTAACATTGAAATGAGAAGCCATCTACAAAATAGCTTAAACATGTTTTGGGGCGCTAAAAATGATCTAGATGACATTTTCTCTTCCCGTTTTCCAAAACAGCATATAAGACACAAAAAACTCACAACTCCCAATGTAAACTCCCTCTTGGGGGTATTTTAAAAACAGAGTTATAAAAAAGAACAAACTACTTATACACACAACATGGATGAATCTCAAATGCATTATGCTGAGTGAAAGAGGACAAATTGAAAAGTCTATATACTGTATGATTTCATTTATATGACATTCAAGAAAAGGTAAAATTGTAGGAACAAAAAACATACCAGTGGTTGGGGTTGGGGACAGGAGAGGGTCAACTATAAAGAGAATTTTAGGGGATAATGAAACTGTTCTATATCTTGATTGTGATGTTCATTACACAACGGTATGCATTTGCTGAAACTCAAAGAATTCCTCACCAGAAAGCGGACATTTTTCCGTGTGAAAAAAGTTAATAAAATTTTTAAAAATCTTACTTAAAGGCTATGTTAATCCAAAGTTAATGAGTAATTCAATTAAAAAATTGTTTTCTAAACACCCAACATGTATAATGGGTGACCAATAGGTGAAGAGGAATCAGCAAAGGCAGGTGAAGTTTGGGGCTGGAGATAAGTGATGGAGAGAGGCTCTCAAAATGCCTGGCTAGGCAGTTTGAATTGAATCTTCTATGTAATGGGGAGCCATTAATTGAAGATTTCTGAGAAAAGGACAAAAATTATCAAAGTTTGTTTGATGTAAAGATTCATCAGGTAGGAATAGGTAGGGCAGGCTTGGGGTCCAAGAAGACCAGTGAGTCATACCCAGGTAGAAGTAACAGTAAACAGCAGGCTAGCAAATAAAACAGAAGAGAAGTCATGGAGTCCAAGAAAATGAAGATAATGGATTTTTTTTTTTTTTTTGAGATAGAGATTCACTATTGTCACCCAGGCTGGAGTGCAGTGGCGCGATCTCAGCTCACTGCAACCTCTGCCTCCTAGATTCAAGCAATTCTCTGCCTCAGCCTCCCGAGTAGCTGGGATTACAGGTGCCTGCCACCACACCCGGCTAATTTTTGTATTTTTAATAGAGACGGGTTTTCATCATGTTGGCCAGGCTGCTCTTGAACTCCTGACCTCATGATCCACCCGCCTCGGCCTCCCAAAGTGCTGGGATTACAGGCGTGAGCCACCGCGCCCAGCTGGATTCTTTTTAAGTGGCCTAAGATGCTAGAATGCTGGTATTGGCAAGAGGCATCAGGGCACGAGAAAGAGGTAACTTTTGGGAGAGTAGATGGATAAGTTCTATTACAGACAGGCTAAATTTGAAGGAAAAGTGAAGACTGAGTCACAGTGAGAAAGAATCCAAGGCTCAGGCAATGTAATCCTTTTATCTTAAGATAATGAAACTTAGGGTTAGAGCTGTCAAATGATCTGCCCAAAGCTTCACATTGACTCCGAAGTACAATAATTAGATTTCCTGGATTCCAATTCGGCTCTCTTAGTACTACATCAAGCTGCCTTGCAGACAAATGAAAATAATAAAGTGAGAGATCAGGACTGGAAATGTTCTATTTGGGGCGCTCAGAGAGTGGGCAGAGGTTGGAAAGGTATTCTACAAATACAACAGTCTAGAAGTGCAGCAGTAAAGATGAAATGAAATTAACAAAGGCTGACCAATGATAAATATCATTCTATGGAAAGTGGGAGAACAAGTACAAAGAGAATTCTAACTTTTCTAGCCTGGGAGACTGGGAAGATGATATTAGTACCATTAAGAGGGAAAAACAGTCAACAGGAAGAGCTGGCTCCATGGAGTAAGACAACGCATTTGGTTTTAGACATGGTGACTCTGCTGACATCCATGAGAAGCAGTTCTCAATAATGGCTGAAGCACATTAAAAAAAAATTCACTCCCATCTCCAAAAGATTCCAATTTAACTGGTCTGAGGTGACACCCCACATAATTTTCTAAACTCTCTCAGATGACTCTAATAGGCAGCCAGGTTGGAGGACCTCTACTCTGGAAAAACATCCGAGCAGAAACTCAACCATGAAATCACTATGCCATGTACTCTCCCTGACAGATTGCATTTTCTAGTACTTATTAGAGAGTAGGTAGGGGGAAAAATGAAGGGGCAGTGAGATAGTGAGGGAAGGGATAACTACTAGCTTTTGGGGGGAATGGAAAAAAGTCTCCAAAGTCCCACACAATGGTTTGTGTGGTGTAAAGCCTAAAATTCAGGCCCAATATTATGTGCTGCCTTGGTATCTGAAACTGGAAAGACCTCCAATGGTCTATCCCCAAGTTCCCTTCCCCACTCTGCTCCTGTGGATAAGGTCCCCTAACCAAACCTCCATCCTTACTGAGGGGACCATGTGCAGTTCCTTCTTATGCCCAAGTAGAGGATTTCCATTTCTTGCCAGCCTGTAGAATTACTCATGCAAGTCAATCACATCCTCCCATGGGAACCAGGGGTCACCCCGTCCTCTTGGTACTACAAAGCCTGCCTCCCATAGACCCTGGATGTTCACCCTTTTCCCAAGTACAATCCCTGTGTGGCCCTGGGTGGTGTGTGGTGTCTCCTCCCGCAGGCTATGAGTGTACGTGAACAATAAACTGCTGCTGATCTCATCTGCCCAGTGTTAGGTGTACTGTGCTTGGTCATCCCTATAATCCTGTGTCAGGAATCTCACACAAATGGGGTGAATAGGAGGTAACTAAAGCAAATAGCATCATGAACAAGAGGGCCCAACCGTGACCAAGGACACCTGGTTAGTTTCAACTTATTTCTCTTAGCTAACTAACTAGTTCCATTATATGGTGAAGGCCACATGGGACAGAATCACCAGTTGCTGCTGGGCTTGCACTATGGCCTACACAGCTCTTAACTGTCTTTGTTGGATGTTGTCATCTCTTCCCACCCTAAAAGGCACTTGTCCCCAAGATAAGACTCTGTTGTTAATTGACTGTACCCTGGTGTGATGCGCCATCAGGTCTGGCCTATGTGTGGCAGGTGTTCTCTGAGGCTCCTGCCTGTAAAGTGGTAACAACACAGTGCCTTAACCAGTAAGCACTTAAGTCCCCCTTATCAAGGGTCAAGCTACAGCTCTTCGGTCACTGTGTCTAGCCTGATGACCATCACTGGCCACTTGGGGCAGGCATACACACACTGTTTATGATTGTGTACCCCAGGAACAGGCTCAGGGACAGCTGTTAAGTTTTTGGAAAGGGAGACCACCACCCTGGGGGAGACTTAAGCATGGCTCCTTGGTTGTGTAGTTCCAGCAAAGGTAGTGGTGGTCTTGCCTGTCTCCTGTGCTGCTGCTTCCCTTGCTGTTGTCATGTACACTCTCCTGATCCCCAAGTAGGTATCAGTGTGCACGTCCATGGTGGCTTGTGGTTCAGGTACTGATGAAAAAAAAAAAGGGGGTGAGCATTTGGTACCAGGCCCTCCCAAAACACAGGAAGAGAGAAGTCAAATGCTCTTCCCATGTGAAACTCTTAACGTGCCTGGGCTCTGCTCAGTTCTGCTGCTTACCAGCATGCCAAGGAGCTAATTTTATGTTCACAGGGCTCAATAAGCCCCATCCAGGCCACAGACAAAATGACCTTGCTGGATGTGGACTCCAACCCAGGAAGATTGACTGGCACTCCCTGAAGGAACACAAGGCTGCTATGAGGCGGGCTTGCAGGCTCCTAAACCTCTCCCTGTAACTACACAGATGTCTACAGCATGAGTGACTGGATGGAGACAAACACTGAAAATCATACTCTACATGGCTAAAAATCCAAAATATTCTGAGAAAATATGTAAAGAGAAAAAAGAATAAAAGTAAAAAAGCAAGGCTGTAGCAGAGGATGGTTTCAATCCAAGGGTGAAGTACACAGAAAGCAATTAAAATAGCTTGATAAAACTATCATTTAAAAGGACCATATAAGCACATTTTAGACAAGATAGATAGATACTTCAGATAATATTACTTGATACAAGGAAACAAAATATTTCAAACAAATAACTCATATAATTAAACACAGATAAAATCTTGAGGGATATAACCGTACATAATTCTGTTTAAATTCTTTATCTACATTCATATAGCCCTCCATTTGAATTCTGAATTGTTAAACAAAATTGTTTTGGATCAATTTATGGTAAGGAACAAAGTTTATCTGATAGCTATCCAAGATGGCAGGGAAACAAAGTAAACACATTAACAAAATTATAACAGACAATACTTAGCAGAGAAAAGTTTGTACTTTGAGATAATTAATAAAAGAAAAACCACATATTTATGGTTGCCCAGGCTCAGCACTCTTCAATCTACAGAAAACAGAAGAGTTGGCCCAAGTGGCAAGTCAATCTATAATTGGAAAACAGCTCCTCAACCAAACCTGTGGAATTCCTAGCAATAAAAAGATGGGCTTCCTCCTATAACTCTGCTGTATTAAAGTAAAATTTTTAAAAACCCAATATTTTTCCAAAGTGTTTTTTTCCCTTTGTTTAAAGAGAAGACACATAATGGATTCTGAATCTGACACAAATTCCTTCCATTCAGGTTTTATGGATGAAATGCTAAAACCTACTTCCACATCCTACATCAAATTACCTTTGCAAACCAAGAAGGATGCTGCACCCTGATGGCTTCCACAGTCATTTCTGCCTCCTAAGAGCTGTTCAACTCTGGCACCTCCTGCACTTTCCTTAGGGTCTGAGAATTTTTGTTTAATATAAATTGAGAATGTTTTTCAAACTCTGGATTTTTCAAAGATGAGTATCAGTTCTTAATCCCCTCCCACTTCCAATTCCTCCTTCCTAGAAGCCTAAGAGGGAGGGAGTACTGAGGTAAACACAAAACTAGTCTGTTGGGGAAAATACATAGAGCAGGACATGGCATGAGGTGACCAAGAGGTATGGAAAAAGTTCTCCTTGCAAAAGCAAACAGAAAGCTCTGGGTGAATGATGAGGCAGGTGGCTAGCAATAGGATCCTCCTGCCAAACAAAAAATGTCCTGGTTCTCCCAATCTGGTTGTAGTACACTAAAAGCAGAAACTGCAGGCAATAAGCAGAATATTTAGGAGGCCACTTTAGGCCAACTTAAGCCCATCCACAAAAATCTGTTAACACCATCTACACCATATGTGATTCATTTAATTTGCCTACAAATTGGTACAGACTTGGTCACCTACTTTAAACTCATACTATATTAGCAAACCACTACTAACTTCTAATACCTAAATAAAACTAGTTGTTTGCCTAAAAGTGAAGTTTTCAGATTGGCATGGGGCACTACTTTAGGGGGACTGGTCTGAGAGATGACAGAATTCATGCCCAGAATGAGCACAAGAATCACAGAATAAAGCCTGTTTGTTTCTTGGTAAACAGTACCAATATCCAGATCAAAAAGTAACCATTTTATAACATAAACTTAACTTCTTACCATGTATCACCTCCTGCATATACAGTCAGCCCTCCACATCCTCAGAATTAAAGATCAAAAATATTTAATAACAATAAGGCAATTAAAATATAAAATTTTTAAAAATATAAAAATACAACTTTTTAAAATACAGTACAACAACTATTTACATATAGCATTTATACTGTATCAGAGATGATTTAAAGTATATGGGAGGATGTGAGTAGGTTATAGGCAATTACTATGCCATTTTAAATAAGGAACTGGAGCAACCTCAAATTTTGGCATGGGATGGGTGTCCTGGAACCAATCCCCCATGGACACTGAGGGACTACTGTATTTATGTTACCTGTTCCAATGTTCCCTTCCATCATCAGTCCAAGCACTGAGAACCAGCTCCAATGGCATGATTTAAGGTTTTTCTAGATACAGATGACCAGTTTGGAGTACAACAAATTTCCAAACTGCCACTCTAGAATACATGTGCAGAATGAGACTCATATCTTCAATCATAGGCACCTTTTCTCAAGATGTTAAATTTGAAAATGACAGTCTTTACTGGTGGCAGTACAAGCCCAGACTAATAATAAAATGAAATAAATTAAAAGTCAGTGAACTCTCATTAGGTTGAATATGAAACCCAAGTATCAATTCTTAAAGGCTCATCAAAATCCTCAAGGAGTTGGTGCAAAGCTGGGTATCACAGACAAGTGATGCAGGCAGCCCTCAAAGAGAGGAATATAAAATAATAACACTCAGAGGGCCAAGGAACTGCCCAGATTCACCTTTGTGAACTCAGTATCTAGGACAGACCAATAATGTAAGTACAGTACACATATACTAGTTGGGCAAGTAGGTGGAATGAATTTATATATGAGGGGCCCACTGGCTAATTTCACCACTTATGCTGTTTTCTTCCTTCACCCCCAAATGACTTAAGGGTTAAAGATTATAAGGAAACAATTTTTACAAGGCAGTCATTCTAGATTCTCAGCCTTCTGTGATATGTTTGCAGTAACTCTTGCCCTGGCCAAATCCTCTCTATGTACAAGAATACCACCAGCTATTGAAAGCACAAAACAACCTCATATGCTGTATACTGGGAGATATCAAGCTCTGTCCACAAAAGTGGAATTAGACTAATGTGACTCACTTTAACAACTGAGCTTTAAGCAGCTGGCTCCACTTTGAAATTCACCCTAAATTCTGTTCACAGTGTAATGCCAGAGTTTCTTAACAACCTCTGTTTTCTGTGAACATGAACTCTTTCTAGATTCCATATCCATCCCTTGGATCCAGATTCAACTGCTAACTTGGTAGATTCCTTAGCTTCTGCTCTCAGAGTTACCTACTCCTGAACAAATAACAGTACTGAGCTGCTTCTGCTTGAAGCTTTTAAAAGCTACACACTGAGTCTCTCCTATCACCACCAGTTCCCAAACAAGTCTACAGTTGTTGTTATCATTAACTCCTATATGGGAGTTACAGTGGGATTCCAAATCTCTTAGTGAAGAAAAAGAAGGTCTGGTGATTTGTCAGCTGTGAGAAGGATATATCATGACAAAGATAAAAGCAAAGACAACGCTTACAGAAGACAGCAGTGATATTTTATTTAGACCAAGAACAAAGAGGTATCTGTGAGGCCATAAAAAAGCTTAGAAGTTGCTGCTTAAAGTCTTGGTAAGAAGAATGACAGCAAAATGAAGAAGTGTAAGTTGCTCTACTGACGGCTTCAGAGTTACCAATTTGATACCAAAAGAAAGGAAGTCTGGCCATTAATTTTTTTTTTTTTTTTTTTTTTAGACAGAGTCTTGCTCTGTTGCCCATGCTGGACTGCAATGGCACGATCTCAGCTCACTGCACCCTCCACCTCCCGGTTCAAGTGATTCTCCTGCCTCAGCCTTCCGAGTAGCTGGGACTACAGGTGCCGCCAACACACCTGGCCAATTTTTATATTTTTAGTAGAAACGGGTTTCATCATGTTGGCCAGGCTGGTCTCAAACTCCTTGGCCATTAGTATTTTTGTTGAATGAATTAGATATCTATTTTTAGACATTAAGTTAGACAACCTTCATATGGTTTTTAAACATTAAAAAAAAAAGGATGAGATACCCTGGATTATATTTCCTCTATTCTAGACTGGATCTTGTTTTAAAGCTTTTACTTTTTGAATCAGGTTACACCATATTTTAAATTTTAATGAAATATAATAGACATTATAATAGAAAGCACAGCTCTTCACAAACTGCACACAGCTGTGTAACCAGCATCCCCATCCAGAAACAGAACATTAGCACTACAAATCCATACTCCTTTCAATACTGCTTTTCCCCAAAAGTAACCACTAGCCTGACTTCTAACAATGTAGATTAGTTTTACCTGTCCTGTGCCTTATAAAAGTGGAATTATGTAATCTGTGTTCTTGTACTTAGCTATTATTTAGTCAATACTCTTATATTTGGCTTCTGTGCCAGTTATCAATTTATTGCCTCTTAACTCCAAACTCACCCTTCAGTACTAGCTCTGTAATAATGGACTGGACTCTCCAGAATTCCTCCTTTACAGAGCACATGATGCTAAACCTGGTCAGCAGAGGCAGCTGGAGGGACAACGCAGGAAGAAGGGAGCTTGTCTTTTGGGTTCAAAAGCGCTGTGCTTTTGCTGTTCTTGCTCTTGCTCCAAGGTCTAGTGTAAGTATGTGGGGACATATGGTAGTGTTCTGCCTACCACATGCACAAAGCACAAAGCACATGGTCCCTCAGTGACACCAGGCCTGGTGACCACCTTCCTGTGCTCCTGTAGACACGGACAGCAGGGACTCCAGGCCTCACACACACAATAGCCTCCTGATGGCCTCTGCTGGCTTGTATCCCAGAGAGTTGTTTCCTGCAGCCCTCCTAAAAAGGATGCCATGTACCACTTCCCTCTGCATGCCCAGCTACCAGGCCTGGCTCATCTGGAACCCAAAGCGTTGTTTAACAGGGCCTTCCCAATGCGGACTCTGCATGCCTCTGCACCTTGTAGCCACAGCGGCACCCAACTCCCTTCTGCATGCCTACCCATCAGGTTTGGTTTCTTGCTTGCCCAGCAACTGTGTATTAACTCTGGCCCAGGCAAGCAGGGAACTCCTCTGCCACCCAATGGGCTACAACCACACCTTTACCAATTAAATCTGAACCCTAACCCTGGGAAAAAGGTCCTCTTATCCCATTCAGAGTATAAATAATTATCTGAAGTTATTCAACTTTAATAACTAGGAGAGCTTAGATCTGTACTTGGGACAGTATAATTCTAAAGCTCAAGACCCTTTTTTTTTTTAGACTGAGTCTTGCTCTGTCGCCCAGGCTGGAGTGCAGTGGCACGATCTCGGCTCACTGCAAGCTCTGCCTCACGGGTTCACGTCATTCTCCTGCCTCAGCCTCCCGAGTAGCTGGGACTACAGTCGCCCGCCACCACGCCCAGCTAATTTTTTGTATTTTTAGTAGAGATGGGGTTTCACCATGTTAGCCAGGATGGTCTCGATTTCCTGACCTCGTGATCCACCCGCCTCGGCCTCCCAAAGTGCTGGGATTACAGACATGAGCCACTGCACCAGGCCAAGACCATTCTACTACCACCAATCTAGAACAGATTAAGGACATTTCACTAAACTCTTCTAAATTCTATGAAGTTTGAGGCAGTGTCATACTCGCCACTACCTTTCATTACCTAGTATAGTGCCTGGCACACAGAAGGTGCTCTGTAACTATCTGATGAATGAATGAAGATCTTGACATTGGAACTACCCATTTTATGCAACCTAAATTCTCAAATTCCATGATTTTTAGCCTCCATGTATTATGTTACACAACAACCCTAACTGGGAAAACAATATTGCAGATTATTGTGATTAAACCATGTAAACATCCAGACCAAGTGACAAAGAAGGGCTAAATTCTGAAAGTTCCAAATTAGGAGTAAGTGATACAAATATCTGTGACCCAAGAAAGAGGGTTAAGACCTATGATCTAGTAAGGAAGGTAACACTAGCACACAAGTAACTGGAGAACAATGCAAAAAGAAAAAAACAAAAACAAACATCAAGACCTAAGCTTTAAAAACCTAAGAGCCATGCGAGTTAAGAGACTGTATAATATCAATGAAAGTTTGACAATCTATTTCATAAAGTAAGCAAGGACTGGAAGTGAAGACAGAGAAAACATGGGTAGTTCACTCTACATTTCACCACGGGAGGGGTCTCTGACCATAAGGCAGCTCTAGAGAAATCAATTCAGGTAAGGGCTACTGCAGCCCCCAGATCCAACAAACAAACTCCCAGCTCTGGGCCTTTAGAGACCACAGGGAAAAGGGCAAGAGTGGATTCCTGATCCTTATAAGCACATGGGTAAAAGCAAGGACCCATCACTCAATGTTCAGATAAATAGTGGATCTAACTTTCTCCTAAATGCAGGTCGGCAATGCCCTCAGGCAAGCAAATGTTATTTTTAGCTATCACTACACTGAAAAGGGAAAGAGGAAGAGGGAAGGGAAGTGGGGGTGGGGGAGGAAGGAAGAGAGGGACAGGGGGTGGGGAGAGGGAGAGGCAAACCATCTAAAATGTAAATTTTATGTACTTCTTTGTATGTTATTGTTCAATAAAAAGTTTACCAAGGGAAAAAAGTGAACTGTTTTTTCATTCTCAAAGATGACGTGGGAGCTCCAAAATGCCAGCATGGGTCCTACCTATACTTGGAGATAATGAAATCATCCCCTAGTTTTTTCTTCTCTGGGATAAATATACCAGGTTCCTAGCTCCTCTACTTGGGTATTATTTAGTCACTCATACATTTTCTGCTCTCTCCTGAACCTTCCATGTTCTGTATACTCCTTAATTTACAAAGTCAAAGCTGAACTAAGGTACTTTATCAGGTTAAAGTAGTATGAACCCTCACAAATATTCATCAAAATCAAGTCAAACCTTATGATGAAATACTAAAGGCACTCCTGTTAACAAGTTGGGACCAAGACAAAAATGCCAGCTATCAGTGAGTCTAAAGAATATGCAGAACGATTATGAGGTAATATAAACTGGAAAGAAAAACACAAAATTCTTATTTATATATGATGTGGCTGTTTTATCTTGTAAGCCCTTAAGAAATAACTTCAAAACCATGAGAACCAAGAAAAAGAGTTTATAATGAGGTAGGAAAATAGGGTCTGGAGGCAGGGAACCTGAGGCAGGGAACCTAAGGCCGATTCACGCCTACAGCTAAAGCCAAAGGAAAACCCCAACTTTCCATACAAACAAAAGGATCGAAGGCTACACCCTTTGCAAAGCCCCCTCCTTTTCCATGTGGCCCAGGGAAAACCGATCAGACATTTGACTAGGAGTGTAACTTTGTAACTTCACTTTAGCCTCTGATTGGTTGCTTTCCCCAATCAATCAGGTGTTTGCATAGGAATGTGACCTTTGTAACTTCACTTCAGCCTCTGATTGCAGGCCACTACTTCATTTACATAGCGTGTACATCAAGTAATCAATGGGAAACCTCTGGAGGGTATTTAAACCCCAGAAAGTTTTGTAACAGGTCCCTTGAGCCCCTATGCTCAGCCTGCTTCCACCCTGTGGAGTGTACTTTCGTTTTCAATAAATCTCTGCTTTTGTTGTTTCATTCTTTCCTTGCTTTGTTTGTACATTTTGTTCAATTCTTTCCTTGCTTTGTACATTTTGTTCAATTCTTTGTTCAAAACACCAAGAACCTGGACACCCTCTACCGGTAACAATAAGATGGCCAGTAAAAATATATATTTATACAAACATCAATAACTTTGTGAAAAGAAACCTCAAGCTTTCTTCACATATGCACCTGCTATGGTTCATGTCATAAATACCAAGTGAATACCAACTGGCTGCAACTGCATACTTAAGAGACTGGTGCCAAAGGAGGGCCCATCCACTCACACAGACCAGACATGAGAAGTCAACCTTCCAGAGGACAGTTCAGCCCCACACTGGAACCGACCCCAACAGAAAAACAAAAAACAAAAAACACCATTAACGCACCCAGAATTGTGCTAATATGTCCAACATAATATTCATCTTGAATTTCCACTACACCAAATCCAATCATTTCTCAAATTTCTCCCTTTCATTGTATGGTTTGTCCCTCCGAGGAGCTGGTCACCTCACTCAACAACCAACATGAGAAGATATACAGGACAGTCATTAATGAAACTAAAGAATCAACTCTTTTTCAACTATAAAGTGAAGCCAAAATAAAAAAAATCCTTTTCTAAAGATGCTATGCCATAAAATCCCATAATTCTATGACTCATTCCCTAAAACTACATACCATGAAAAAAAACTTTGGGAAATGAATTATTTTGAAGAAACAGTAATATCATCTCTATTTACTGAGTTATTTATTCTCTAGATGAAAAAGAAAGCTTCTTTTAATATAGAGGAAAAATTAATTCTTTTTTTTTCTTCAAGCAAAATTTACTAAAAAGGAAAAGCTGCACAGAAGTCAGGAAAATGATTCAGGAAATGTTTTTGCAGGAAGACACAAACATCTTTACCAAAACATGTTAGGTACTTGAAGAAATTCTCTGTACATGAAGAAAATTAGCCCTGTAATAATAATTACCAAAATAATATACAGCATCAATATTTGAATTTGTAAACAGAATAAGTAAAAGTAAGAAATACGTTGTCTTTAAGCTCATCCCCACTATATATGTAGCGAATCAATCCCTTGAGGCCTTTACTGTTAAGTTTTACCACTGGCACAGGCCACCTGAAACTTCAAACACAGGCCAGGCGTGGTGGCTCACATGTGTAATCCAGGTACTTTGGGAGGCCAAGGCGGGCAGATCACCTGAGGTCAGGAGTTCGAGACCAGCCTGGCCAACATGGTGAAACCCTGCCTCTACTAAAATACAAAAATTAGCTGGGCGTGGTGGCATGCACCTGTAGTCCCAGGCTGAGGCACAAGAATCACTTGAACCCAGGAGGCAGAGGTTGCAGTGAGCTGAGATCGCACCACTGCACTCCAGCCTGGGCGACAGAGCAAGACTCTGTCTCCCCCCAGCAAAAAAAGAAACTTCAAACACAGACTCAAACACACAAGATGAGTACACCTCAGTCAGCACCAGACCTGAGGACGCTCCCTCATCTTTTTCCATTTTATCCCTATCAATAACATCCAACTATTCAAACCATCAGATTGTTATTACAATGTTCAGATTCTTGAGGATGTAGTCATGTTCTCACCCACACAGATTAACCTCTTATCAGACCAACACAAAAGAAGGACCATCCAAACATAAAAACAGAGAAAGAGAAAGGTGGTTAACTTTTTTGTGAAAAACATGCCTGCTCAAATTATCTACAACTCCCATCTGAACTAACATTTGGTAGAATAAATACACATGCTAAAGTAAAAACAGAATGAGGGACAGAAAAGGAAGGAAAGAGAATTATTTAAGAATTTGTTAAAATATAAGATACATTACTTCAACAACAACAAAAAATCACTAAGCAAAGAGACAGCAGAAATAAACTTAGAACGAGAGAGTCTCTATAGTATCTCCTGGCTTGGTTCTACAGAGACTTGTGGCCGCTATTTATCATGATTTGGAGAATTTGAAAAATTGTTTCTTTGGTATTGGATACCAGCTATTTGGCTTTCTGCTCCAAAAATAGCCTGAAAATATATAGCTAAGATTTATCTGGGTGGCCGCTTTGTAACAAGCAGCTTTAACTTCAGTGCAAATAGAGTCCAAAGGTCAGAGTGGTATCCTGTGTGAATCTGTGACCTCAAGCTGTCTGCTACGTTTCTCTTGATTTTTCCATCTACTCTGACCTCAAAGATTCTCCTATAGAATCTGGGGGCTATTTCTGCTCTAAGGTCAAGTAAAAAGATTCAAAAAAAGGTTATACATTAAGAAGGACTTTCCAAAGGGAAAGCGCTAAACATTTGCTCCTTTACGTGGACATGTAGTGTGTGTGTGTCTACACACACTACACATATGTGTAAACAAAATAAATATATGTGTAGCAAACACAATAAACAAAACAAATATATGTGTAGATTATTGTATGTTGAATAAACAGATTATCTTCCAAGGCTAGTGGGTCAGTACACTTCAGTTATTTTTCTAGTAATAGAGACACTAGACAATCCATTCTCTCCCTCTCTTGGAGTACAAATTCTATAATCAACTGTCTGGGTTCACATCTTAGCCCTTGCTAGTTGTTAGCCACACAGCCAGAGCAAATCACTTAACCTCCTTAACTCAAGTTTTCCCATCTACAAAACATGACAATCATATAAGGATTAAATAAATTAGTAGATGCAAATTACAAAGTACAGTGTCTGGCACATAGAAAACACTACATGAGGTTAAATATTGATATTTAAACAACAGCCATCCTAGGTTATAGAAAAAATACGTGATAACAGCAGTGAGAATAAATGACCTATATGGATTTCAGTCTTCACCATGATTCATACTCCTCAACCAAATAAACTTTAGAATTTTATTTTCCTTTATTGAAGGAGCAAGCCCCCCACGCCCCCAATGTAGCCAGAAACCACAAATGCATAATGCAGAAACACGACTCTAGATCAAAATCTGTTACCATAAAACTGTTTAAAAATAACACATTCAAAAACAAATAGAGGAGCACTTAATTTAGCAAACTACAACTTTTAAACATTCTTATCACAATGATACCTCTTTTACAAGGCATAATCACATAAAAAGATATGGTGTATAGCGAATAAATGAATTTCCTCACAGTTTTTTAAAAAAGTTTTTTAATAAAAAATTTCCGTGTTACTTATTAACAAGATGAAAGTTTGCTCTTCTTACAATGTAGCAATAGTGAAATAATTATTTAGGTAACAATCACCAAGGAATGTTAAGTTCAAACCAATTAGCTGGGCGTAGGGGCAGGCGCCTATAATCCCAGCTACTCGGGAGGCTGAGGTGGGAAAATCACTTAAACCCAGGAGGTGGAGGTCGCAGTGAGCCGAGATCGCACCACCACACTCCACTACAGCCCGGGCAACAGAGTGACAAAGTGAGACTCCGTCTCAAAAAAAAAAAAAAGAAAGAAAGAAAGAAATTTTCTATAATAAAAAAAAATTTCTTGCTGGGTGCAGAGATGCACACCTGTAATCCCAGCTACTTGGAGGCTGAGGTGGGAGGATCACTTGAGCCCAGGAGCTGGATATCAACCTAGACAACATAGCAAGGCCCCCATTAGAAAGAAAAAAAAAAAATCTACTTTGGGAGGCCAAGGCAGGTGGATCACCTGAGGTCAGGAGTTCGAGACCAGCCTGGCTAACATGGTGAAACCCCATCTCTACTAAAAATATAAAAATTAGCTGGGTGTGGTGGCATGTGCCTGTGATCCCAGCTACTCGGGAGGCTGAGGCAGGAGAATCGCTGGAACCCGGGTGGCAGAGGTTGCAGTGAGCCAAGATTGTACCACTGCACTCCAGCCTGGGCAACAGAACGAGACTCCATCTCAAAAAAAAAAAAAAAAAAAAAAAAGTGCCAGGTGTGGTGACTCACGCCTGTAATCCCAGCACTTTGGGACGCCGAGGTGGGCTGATCACGAGGTCAGGAGTTCGAGACCAGCCCGACCAACAGTGGCGGGAAACCCCATCTCTACTAAAAATACAAAAATTAGCTGGGCGTGGTGGCTCACGCCTGTAATCCCAGCTACTGAGGAGGCTGAGGCAGGAGAGGTGCTTGAGCCCAGGAGGTAGAGGTTGCAGTAAGCCAAGATCACAACACTGTACTCCTGCCTGGGCGACAGAGTGAGACTCTGTCTCAAAAAAAAAAAAAAAAAATCTTAAAAGGCTAAAAGAAACAAGAGACAGGAACTCATAACCAGTCCTAAGTCTGGCCACCGTCCATGAGGCATGAAAAACTGCAGAAGGCCTACATCTGTAAAACACAAAAACATCTGATACTAGTGGTCTCTAAAGACTATACGTGAGATGTTTTAAGCATACCTCCTTGTCAGCAGAAATTCTCTGCACATTCCTATGGAGGTGTGCTTTCCACTAAGCAATGAAAATCTATTATCAAAGTATAAACAAGATGTCTTGATACCAAACTGAACTTTTCCAACCTCCTTACCCTTAGGAAAATTATTCAAAGAAACTGACCACTAAAACATGTTTTTAAACATGATATATATATTTCTAAGAGTTCAACAGCTTGCCTCTTTCTACTTTTCAAGCTTTTCCAACACTCATATATTTTTATACAATCAAAGAAATAATCTTTAGTACAATAAAAGAAAAAAATTGGGTTTTTGTTTTGTTTTGCTTTTTAAAGTACATTTACAGCAATCTCTTCTCCATTTCCACTATTCCCAACTTAGGTCAGGCTATTATCACCTCATACTTGGTATCAGTGTAGTTAAAACATTAACTGACTATATCATAGATTCATAGGTCAAGTGTATCACCAATTTCCTTTCAAAACTTAAGAAAACAGCAGTCTACTACATGTATAGAAGATGGCACTGTTCGAATGCTATAAACTACTATTTTGATAAAGGGGTTCAGCAGGCAATACAGGCACCAAAGCTATGCAAAGAGTGTTTATGTTTTGCTCTGTAACTGTCCTTTGTATCCTTTCTTGTTGGGTAAAGAAAATAGTGAATCCAAAATATTGTACCTTAACAATATTTTCCCAACAGCTGTCTGCCAAATATGTCTTACCAGGCTAAACTCACCTTTCTGTGACTCCCTTCTTTGCTTTACACATCTCTTGATTGGCTCACCCCTGTAATCCTAGCACTTAGGGAGGCTGAGGATGGCTTGAGCCCAGAAGATCAAGACCATACTGGGCAACATAAGGACGCCCCATCTCTAAAAAAAAATAAAAAATTAGAGAACCCAGGTGTAGTGGTGCATGCCTGTGGTCCCAGCTACTTGGAAGGCTGAGACAGGAGGATTACATAAGCCTGGGAGGTCAAAGTTGCAATGAGACGTGATTATGCCTGGGTGACACAGTGAAACCCAGTCTCAAAAAAAAAAAAAAAAAGGAAAAGACAACAAAAAATACATCTATTGAACATGTTTTGGCCAATAATGGTAAAAAGGAGACACTATAAAAACAACAATAAATGATGTCTTACCTTTAGGTAAGAATGAATATAGTTTTAACATACAATTCAAAATAAGCTATAAAATGAAGTACATTTGGTTGTAGTGAAAGCTAATCTGGGAAATTTATTTCTCTATTGATCTTATTCCCCTAGGAATAGGGCAGATTGTTCCTAAGGTAAGACAGAAGAGACAACATTATTGCTAGCAAAGTTGAAATTAATCAGCTCTGCTCCCTTTCTGCTGTTAATATTCCAAGCAAAGGTGGTTACTTCCTTAATTAATACAGAAGTAGTAGTTATATTTATCCACACTGATAGATGGCTTTCCACTGTTAAAGTCCTTCTACTCAAAGAACTTATCTTCTAAGAACTTAAAATTGGATTTGTCTAATATTCACTGTTAATAATTAAGGTAGAATGCAGCAGCTAACATTTACTGCATTTTGTCTTAATCATCATAATCATCCCATGAGATAGGTACGGTACTATTATTGTTCCCATTGTATAGATGAGGACATTGAAGCACAAGACGGTCAAGTAACTTGCCAAAGATAACAGATCTAATAAGTAGCTAAGCTAGGATTCAAATCCAGGCAGTCTGGTTGCTGAGTCCACATTCTTAGCTGCACATGATAGGCCTGCCATAATGAAATAATATCACCATTATCAGCTGACCACGGTGGCTCACACCTGTAATCCCAGCACTCTGGGATGCCGAGGTAGGCGGTTCACAAGGTCAAGAGATCGAGACCATCCTGGCCAACATGGTGAAACCCTGTCTCTACTAAAAATACAAAAATTAGCTGGGTGTGGTGGTGCGTGCCTATAGTCCCAGCTACTCAGGAGGCTGAGGCAGGAGAATTGCTTGAACTCAGGGAGGCGGAGGCTGCAGTGAGCCGAGATCATGCCACTGTACTCCAGCCTGACGACAGAGCGAGACTCCATCTCAAAAAAAAAAAAAAATCACCATTATCACCACTTGAAGTTTTCAAGGAGCAAACTGAAAAAGTAAATCTACTAGTACCTTCTTCTAAAATCCATTAGTCACATTAAATCCTGTGAAGAAATATTTAATGAGCATCTGCTGTATAGCCAGCATTGTGCTAGTAGTAAAGGGAATACTGGAGAAGCAGAAGACAGCTATTCCCTCAAAACCTTATTGTCAAGGTAGGGACACAAAACATACATGGATAACTAGGAGAGAAAATGTATGTCTTCTCTGTATAAAAGCAACTTCCTCACAAATTCATCCATGGCCAGCCCTCACTTCTTACTTGAGTGCATTTTTAAGATACATCACAGTTGACTGTGGAAACACAGAGACAATCTTCCCAAAAACTGTTGGTGGGAGGGGCAGTGTGGGTTTCTAAGGACTAAAAATCATTAAATAATCTCAACTCAATTCAATTACTTAAAAAAAAAACCTACACCTAAAATGTAGTTAAAGAATCTACATATCCAAATACTAACAAAACACTACCTGCTTTTAAGAAATCAGTCTCATGAGAAAGACAAATCTGCTAACAAATGTCATTTGATGCAAGAGCTGATATAACTAAGGAAGAGTTTCGGACACGGTGAGTAGAAATAAAGGAGTAGGCAATTCCAAGGGGAAATTCTTGATAACATAAATCTTTAGGGTATTATAAAAGGAAACAATATGGAAATGTGAAACTTTATAATAATTGAAAATAGTAAAGTCATACTCCAAATCCTGTAACAGGTGCTGAATATTCTATATGCACAAATATGACTCCCTGCAAACCCCAATACCAATGTAACAGTAGTAGTCTCAACATAAATATTTAATGTCCATCTCAGTCTCTATTGTTCTACAGTAATGTCCACCAGTCGATCAAAAACTATAAGGCATATGAAAAAGCAAAAGCAGGGAAGAACCCATATCAAAAGACAAACCAAACAAGAGAGCCAAACTAAGAAAGATGACCAAGATGTTGTAAGTATTGGAGAGGAAATTTAAAATAACAACAATTGATATGTTAAAAAATTTAGTAGACAATATGTATGAACAGATGGCAAACTTCAACAGAAAGATGAAATATGTGACAAAGAATCAAATGGAAATGGTATAATTTTTTTAAGTCATCAGAGATTTAAAAGTTCCTTTGATGGGCTCATAAGAACACTCTACACAGTCAAGGAAGTAATCGAACTTGAAGATAGGTCACTAGAAATCACCCAAACTGCAACAAAAACGGGGAAAAAGAAGTGGAGGGAAACACAGAAAGAAGGCTGGAGAGCTGTGGGATATGATCAATGGCATCATATACATGTAACTGGAGTCCCAGATGGCAGAAGGGGATAGAGGGACTGACGCAGAAACAGTATTTGGCAGGGGGGAAAAAAAGGCTAAGAATTCTCCAAAAATAAAGTCATCAAATCACAGCTCCAAGAAGCCCAGAGAACCCTACAGAATAAATATAAACAAGCACACAAATAAATATAATAAATACAATAAAGAACACACATTGAGACACTTCACAGTTAAATAGCTAAAAATCAAAGTTAAACAGAAAATCTTAAATGCAGCCAGAGGGAGGAAAAAGACATTACCTTGGAAGAAGAAAATTAAAATAAAAAATTCACCAGACTACTCATCAGATTTTTTGCAATCCAGAGGACAATGGAGTAATTCTTTAAAGTAATGAAGGAAAAAAAAAACACACCTCACAACGCAGAAATATCTCCCCAAAATGAAAGCAAAACAACCAGTTTTCAGATAATTAAAAGTTAAGATAATTCAATGTCGGCATACCTGCACTACAAGAAATGGTAAACGAAGTTCTTTAAGTAGAAGGTATATGACACTGAACAAAAATGAGGACCTACATGAAGAAGTGGATACCTCCAGAAATGGCAAAAACAGAAGTCAATGCGAGATCTTTTTTTCACATTTTTAATCATTCTGAAAGATAACTGCCTAAAGCAAAAACAGTAGCAGTGTATTGTAGAGATTATAAAAAATATAAAAGTAAGATGTATGACAATATCATATAGGATGAAGAGGAAAAACTGGAAATATACTGTATTGTTAGGATCTCATACTATATGAGAAGTAGTATAATATGGGAAGGTAGGTTGTGATGTATCTTGTAAATCCAAGGACAATCACTAAATTTTTATAAAAAGGTATAACTAATACATCAATAATAGAGATAAAATTGAATTTTAAAAAACCCTCAATCTAAAAGCAGGAATAAAGAGGAAAGGGGAAACAGGTTAGAGACAAATAGAAATCAACTGGCAAGATAACAGACTTAAATTCAACCATATTAATAATTATGTTAAATGTAAACAGTCTATACATACCAGTTAAAAGGCTGAGATTATCACAATACCCAGTTATATGTTTCTATAAGAAATCCATTTTAAAAACATAGATAGGTTACAAGTAAAATGATGGAAAAAGATACCAAGCACATACTAATCAAAAGAAAGCTAGAGAGGTTACATAAATTTACACAAAGTAGATTTGAAATAAATATTGAAAGCAATAGAGAGACATCACATAATGATGAGTTAATTCATCGAAAAGATATAACGATCCTTAATATGTATGCACCTGACATCAGAGCTTAACAGCATACGATGTAAGAATTCACAGAATTGTAAGGAGAAATACACATATCCATAATTAACAGTGGACTTAACACTCCACTTCTGGTAATCCATAGTGTGTAGAAAAAAATTTCTATCTAGAAGATACCAATAACACTACAACCAACTTTACCTAATTAACATTTACAGAACACCTCACCCTACAAGAGCAGAATATACATTCTTTTCAAGTGAACATGGAACGTTCACCAATACAGCCTATATTCTTGGCCATAAAACAAACCTCAACAAATTTGAAAGAATTAAAATTATATTATCCAACTACAAAAAAATTAAATTTGAAATTAACAGAAAGATATCAGGAAAATCCATAAATAAAAATAAAACACATTTCTAGACAATACATGGATCAAAAAGGAAGTAACAAGGGAAACCAGAAAATACTTGGAATAGAATCAAAATCAAAACAACATGAAAATTTACAGAATGCAACTTAAACAGTGCTTAGACAAAAGTTTATAGCATTAAAGCTTGTATTAGGGAAGAAGAAAGACCTCAAATCAATTAAACTTCCACCTAAGAAACTAAAATTGGAGACCAAATTAAACCCAAAGGAAGCAGAAGAAATCATAATGAACGAAAATCAATGAAATTAAGAACAGAAAAATAAGTCGTGAAAAGGAAAGAAACCAAAGCGAGTTTTTTATAAACCTCTAAGTAGAATGATCAAGTAAAAAAAGGAAAAAGACACAATTTACCAGTATTAGGACTCAAAGAGGAGACATCATGAGGTATACATTAAAGGAAAATAATGGAATATTATTAGCAAATTTCTGTATATAAATTTGAACTTAGATAAGTTGAATAACTCCACAAAAGTGAAAGCTACCGAAGCTCACTCAAGAAGATATAGAGTAGCCAGGTGTGGTGGCTCACGCCTGTAATCCCAGCACTTTGGGAGGCCGAGGCAGGCGGATCACCTGAGGTTGGGAGTTCAAGACCAGCCTGACCAACATGGAGAAACCGTCTTTACTAAAAATACAAAATTAGCCAGGCGTGGGGAGCATTCCTGTAATCCCAGCTACTCGGGAGGCTGAGGCAGGAGAATTGCTTGAACCTGGTTGCAGTGAGCCAAGAGGTTGCAGTGAGCCAAGATCGCACCATTGCACTCCAGCCTTGGCAACAAGAGTGAAACTCCGTCTCACCAAAAAAAAAAAAAAAAAAAAGAAACAGAGAATTTGAACAGTCCTTTACCTATGAAAGATGGTAAATTTACAGTTAAACGCCTTCCAACAAAGAGAACTCCAGGCGCAGATGACTTCGCTGGTGAATTTTACTGTATTTAAGGAAGAAATAATATCAATTTTACATAAACTCTTCCAGAAAAGAGAAAAGGAGGGGACACTTCCCACCTCATTTCATGAGGCCAGCATTACCTTGACATCAAACGCAGCAAATACAAGAAACCATCAACCAAAGACAAAGATCAAAACAAGTGACATTAAACTCCTTAACAAAGTACCAGCAAATTGAATCCTGCAATATATAAAAAAGATAATGAGAGACAGGACTAGCTGGATTTCCTAGGCCGACTAAGAATTCCTAAGCCTAGCTGGGAAGGGGACTGCACCCACCTTTAAACACGGGGCTTATAACTCAGCTCACACCTGACCAATCAGGTAGTAAAGAGGGCTCACTAAAATACAAATTAGGCTAAAAGCAGGAGGTAAAGAAATAGTCAAATCATATATCGCCTGAGAGCACAGGAGGAGGGACAATGACTGGGATATAAACCCAGGCATTTGAGCAGGTAGTGGCAACCCCCTTTGGGTCCCCTCCCATTGTATGGGAGCTCTGTTTTCACTCTTATTAAATCTTGCAACTGCACACTCTTCTGGTCCGTGTTTGTTCCGGCTCAAGCTGAGCTTTCGCTCCCTGTCAACTACTGCTGAACGCCGTCACAAGACCCGCCGTTGACTTTCACCCCTCCGGATCCGGCAGGGTGTCCGCTGTGCTTCTGATCCAGCGAGGTGCCCATTGCCACTCCTGATCGGGCTAGAGGCTCACCATTGTTCCTGCACAGCTAAGTGCCTGGATTCATCCTAATCGAGCTGAATGCTAGTCTCTGGGTTCCACGGTTCTCTTCCGTGACCCATGGCTTCTAACAGAGCTATAGAACTCACTGCGTGGGCCAAGGTTCCATTCCTTAGAATCTGTGAGGCCAAGAACCCCAGGTCAGAGAACAAAAGGCTTGCTGCCATCTTGGGAGCGGCCCACCACCATCTTGGGAGCTCTAAGAACAAAGACCTGCTGGTAACAATAATACATCAAGATCAAGTGAGATTTATCCTAGGAATGCAAGAGTGAGTCAATCCTCAAAAACATCAGTCAATATAATTCACCGTATCAACAGACCAAAGGAAAAACCCCATGGTCATCGTGATACACAAAAAGCATGTAACAAAATTCAAAATCCATTTATGATAAAAACTCTCAGCAAATTTGGAACAAAAGGTAACTTCCTCAACTTGATAAAAGGCATTGACAAAAAACGTATAGTTAATGTGAATGAATTATTTTCCCTTAAATTCAGGAACAACACAAAGACATCTAATTTCATCACACTGACTCAATATCATGTGAGGAGGAGGAATCCTAGCCAGTGCAATAAGACAAGAAAAAGGAACAGAAGCCATAAAGAGTAAACAGGAAGAAATAAAATGGTTATTTGCACTTGACATAACTAATCATAACATAGAAAATTCCAAAGAATCTATAAAAAGAGCTTCTAGAACTATAATTTAATAAGGTCATAGGCTATAAGATTGACATATAAAAATCAATTACATTTCAACATACTATCAAGAAACAATTGCAAATTAACATTTTTTAAAGTACCATTTAAAATAGTGTCCAAAAAACATACTTAGAGAAATACTTAGAGACAACTCTAATTAAGCATAGCCTTGTAATTGTTATAAACTAACTTTAAATTGGCCAATCTCTTCTGTTACAGAAATACTATCTGATAGCCTAAGTAGCCTAAACCTTCCAAATGAGCTGACTTATTTTATTCTTCTCTTTGGAGTTGATAAGAGAATAAGTCAGCTTATTCAGGATTTTGGAATAATTAGCAAGCCTTTCAGATGAATCAGCTTTCCTTTCAGTAGAGGGTCTCTTCTCTCATGCTTTTCATTGACAAAGGTTCATCCCAAGAGTTCACACCATAAGGTTAGTATCTTGGAACTAGGAAACAAAAAAATGGTATGCAGCCTCAGAAAATTAAAAGCTTGCAAAAGTAAAGTTCTCTCTGGTAAGTGGGGAACTGATCACACTGAAAACTGACAAGCTTTAATACTCACTTCCCAAAGTAAGTCATAATGACACTAACGTGTACAAAGGATAGCCTCCTATTAATAACGCAGTGACACATCTAACTGACCAGAGTTGGACTGCCTAACCCAAGAGCAGTCAATGCCTGAACAGGCCAGCAACTGATGACATTTCTGTAGTGAAAAACAAACCAAAAAAAACCCAAAAAAACCCTGCTGGGCAAAATAGACTCTCTCAAATTTGAAATGGAATGTACCAAAAGAATAAAGCATTAAGCAATAGGAGTAAACGCTGAGAAGTCATGAAATTCAGAGACCCTGGAGGAGCCATGAGGGAGGGACCTTGGGCATGGAAAAAGTAAGAGGGAGCATAGTGTATAAGCAAGCAGAAGCTATAAAGTAGAGGCAGGTAGCAGCAGGTAGGATGAGGAAGCCAGTAGGTGGGAAAAGAAGGGTGAGGCTGACCCATAGGGAGTGGTGTAAATGGCAAAATCCTAGAGAGACTATCCAAGAAAACCTGCTTATGAAAGCCCCTGGAGTTGTCCTGGATCCAGCAGGATAAATGTGTTAGTCATCATCTATTGCCACAATAACGCTGAACAACAGACCACAAAATCTCAGTGTCATACAACAATAAGAATTTTATTTTCACTCAGGCATCTGAGTTGCGCTGGCACTGCTTTAAGTTCAGGTCGGCTCAGGTGGCTCTGCTGTATGGTCTCACAATGAGAAACAGGCTGAAGAGGCTGTGGCAATTCAGGGTTTTTCTTCTCATAGTCATGACAGAGGCACTAGAGGATAAGCCCATCAGCCCAAGCATACTACTAACCTCTGCTTTTGTCTTGTCCACTAACATCCCACTGGGCCAAGGTAAGTCATATACCCATGCCCAAAATGAAGAGGCAGGTACAAAAACCCATCTCACATGAGGTTATGGCAGGGTAAAGACGTAGAAAACTACTACAGGAGAGTGAGGAATTGAGACCAATGATTCAGTCTCCTACACTACTCCACACCACTTCTCTAAGCTAGTTAGGCCTAAATCTTTGTACCCTGCAAACTAAAAGAGTCTAACTAAACAGAGAGAGCAAGAAAATTTTCTAGGACCAAAGACATGCTACTCTAGCTCCCACTCTCTAATGCAATGTCATCTAAGGACCCTGATCTCCCCTTTCTCCCCTTATAGGATATGGTCTAAAATTATTTTGTTGAAATATTTCTAATCAAAAGGTGATTGGGGGGATTCTTAAGAAAGCCAGGAAAAGAGACACAACAAAAAAAGAGAATTTTAGACCAATATCCCTGATGAACATCGATGCAAAAATCCTCAATAAAATACTGGCAAACCGAATCCAGCAGCACATCAAAAAGCTTATCCACCATGATCAAGTGGGCTTCATCCCTGGGATGCAAGGCTGGTTCAACATACGCAAATCAATAAACGTAATCTGGCATATAAACAGAACCAAAGACAAAAACCACATGATTATCTCAATAGATGCAGAAAAGGTCTTCGACAAAATTCAACAGCCCTTCATGCTAAAAACTCTCAACAAATTAGGTATTGATGGGACATATCTCAAAATACTAAGAGCTATTTATGACAAACCCACAGCCAATATCATACTGAATGGGCAAAAACTGGAAGCATTCCCTTTGAAAACTGGCACAAGACAGGGATGCCCTCTCTCACCACTCCTATTCAACATAGTGTTGGAAGTTCTGGCCAGGGCAATCAGGCAGGAGAAAGAAATAAAGGGTATTCAATTAGGAAAAGAGGAAGTCAAACCGTCCCTGTTTGCAGATGACGTGATTGTATATTTAGAAAACCCCATCATCTCAGTCCAAAATCTCCTTAAGCTGATAAGCAACTTCAGCAAAGTCGCAGGATAGAAAATCAATGTGCAAAAATCACAAGCATTCTTATACACCAATAACAGGCAAACAGAGAGCCAAATTATGAGTGAACTCCCATTCACAATTGATTCAAACAGAATAAAATACCTAGGAATCCAACTTACAAGGAATGTGAAGTACCTCTTCAAGGAGAACTACAAATCACTGCTCAACGAAATAAAAGAGGACACAAACAAATGGAAGAACATTCCATGCTCATGGATAGGAAGAATCAATATCGTGAAAATGGCCATACTGCCCAAGGTAATTTATAGCTTCAATGCCATCCCCATCAAGCTATCACTTTCTTCACAGAATTGGAAAAAACTACTTTAAAGTTCATATGGAACCAAAAAAGAGTCCGCATTGCCAAGTCAATCCTAAGCCAAAAGAACAAAGCTGGAGGCATCACGCTACCTGACTTCAAACTATACTACAAGGCTACAGTAACCAAAACAGCATGGTACGGGTACAAAACAGAGATATAGACCAATGGAACAGAACAGAGCCCTCAGAAGTAATACCACACATCTACAACCATCTGATGTTTGACAAACCTGACAAAAACAAGAAATGGGGAAAGGATTCCCTATTTAATAAATGGTGCTGGGAAAACTGGCTAGCCATATGTAGAAAGCTGAAGTTCGATCCCTTCTTTACACCTTATACAAATACGAATTCAAGATGGATTAAAGACTTACATGTTAGACCTAAAACCATAAAAACGCTAGAAGAAAACCTAGGCAATACCATGCAGGACACAGGCATGGGCAAGAACTTCATGTCTAAAACACCAAAAGCAATGGCAACAAAAGCCAAAATTGACAAATGGGAAGTAATTAAACTAAAGAGCTTCTGCACAGCAAAAGAAACTACCATCAGAGTGAACAGGCACCCACAGAATGGGAGAAAATTTTTACAATCTACTCATCTGACAAAGGGCTAATATCCAGAATCTACAAAGAACTCTAACAAATTTACAAGAAAAAAACAACCCCATCAACAAGTGGGCAAAGGATATGAACAGACATTTCTCAAAAGAAGACATTTATGCAGCCAAAAGACTCATGAAAAAATGCTCATCATCACTGGCCATCAGAGAAATGCAAATCAAAACCACAATGAGATACCATCTCACACCAGTTAGAATGGCGATCATTAAAAAGACAGGAAATAACAGGTGCTGGAGAGGATGTGGAGAAATAGGAACACTTTTACACTGTTGGTGGGACTGTAAACTGGTTCAACCATTGCGGAAGACAGTGTGGCGATTCCTCAGGGATCTAGAACTAGAAATACCATTTGACCCACCCATCCCATTACTGGGTATATACCCAAAGGATTATAAATCATGCTGCTATAAAGACACATGCACACGTATGTTTACTGCAGCACTATTCACAATAGCAAAGATTTGGAACCAACCCAAATGTCCAACAATGATAGACTGGATTAAGAAAATGTGGCACATATACACCATGGAATACTATGCAGCCATAAAAAAATGATGAGTTCATGTCCTTTGTAGGGACATGGATGAAGCTGGAAAGCATCATTCTCAGCAAACTATTGCAGGGACAAAAAACCAAATGCTGCATGTTCTCACTCATAGGTGGGAATTGAACAATGAGAACACTTGGACACAGGAAGGGGAACATCACACACCGGGGCCTGTTGTGGGGTGGGGGGAGGGGGGAGGGATAGCATTAGGAGATATACCTAATGTAAATGACGAGTTAATGGGTACAGCACACCAACATGGCACATGTATACCTATGTAACAAACCTGCACAATGTGCACATGTACCCTAGAACTTAAAGTATAATTTTACATATATATATATATACACACACACACACACACACACACACACATATATATATACATATATATATAAAAGAAAGCCAGGAGATTGGGAGGCCAAGGTGGGCAGATCACTTGAGGTCGAGAGTTCAAGACCAGCCTGGCCAACATGAAGAAACTCCGTCTCTACTAAAAAATAAAAAAAATTAGCTGGGCATGGTAGCGTGTGCCTATAATACCAGCTATTCGGGAGGCTGAGGCAGGAGAATCACTTGAACCCGGGAGGCGGAGGTTGTGGTAAGCCAAGATTGCACCATTGCACTCCAGCCTGGGCAACAAGAATGAAACTCCAAATCAAAAGAAAAAACAAAGCCAGTAGACATGTCTAGAAAATACGGCTGCAACCATTCAAGGATTTTCACAGATGGAAGGTGCCGATAAAACATACAGACCACTCCACTAAGGTATAAAGAATTTCAAGGCTGGGCGCAGTGGCTCACGCCTGTAATCGCAGCCCTCTGGGAGGCCAAGGCAGGCAGATCACAAGGTCAGGAGATCAAGACCATCCTGGCTAAGACAGTGAAACCCCGTCTCTACTAAAAATACAAAAAATTAGCCAGGTGTGGTGGCGTGTGCCTGTAGTCCCAGCTACTCAGGAGGCAGAGGCAAGAGAATGGCGTGAACCCAGGAGGCAGAGCTTGTAGTGAGCCGAGATCGTGCCGCTGCACTCCAGCCTGGGCGACAGAGTGAGACTCTGTATCAAACAAACAAAAAAAAAGAATTTCAAATCAGACTCCCGTGAGTCCAATGGTCACAGGTTCCCAATATCCAAAGCTTTTGAGTACTATCAGCATTTTCATGGTTTAAAAAACAAAACAAAACAAAAAAAACTTTTGTAAGTGGTATTCTCTACCTAATTTCTTTTTTTTAAAAAAAGGACATGAACCACACACACAAGAAAAGTGGGTAAAGTCAAATCTAAGTGTAGAGTAGAATGAAATGGCAGAAAACAAAATAGAAAAACTTGGAAAGTTAACACATTTAATTTGCTGGAGTAATAGGTAATGTTTACTGTCTTAAACGAGAGTCTTTTGAGAAAGATAGTTTTCCTCAAAAATAAGTAAAATCTAGATATACTTTTGAACTATGATCCATTTCAAACAATTAATTTACTCCTTTTTAAAAGTATTAACAATGACACAATAGTAGTACTTCATTTAAAGACAACGAGTACACATATTCATACAAATAGAAACTGGAGCTACCATGCACACTACATTTGCTGCTGTTCAAAGATTTAAAAATGCCTGCTTCTGACCTAGACTATCCTGGCAAAATCTAATTAGTGGTCAAGAAGTCCATGACTAAGGGAAGGAACAAAAAGGCAATGGAACAGCACTGGCATTAGCAGGGATGCAACATGAGAACACCCGGGGATGCCATGACTTCCCAAGATTCCCTGTTTTACATTAGGCTGGGTCTAACACCAGAGGGTGTGAGCTAACATACCTTAGTACAAACTCTGTGACACATACCATTATAATAAATACTATTACACTGAAATCAAAGATTTCCAGTTCTCAGGTATCTAAAACGTGCCCCTCCAAAACTCAATTTAAGAAATAATTTAAGAAGTGACTATGTAAAAGCACTTCCTTAAAAGACTTCCTTAAACAAGAAAGAAAAAACCTATCCCTCCACCCTCTTTGTGGCAAAAACAACAGAAAAATCAAAATACAATCCTTCTACAGAAAACAATTTCTTGCCTCCAAGGAGAAGATTCAGGCATTTTAAAACAGTTCTTTGGTATCCAAATGTTTTGATAAGGAGAATGCCAACACTGTTTAACTCAGCCCAATCAAAAAGGGGGGGGGGGGTTAAATAGTAAAAGAGGGATATGGTTTGTTCATCACTAGAATAAATTCAGAGTTATAAAAGTTATGAAATTATCTCCCTTGTGATGCTCACATGGCCTTTACACTTTGGTTTCTTTACTTCTTAGTCTCTATTTTCAGCATTAATTTATGAGAACACACAAGGAGTTAAGCTATACTACCCAAAGGCTTTCTGTATGCACAGACCCAAGCCACTAAGAACTCAGAGATGGCACTTTAAAAGCAAGCCCAGCACCCACAGGGGTCCCACATGACTTTGGCCTACAACACTGCTACC
Organism: Homo sapiens; assembly: GCF_000001405.40. Taxonomy (NCBI): domain Eukaryota; kingdom Metazoa; phylum Chordata; class Mammalia; order Primates; family Hominidae; genus Homo; species Homo sapiens. The sequence goes on from NC_000020.11 coordinate 41,593,510, forward strand.
TGCTGATATTGCAGCTCTTCTAGCCTGTTTTTCTCTGGTGACAACCCCCCAAAAACCCAACTCTTAATATAATAAGTTTTGAAACATGGGTGTTATAAGCTGCAGTGTCTGACCCCCAAATTCATATGCTGAAGCCCTAAACTCTATTTCCTCAGCATGTGACTGTATTTGGAGATAGGGTCTTTAAAGAGGTAAGTTAAAAGGAGGCCATTACTGTGACTTCTAATCCAATATGACTGGTATCCTTACAAAAAGATGAGATGTGGACATAGATAAACACAGAGAAAAGACCATGTGAGGATATGGCAAGAGGCAGCTATCTACAAGCGAAGAGAAGAAAGAAACCGAACCTGCTGACATCTTGATCTTGGACTTCCAGGCACCAGAATTGTGAGAACGTAATTTCTATTCTTTAAGCTATCCAGTCCGTAGTATTTTGGTATGGCCCTAACGAACTAATGCAATGGAGAACAAATTTTGCTTAAAAAAAAAAAAAAAATCCCATGATCAAGAAGAGATGCTACTTCTAAATCTACCCTTATGGGATTTTTGATGGCTTAATGGAACACCTCAATTCATCTCAATTATTGAAAAAAACACCACATTCATAATAAGCATCCCTATAGTTTTTATCTAACCTCATAAAGGTGTTCCACAGTATCAATAGTAAAGCACTGTTGGAACCTTTTTACCTAGCTGCAGCTCACTTCCACTCTTTGCCTTCTCCACTATGGTATTTTCAGGACCATATGCTAAAGTGGTCACATCCCATGGCTCCAGCCTAAGATGGAAGTCAAACTTATATGACAATGTTTTCCTCAAAATTTCTTCCCAAAGTGATGTTTTTGGCATTCTTACACCAATCTAAAATCAAAGTACTGGTACTGCAGGTCTCTGAAGACATTGTGCTCCACTTCACACCTCCACATCTGTGCACGAGCTATCATGCCCTTTGACTATCTGGAAAACTCCTAATAATCTTTTAAGAATCAGAAGAAACTCACCACCTCTATAAAGTCTTTTGAAAACCATTTTCACCACCTAAAAGTTGACCTACCACCCATTGTGATTATTTGTGCCAGAAACAATAAGTTCCTCTTCAAAGCTTGCTTGGTCTTTCTTGCTCTGTACACAAGCCCTTCCTGCTTAATCTGTAATGAACACTTGTTTCTCTGCTTAATCTATAACTAGCAAATCTCTGACTCTGTAAACAACCCTTCCCAACTAGTTGGTAATGGACAGCCTCTCCCTTCTCGCCTAATTGACCTTATTCAATTTCAAACACTAGCCAATCGGGTCAGCTTAGACTGTGTGGTCCAACTCCACCCAATGGGGGAAAGGACACAGGAACTGTGTTAGGGATAAAAACCCCTGCCCTACCCTGCTCAGTGTGTTCTTGTGATCGGACAGGTGCAGGTAGCACCCTTCTGCAGAAGTAAATGTGTCTTGCTGAGAAACTTTCTAAGTGCTGGTTTTTCTTTGTGGCACTGAGCACTTGTCTCTAACAATTTGAGGGATCGTCCAGGATCCCATTCTCCTCTGGGGAAGGGTCTCTGATCATCTCTTGTGAGGAGATGTGTCCCACTGCCTTGTTGCAGTGGCCTCAGGGGTGAGGGATCGAGACCCACCTGGTGTGACGAATAAACCCAGACTCTCAGCAACGCAGGAGGAAAGGGCCTACTGATACTGTGGCGACCCAGTAACTGTGCACAGACCAATGTAAGAAAATCCATGGGGCAGTGAAGTACTTCCTTGGTGGTCAGGACACCCTGGAAGTTGAAAGTGTGTGAATGAGATGCAGAATTAAGTCTGAAGCAAGTGTGGAGTCCAGATTTGCAGTTCTGTGGTCACCTCATACAGCTTAAGGTGGGGCACGCCTTTCCTGTCGGGGGTTTATACCAACCCACCAATGCTAAGAGGGACCTAAATTCCCATGAGGGAAGCGGCCCAAGAAGGATGAAGGGAAGGCAAAGGAGTGCAAGAAACCTCCAGTGGGGTGGTTGAGCCTCCAGAGAAAGGGTGCAAGAAATCTCTAGTAAGAGAGGTTTAGCCCCACACATGCAGGAAACTCAGGGAAACACCTAAAACTTCCAGGATGGGAAATAACCCAAGCAGGACAGGAAATATAAAGGACTAGACAGACAATAAAATTCCCTCTAATAGCCCTCCAGGTCTCATGTTAAAATACTGTAAGGGTAATGAAAGGACTAAACATTAGAAAAAGCAACAAATGATAAAATATTGTTGTTTTATTTGGACCAAAGAACCCACCCTTGAACCCTCAGTTTGCTTTTTTTTTTGGCCAGTTTGGGTCAAATGAGGATTGGATTTGTCAACTTCTAATAGAATATGTCAATGACAAAAGTCCTGTCTCCCAGGAGGAAATAGACTATGCCCTGTGCTGGCGGCAGGGGCCTGTCCTCCTCTACCCCCTAAAAGCTACAGGAAATAAGCCAAAAGCTACCTCCCCTGAAAACAGAATCCCTACCCCCAAGCAGTCTAACACCACATGGGACCCTTTAGACAACCTTCCCCCACCCACCGCTCTGCCCCAAGCTGAACACTCAGTCCCTCCACCATATAACCCTGCCCTGCGGGCCCCGTCACCCCACATTCCTATGGAGTAGTCGCCCAAACATGCCCCTCCCTCAGAGAAGCTCCAACGAGAAATAGAACAATGCCACAGGGACACTCACAACTTCCCTTTCCTCTCCTAAAAGGAGTCTGCCCCAACCCTTTTTCCCTTAAGAGAAGTGCCACGTGGAGGAATGGGAATTGGCTTTGTAAATGCCCCCTTAACTAGTTTAGAGGTCAGAAACCTGAAGAGGGAACTTAAACCACTATTAGATGATCCTTTTGGGGTCACGGATCAAATTGACCAATTTTTAGGACCACAAGTATACACTTGGGCTGAGTTAATGTCCATCTTCAGTATTCTCTTTTCGAGGGAGGAAAGAACCATGATCCGCAGGGCTGCTATGATAGTCTGGGAGCACAAACATCCTCCCGGTCAAAATATCCCTGCAGCAGAACAAAAATTTCTGGCCCAAGACCCGCAATGGGATAATAACAATGCAGCCCACCGAGAAAACTTGAAAGACCTTAGGGAAATGATAGTTAAAGGGATTCAGGAATCAGTGCCTTGAACCCAAAGTATTTCCCGAGCATTTAATATACAGCAGGGAAAAGATGAAGGGCCCATGGAGTTTTTAAACAGACTCAAGGAACAGATGAGAAAATATGTAGGCTTAGACACAGAGGATCCCCTTGGGCAGGGGATGTGAAAGCTCCATTTTGTTACTAATAGTTGGCCAGATATCACAAAGAAATTACAAAAAATAGAGAACTGGAAATGGAAAGATCGGCCTATAGAGGAACCTTTGAGGGAGGCCCAAAAAGTATATGTAAGAAGGGATAAAGAAAAGCAAAAGCAAAAGGCAAAAAATCATGCTGTCCGCTCTACAACAAAGTACCCGAGGGTCCAAAACCTGTAAAGAACTTAAGCCCCCACTCACTAGGCCATATAAAGGGTATGTAAAAGCAAAGCAAGGAAACTTAAAAACAGGGAGAGAAAGAGGGCAAAACAAATGTTTCAAATGTGGAAGAATAGGTCACTTCAAAAGAGAATGTCCCAAATGGGAAAAAGAAAAAGAAGTCATCCCACTTACGGCCTTTGAAGAAGAATAGGGAGGTCAGGGATTCTGTTTCTTTTATCTCAAGTACCACCAAGAGCCCCTTATAAATTTAGAGGTGGGACGTAAATCCGAACTGCTCCCCGGAAAGACATCAGCTTATCTCCTTATGAAATGTTTTATGGGTTGCCTTATTTAAATTCCACTACGGACCTCCCGACATTTGAGACAAAGGATCAGTTTCTTAAAAACTATGTATTTGGTCTGTCTTCTACCCTTTCCTTTCTCAGGACTCAAGGCCTCCTAGCGCAAACTCCACCCCTTGAATTCGCAGTTCACCAACACCAACCTGGAGATCATGTCCTTATCAGAAGTTGGAAAGAGGGAAAGCTCGAACCCACCTGGGAAGGACCCCTTATCTAGTGCTCCTAACGACTGAAACAGCAGTCTGAACCACTGAGAAGGGGTTGACCCACCATACCCGGGTCAAAAAGGCATCGCCCTCTCCAAAGTCAAGGACCATCATCCCAGGACCAACCCCCATCAGAGTAATGTTAAAGAAAAAAGCCTAATCTGTCTATCCTTTTTTTTTTCCTCTTCTCTTTCCCTTAGCTACCCCACATCTCATTATTAATATAAACGCATCAGAGTCACCGCAAATCATTACTTTTGATGCTTGTCTTGTTATACCCTGTGGAGACTTGCGAAGTCAAAGGCAGCTCTCTACTTTGCCCTTCTTGGAAATTCTCAGACTGGGCAGATTCTATTAACTGGGGAGTTCCCTTAGACTTGGGATATTATTTTTAAAATTCTGTTAACTGGGAATCCCGTCCTCTGCAAACAGAGCGTCTCTGCCATAGCTGGTCCAATGTTCTATGGACTACGAAAAATCAGGGTTGGACCTCCCCAACAAGTCTCTGTGTATCCCTAAAACTATACAATTGTTTCACTAAAGGAAGCCCCCCCACCAATTGCCAGCAAAACTAATGTAATCCAGTACAAATTTCCATTACTATCTCAATTTCCCAAAATTCCTCCCTTCATTAAGTCGTTTCTAGGGTATGGGAGCAGAGGTCGCAGGGGCAGACTCTACAGGATTTTTCAAAATTAGTTTCGTTGCCTCGTCATCCCCTCCGCCCTCTCCTTCAAACCTTCTAATCAAACTACTAGTCTCTCCCTACAATGCAATGGCTCCCAAAGTAGCCACTGTAGAAGTTAAAGATTTAAAACCCACCCTAGCTATTGAAACAGGGTACCAAGATGCAAATGCCTGGCTAGCACGGATTAAATATTCCGTCCGCAAACTAAACAAAAGCGACTGTTAACGCTTGTGCAACGGGCAGGCCAGAAACCCAAATCATCCCCTTTCTACTTGGATGGTCCTCCGACCAACAGGGTATGAGCTGTATGGTATCTCTCTTCCAAAACCCCACAGCCTGGGGCAATAAGGCATGCCAAACTCTCTTGCTGTTATTCCCGGAAGTTAAAAGCCCTGCGGGTCAGCCCCCAAGGGCCATCTGTCCTCCAGGTACCAATGTCAATTTCACCTCGTGTCTCTCACAGCAAGGGGAAAACTTGGCATTCCTTGGAAATCTAGCAAGATGAAGTAAGCCTAAGCCTTTCTAGGAGCTAACCAATCAGTCTGCCCTTGTTCATCCCCAAGCAGATGTATGGTGGTACTGTGGTGGACCACTATTGGGTACTCTGCCAAATAAGTGGGGCAACACTTGCGCCCTAATTCAATTGGCCATCCCACCCTGGCATTTCGTCGACTAAGCAAAAAGGACAATCACAAAAAAAGGAGTACTCCCTACGGGTCCTCTGACCCTTACATTTACATAGATGCCATCGGAGTTCCACGAGGAGTGTTAAATGAATTTAAAGCCCAAAATCAAATAGCTACAGGATTTCAATCTATATTGTTCTCATGGGAAACTGTAAACAAAAGTGTAGACTGGATAAATTACATTTACTATAATCAACAGCAGTTTGTCAATTATACTAGGGATGCCATTAAAGGAATAGCTGAACAATTAGGTCCTAACAGCCAAATGGCTTGGGAAAACAGGATAGCCCTGGACATGATATTAGCCAAGAAAGGTGGGAGTCTGTGTCATGATTGGGGTCCAATGCTGTACTTTTATCCCTAACAACACAGCCCCCGATGGAACAATTACAAAAGCCTGGGCCTTACCACCCTAGCAAATGAATTAGCCGAAAATTCTGGAATAGATTACCCCTTCTCTGGTCTCATGGAAAAATGGTTTAGAAAATGGAAGGGACTCATAACCTCAATCTTTACCCCCCTTGCAATTGCTATAGGTGTACTCATTCTTGTAGGTTGCTGCACCATACCTCGTATTTGTGGATCAGGGCAAAGGCTTATAAAAACAGCCCCCACCAAAACCCCTCTCGATTCTCCCCCTCCCTACTCGGATAAGTTCCTACTCCCAGACAACCAAGAGGAGCAACAAAGCCAAGATATGTTACAAAAATTTGAAGAGGAAGAACTATAAACTCAAGAGGGGGAAATCTGCCAGACACAATAAGTTCCTCTTCAAAGCTTCCTTCGTCTTTCTCTCTGTACACAGCCCTTCCTGCTTAATCTGTAATGAACACTTGTTTCTCTGCTTAATCTATAACTAGCAAATCTCTGACTCTGTAAACAACCCCTCCCAACTAGTTGGTAATAGACAGCCTCTCCCTTCCCGCCTAATTGGCCTTATTCCATTTTAAACACTAGCCAATTGGGTCAGCTTAGACTGTGTGGTCCAACTCCAGCCAATGGGGAAAGGACACAGAAACAGGAACTATATAGGGATTTAAAACCCTGCTCTACCCTGCTCAGTGTGCTCTTGTGATCAGACAGGTGCAGGCAGCACCATTCTGCAGAAGTAAATGTGCCTTGCTGAGAAATTTTCTAAGTGCTGGTTTTTCTTTGTGGCACCGAGCACTTGTCTGTAACATTTGTGTGTCTGTCTCCTTCAATACACTGAAAAGTCCTTGATGGCAGGAACTGTATTTATCTTTTATCTGTAAACCCCTGTAGAGTGCCTGTAAATGTGTACTGAATAAATGAATGCCACCAACAAATCCAGACCCAACCCTCAATGGCACAAATCATATGTTATAATCAATGCCTCCCAACAATTTGAATCTCACAGATATACTTTGCACTAAAGAAGCCAGATACGAAACAGGACATTTTGTATTATTCCATTTGAAGTTCAATAACAGGCAAAACTAATCTTTGTGACAGAAGCCAGAACTAAGCGGAGTAGGGTAGAGTGAGGGGGGGGTCTTATCCAGGAAGGGTCACAAGAGAACCTTATGGAGTGTTGGAACAGTCTCTATGTTGATCTGAGGGTGGCAGTTACACAGGTATATACATATCTAAAAGAATAATCAAGCAGTATACTTGAGATTAGTACCATTTACTGAAATTTATCTTGTATTTCAAAAACCCAAGTTCTATATATGGCCCTCATCTGCCTCAACCCCCATCCAAACATCAATGCTCAATAAACATTTGTGACTGAACGCCTAAATACTTTCTAAATAACAACAATCAACTACACTATTTTCATATAAGGGAAGAAAAATCTAGTCAAGCAATTGCAGTCAAAGTTTTGGGCTGGAGCTAAGCTAACCACCACCATCACCTCACACAAACAAGAAACTTGCTTCTGTCCAGAGTTGCAGTGTGCCTACAGGTGCTGCATGGGTAGCATTTGCCCCTCCCTATGACTGGCTGGAAACATACCCAGCCCCACTGTTGAGGCATAGGATCCCAATGGCATTTCAAGTCACTAGGAGAAAAAAGTGGAATTTTACAACTGAAGGCTCTATCACATCAAAAATCTAGACACACTGGCAATAAAATCAGAAGAAAACCTCTGCCCACCTTTCCAGGAATTTTCACTTAATCTTTCTGTGACTGTTACCTGCCTGACAAACTCCTATTCATCCTTCAAATCCCAACTCAGATGTTAACTCTTCTGGGAAGTTCTTCCTAACCTCCTCACCCTCCTTCTATGTTCCTTTTACTGTTCTATTACTTTGGTTCACTTCAATTTAAATATTGGTCATGTTTATTTCCCCTGAGATCACATTTGCCATTCTAGCACGAAGTACATGGCAGGGCTCTTTAGAAGCATGAAAATGTCTGTTGAAGTGACTTGAAACACGACTACTACTGGACATGCCTTACAATTTATATGCCCAACTCTAGAGTCCCAAAATAAGTGGTATTTCCTAGATAAGGCACAGTCTGTACTTATGAAGAGGGAGTGAAAAAACTATAAATATTCTCTAGGACAGTGTTATTTTTAGTATTATGGTCACCAGCCTCTAAGAGTGAACTTCAAGGTAGCAACCTGGAGACTAAATGACTCAAAGATTATGGGATCTGCCAGGAAAGGTATGCTCCTGAAGCTATGGTATAGCAGATATGGTCCCAGAAGCAGTGGGTTCACTCGCTTCAAGGCAGGATCTTCAATGCCCTGCATTTATATAAATGTCAGAACAAGTAACTGTGCAACCCCAAACAAGTTACTTTACCTCCCTGTGCCTCAGTTTCCTCATTGGTAAAATGAAGGTAATAACAGAACCCAAAATTTCATGTGGTGTTAAAGGATTAAATGAGATGATACAGTGCCTGGCATATCGTGAGCACTCAATAAATGTTTGCTCCAATTATTTCACTGCTCTGGGACGGGACAGGGATCCCTCAGTTTTATTTGGTCCTGTCATATTCCTGCCCTACCTGGCACCGGCACCAAATCTCTTCTCTGAGCCTCTCCACCCTGGCTTCCTTGCTTGCACAGCTGATTACCCTCACCACACAGGGCCTCCCTCTGGCCATGAACACAACCCAACAAAGCAAAGCTACACTGCATTCTTTAGTCCCTCTCCTCTTCCACTTTCCTAATGAAAACTTAGTTGTTTCCTATTTCATTTCCGTGGTGCTCTATCTCCTTTTGGTTAGCAGATTAATGAGAGCAAACTGATCAAATACCCATGTCCCTACAGTCACTCTCTCAAAGATTCTCATGAATAAACTCAGTTAAATAGAGTAACATGAATTACAAGAATTTCAGGCTCTACTGTCTAATGAGACAAAGCTTCCTTTCCGCTACCCCCTCCTCTCCCTCTCTCTTTCTTCCTGGCAAAGAGAAGAGGGGATGCTGGCACCACAAACCACAAAAAGAAGGTGCCCATTTCACCTTCCTATGAGGCAAGCCCCTTGGTTGACCACCAGAGCAGTTTTACCTGTGGGCTTACCCCAGCCTTCATCTCACACCAAGGAGTAAAACTGCCAGTTTGCTCAAGTTTAAGGGTGTTTAACGAAACACAGTCCAGTGACTGCAGTGAGCACAGTGGTTCAAGGCTGGGTGCTGGCCTGCCTTTCTTGCCTCCCTGGTGGACAGTCTCTAATCCAACTGTGCCTCTGCACTGCTCCTCGCACTGTCATGCTTTTACAAGTCAGTGGGGTCATCACCAGCATTTCTTTTTACATTAAAAAAACCCAGAATTTTAAAAGGACAATTTTATAGCATGTAAATTATATTTCAGTAAAACTTTTTTTGGAGACAGGGTCTCATTCTGTTGCTCAAGCTGAATTGCAGTGGCATGATCATGGGCAATCCTCCTACCTTTGCCTCCTGAGTAGCAGGATCTACAGGTGCACACCACCACACCGGGCTAATTTTTAAAATATTTTGTAGAGATAGGGTCTCAATATGCTGACCAGGCTGGTCTCGAACTCCTGGGCTCACGTGATCTGCCTGCCTCATCCCCTCAAAGTGCTAGGATTACAGGCATGAGCCACCGTGCCTGGCCAAAACTATTTTTAAAAGATTAGAGAATAGAAAATCGAGTGCATCACAAGTGGTGAGAGTAAATACTGAATATTAAAATATTTGAATTATGCTGGGCATGGTGGCTCATGCCTGTAAACCCAGCACTTTGAGAGGCCAAGGTGGGTGGATCACTTGAGGTCAGGAGTTTGAGTCCAGCCTGGCCAACATGGTGAAACCCTGTCTCTACTAAAAATACAAAAATTAGCTGGGTGAGTGGCAGGTGCCAGCAGTCCCAGCTCCGTGGGAGGCTGAGGCTTTGAACCTGGGAGGCGGAGGTTGCAGTGAGCCAAGATCATGCCACTGTACTCCAGCCTGGGCAACAGAGTGAGACTCCATCTCAGAAAAGAAAAGAAAAAAACCTTTGAATTAACAATGCAAACATATACACGTGTGTGTACTAGGCACAATATAGTGTTTTTATCACTATGAGTTATGGTTGCAAGATTACAAAACTCTAGTTTCAGCAGTCAGGAGCTGGCCTAAGGTAAATTCCTTGTGTAAGGAGAGCTAGCAAACCCTTTGGAATGCTTCATTTCAAGGCATTAAGGTTGAGAAACATTGAATTTAAAAAATTCATTTTGGGCTGGGCACGGTGGCTCACGCCTGTAATCCCAGCACTTTGGGAGGCCAAGGCAGGTGGATTGCCTGAGCTCAGGAGTTGGAGACCAGCTTGGGCAACATGGTGAAACCCTGTCTCTACTAAAATACAAAAAAATTAGCTAGGCTTGGCGGTGTGCACCTGTAATCCCAGCTACTTGAGAGGCTGAGGCAGGAGAATCACTTGAACCCAGGGGAAGCAGAGGCTGCAGTGAGCCGAAATCGTGCCACTGCACTCCAGCCTGGGCAAAAGAGCAAGACTCAGTCCCAAAACAAAACAAAACAAAAAAGAATTCATTTCATGAAGCCTAACTCCCAAGATTCTACATCCAGCTGGAAATGACAGGGTTAGCAAGGCCTTACCCTGGGTTCACCTATTCCTGTGTGCATGTGTGCGCATGCGTGTTTGTATAGGAAGGGTGGGGGTGGGTAGGTAGGGGGTGTCAGGGAGAACAGGGGCTGCTAAAGAATGTGATCCTCATGTTCCTAGGCCCCTGGTTGAATATCATCTCATTCTCCATCCCATGCTTAACAATCCAACGAGTGCCCAGGTTTACACAAAAAGATGCTGAGTTCAGTTTTGCACTTGGACAGGCAGGTGGAGCTGCTGAGTGTATGGCTGGAAATAAAGGTTTGGATCACAGGAGAGGGTTGGGATGGAAAAATAGATTCTAGAGTCATCAAAAGTTGAAACAACAAGAAAGAATAGCATGCCCAGGAAGGAGTATAAAACTAGAAGGACATAAGACCAATAAGATATGACTGAGGAATAGTTAAAGATTAGAGGAGTCCTTAATAGTTTTTTAAAAATTAAAACCCCAGGAACTACATAATGACTGGTCATGAAAATCAGTGGTCCTCAAGGAATAGCAGAAGATTCCTAACTCTTCAGGTTGCAGATGTCTTAGAGTTGGCTATGAAAATCATTTCCTAGTCTCATTAATACTATCACAATTTCTTAACTAAGCATGTGGGTGACTCAAATGGCCTTAATCCTAAAACGGAAAATAACTGTCCAGATAAAGCCTCTCCAAGTCTCAGGAAGATTTGAACAAACACGTCTGCACTGGATGTGAGGTTCCACTTTAGAACTCTGCCACCCATCTTCTCTAAGAAGACCAATTCCCCACCTGTGGCGGGGAGCACAGAAAGAGGTAAGCAGGGAAGAAGGCTCAGGAAGCTGGGCCACACCATTTTCCAAGGGTTTTCATTTCCATTTCTGGAATCCTCGGACTACCAGGTCAAACTAATTGATACTGAAAGGTATGGGCACATGACTACGTAATACAATGCAGGATCCTTGACTGGATCCTAATGGGGGACAGGGAGTTGGGGGTGGGGAGGCTACAAATAACATTTTCATGGGAAAATTTTAAAAAGGACTGCATATTGGGTTTTACATCAAGTTTCCTGAGTGATATAATTACACTGTGATTATTCTATGTAGGAGAATGCCTTTTTCCTTAGGATAAATATGTAAAGTATTTATGGGTGAAGCATTACTGTGTCTGTAAGTAACTCTCAAATGGTATTGTCACAAAAAAAGTCATATATAGAGAGACAGAAAGTTATAAAGCAAATTTGTCAAAATGTTAATAACAGGTGGTTCTAGGTGAAGGGGGGATGGGTGTTCATGGTATTGTTCTCATACCTGTCTGTAGGTTTGATACTTTTCAAGATAGAAAGGACTATAAATCCTTTAAGTATAAAAAATGTTTTTAATTTCTACAGGTTCCAACTCCCTTCCATTAGAATGGAGAACAAAGAGTTGACTCAAAAATGCCTCAAAACATTCTTTAATACTATTCCCATTCACAAATAAAGGAATTTATTTGCCAAAGAGAAACTGAATTTCAAGTGCACAAACCAAGTCAGCCTCTATCCCACACTGAGTTCCTGAGTTATTATATAAATTAACACAAGTTAGATGTTATTTTTAACATAAACCTTCCATATGTTGTTGGATACTTTACCTGAATTCTTTATTTTAAAGGGTGTATTAGTACTAAGGAGTTTTACACAAATACCAAGGGTTAATGGCAAATTTACTTATTTATAGCTAATACAGAGAGACAGCATGGATAAACCACATGTAAGACTTATTGTGTAAGACTTATTGTTTTAACTAGTAAATTTTAATTTTAATCAGAACTATTAGTAAAATTGACAAAATTTCATCTCTATCTACTTTCATTCCTAAAGAAGATTCTATTTAATAACAAAAAGGAAAGAAGTGAAATGAAAATATCCAAAGTACTCAAGTATGAATACTTGACCAAATGAAAACTGACTTTAATGCAGGCAAACAGTTTTTGAGAACCTACTATGTACAAACCTCTATGAGGAATTCAAGGTACAAAGAATGGGCCATGCACCCATGAGGACCACAATTTTGTAGGAAAAGACAAACATTTAGAACACTGAAGGAAAAGAATAATGGTTGACTCTGTCTCACCTTGTCCCAGCTGCTAATGCCTCAATTCAAAGACTTATCTCGGCCGGGCGTAGTGGCTTATGCCTGTAATCCCAGCACTTCGGGAGGCTGAGGCAGGCGAATCACGAGGTCAGGAGTTTGAGACCAGCCTGGCCAATATGGTGAAACCCCGTCTCTACTAAAAATACAAAAAACTGGCCAGGTGTGGTAGCTCACGTCTGTAATCCCAGCACTTTGGGAGGCCAAGGCGGGCAGATCACGAGGTCAGGAGATCAAGACCACCCTGGCTAACACGGTGAAACCCCGTCTCTACTAAAAAACAAAAACAAAATTAGCCAGGCGTGGTGGCGGGTGCCTGTAGTTCCAGCTACTCAGGAGGCTGAGGCGGGAGAATGGCGTGAACCCAGGAGGTGGAGTTTGCAGTGAGCCGAGATCGTGCCACTGCACTCCAGCCTGGGCGACGGAGCGAGACTCTGTCTCAAAAAAACAAAATTAGCTGGGTGTGGTGGCAGGCGCCTGTAATCTCAGCTACTCAGGAGGCTGAGGCAGGAGAATCACTTGAATCCAGGAGGTGGAGGTCACAGTGAGCAGAGATCGCACCACTGCACTTCAGCCTGGGCAACAGAGCAAGACTCCATCTCAAAAAAAAAAAAAAACTTATCTCCTAGTCAGTCCACTGCAATAGCCTCTGAATTCCTTACTCCATCAGACCCCTCTAAAAGAGTAGTTCTCAAACTCAGATACGCACTGGAATCACCTGGGAAATTATCAAAAATCCAATATCTGGGCCTCTCCTTCAGAAAATCTGATTTTACTGTTTGTAGCCTGGGTACTGGTATTTTTATAAGCTCTTCAGATGATTCTAATACACAACAAAGTTTGAGCACCACTCAACCAACCTCTGCTGCTGGAGTATAGAGTACAAACCACTTTCCTGCATTAAAACCTCTGATGACTCCTCACAGCCAACACAAACCCAAACAACTCACCACGATCTTTAAAGCCTTTCTCAACATCTCCAACCTATCCCTCCTCCAGCCCCTCACCTACCAGTACTCCATGGCTCTCCACCATACTCCAGCCAGAATGAACTTATCATTTGCCTCTGAGCCCCCAGCAACACATTTCTTATGCATAAAAGGCTCTCCAAACTCACAAACACTAATCTCAGTCTCTGATTATCAAACTCCAAATCAATTTTCAAGTACCCATTTAAAAGGTCTTCCTTTCAAAAGCCTTAACCTACTCCCCTGGCTTAACGGTTGATCCTTCTTCTTGAGTCTTAACAAAATTTGGACATAGCTCTAATCTGACATTGATCATGATGCTTGTAGTGGCAGTTTACCTTTCTGTCTCTTCTAACACAAAGTGCATTCCACAAAGGGAGAGATCATGTGCATTCCCAGGGCACGTGAATGACTGAAACACAATGAATTTTCAATAACTGTTTGCTAAATAAATGGGCATCACACACTTGTGGAATAAATGAATAATATAAGAAAAGACAAAGGCAATTCAATATGAAATGCCCAATTAGTTACAGAGGGAAAATCTAACCCAAGAAGTGCTGTGGGGAGAGAGATTGCTTCAAGCTGATATGGAAAGAGAAGGCTCCATGAAGACACGGGTCTTGCTCTCAAGTCTCATGGAAGGAAAATATCTGGATGGGCCAAGAGGGAGGGGCAGAAAACAATAAGCATGGGAAACAGTACAAAAGTAGACCATTCCACAGGAAAAAAAAAAAAAAAACACCTCATTAAAAAAGCTCAGTGCTTTAAAGCAAAGGTTTACTTGCTTACACTATGTAATCATTACATATTTCTTTAAAAAGAAAAGGTATCTGCCTAGAAGGGACACACATCACTTCCACTGAAATGTCAATATCCAAAGCAAGTTACACAGCCATGCCCAATTTCAAGGTGTGAGAGAGAATGTAACCCTACTATGTGTCCTTAAGGAAGAGAACCAGAATACTGGAGTCCTAATGACCACACGATGAAAGAGTCTAGCACCATACCTGGCACATAGTAAGCACTCAGTGATTGACAGCTATTATTATCATGATTACTGAGGGATCTGGGGAAAAAATCTATCCTAATAACCCTAAGTCATATAAGCACATGTGAAAAACATCTTATGCACATTATTTAAAATAAAGCAAAGGTTAATTTACAAGCATTTTACCGTGATAAAAGGGAGGGATATGCCAAAAAGTTTCCATTAAGCAAAAAAATAGTAAACAAGATTTACCAAAATAGTACAACAAGCATTTTACCGCGATATGAGAGAGGGATGTGCCAAAACGTTTCTAGTAAAGAAGAGCTATTAAAATACCCATTCTTACTAATTTAAGACATGTAATATTTCACTGATAGTATCTTTATTATTTTAGAGAACATTAAGAAAATTATGGAGCCTTTCACATGTTCACTCCTAATCTCAGAGCACAGCTATCCCATATTTCCCCCATGAATTTTTAAGGGAAATTCTCCTACGTGGGTTTTCAGGACCCTAATCCTTGGAGGTTAAGGGAAAAGTCCTATACAGCAAAATGAAAATTGAATTCTAATCAAGGCTTGACCACAGATCAGCTCTGTGACCTCACAAATATTTACATGACTAGGACCCCATCCCATTATGAATAATGAAAATGGATAGATGTCTTCAGAAGTACCTTCTAACTCTACTCTTCTGCAATCCCGACAAGATAGAAAGTAGCTTTGGTTTCAGAGAATCTAGTAATGATGGTGACCTGTGTAAGACCCGATAACACTTAAATCTGCCACAACCACACTCATAAGGGCAACAACAAAACTTAGTTCAAGAGTAAATATGCAACACAGTCAAGAACACACAGGGAGAGCTCTGCTACATGAAATGCTGCAGACACAAAGTGCAGATAAAAATGGACAGAGTGTGGTTATTTTGTGTGTAGCTTATGAAATCACAATATTTTAGTAACATCTCATACAGCATTCCAAGGACAAGTGGCAGTGATGAGAACAAACCTGAAGTAAGGAACCTCCAAACCTTTTAAGCTTAGGATCTGTCCAACTATCAGATCTAAATTTCAGCACACTGGGCTTTCCACTTCTTTAAAACCCTACAGCAAGAATTCAAATACATGCCCAGAGAGCTGGGTGCAGTGGCATGTCTGTAGTCCCAGCTACTCAGGAGGCTGAGGCAGGAGGATCATTTGAGCCCATGAGTCTAGCCTGGGCAACGTAAGAGACCCAGTTTCTATAAAACAAAAACAAAAACAAAATACATGCCCAGAGATCTAGAACTTGACATCCTTAGAAGAAAGTCAGACAAAAAAGCCAAAGCAGCAAGTTACAAAATGTTGTGCCCCATAATCAGTGACACTTGTGTCAAACAGAAGCACCTGCCCAGACAACCTACCGCCACTCACTGCTTTGTGAGTATACAACCACCCTTACAACAGAATTAATGAGAAAACAGTGCTGATCTGTAATGAACACCAAGGAGAGACTATATAGCATTAACTCATGCCATAAACAAAACAGACACTGCTGCATTATAAATTTTGCTACACTGGCAGCCCTATCCGTGATTTTTAAGGAACCTTCCAATTTTAATGTTCTGTGAGTCTATAAACCACATAGGACACCCGTTACTGTCTCTCATGCTTCAAGAGTCACTGCCTAAATGACTAACAATTTCCTGCTTGAAAATCTAAAACCTGGTAAATATATCTAATAAAACTGCTGTATGATTAGACTCACTTTGTTACGACTGGACAGTATTTTTAAAGCTACAACTCTGCATGTGGATCTGTGTTTCCTTTTTTTTTCTTTTTTCTTTTTTTTTTTTTTTTTTTGAGATGGAGTCTCACTCTGCCACCAAGGCTGGAGGGCAGTGGCACGACCTTGGCTCGCTGCAACCTCCGCCTCCCGGGTTTAAGCGAGTCTCCTGCCTCAGCCTCCCAAGTAGCTGGGATTACAGGCATCTGCCACCATGCTTGGCTAATTTTTGTATTTTTAGTAGAGTCAGGATTTCACCATGTTGGCCAGGCTGGTCTCGAACTCCTGACATCAAGTGATCTGCCCACCTCACCTCCCAAAGTGTTGGGATTACAGGCATAAGCCATTGGTGCCCGGCCTATGTTTATTTCTACAGTAATTTCCTCCTTCTTGTCAATCACAACATAATTTTCAATTTTGCAATAGATTTTGATGAATATACTACAATCAATCTTATCATTGATTTTTAGGAGTTTAAAATTTGTATTCCCCATTTACAAGTAGATGGGGAGAGGAGACGGAGAATATGCAACCCCGAATGAACCAAAGAAATTGCTTCTATTAACAAATCAATTTTTAAACATATTGGAAAGGGAGGAGAGGATAAGACTCAGTCTTTCAAGGGAGGCTTGGTAAATGTTATTTTAAAAAAACAAGATTCCCTTCATAAAGTTAATTGATAGGCCGGGTGCGGTAGCTCACGCCCGTAATCCCAGCACTTTGAGAGGCCGAGGCGGGCGGAATACAAGGTCAGGAGATCGAGACCATCCTGGCTAACATGGTGAAACCCCGTCTCTACTAAAAATACAAAAAATTAGCCGGGTGTGGTTGCAGGCACCTGTAGTCCCAGCTACTCCGGAGGCTGAGGCAGAATGGCCTGAACCCAGGAGGCGGAGCTTGCAGTGAGCTGAGATCGCGCCACTGCACTCCAGCCTGGGTGACAGAGTGAGACTCCGTCTCAAAAAATAAATAAATAAATAAATAAATAAATAAATAAATAAAGTTAATTGATAGATAAACCTGAAATACTTTGTATGGTAAAAATATCCATTACTGGTCTAAAGTAATGGGAAACCCTATAGTCAGTAGTTTGTATTGAGAACAGGAGAACTACAGTGTTATACTTAAAAGCTGCCTATCTTCAATCTTAGTATGAAAGAAAAAAGCTTCAAAAGTCATGTTGAAAGACATCATGCATGTTAGTAATAGACAGGAAGGGTCATAAGTCCCCGCTGGAACAGCTGCCTTGCTTTTTGTAAAGCCTTACAAGACACATCTAAATTTATTCTCTGATCTTACTATTTTCTGAACATTCAAATCAACTTTCAGATAAAAATAAAGAGGCAAATATAAATAGATAAATAACTATCAATTTTTATTATACGGCTTGCTTAGACTCATTTTAGGTTAAAGGACAATCTTGTTTCCTATTATATTTTCCTTCACAGACACAGAAAAAAATCCACCTTTGCTCCAAAAAGGGTAGAAATGCTAAAGGGTCTAGAGCTGTGCTGTCTAATACTGGTACGACTGGCCATGTATGGCTATTTAAATTGAAGCTAATATTAAATAAAATTTAAAATTCTCATCCTCGGTCATACTAGCCACATCTTAAGGGCTTGAAAACCATCAGTGGCTAGTAGTTCCCGTGCAGATATTGGACACCTCCATCATAACAGGAGGTTCTACTGAACAGTGCTGATCTAGAACAATGTTTCTCAAATTTTGATGTGCACAAAATCATCAGCATAGCTTGTTAAAACACAGACTCCTGGGAACCCTAGGTGGTCTATTTCAGTAGGTCTGGAATGGGGCCCAAAAACTTGCATTTCTTTTTTTTTTTAAGACAGAGTCTCACTCTGTCACCCAGGCTGGAGTGCGATGGCGTGATCTCAGTTCACTGGATCTCAGTTCACTGCAACCTCCGCCTCCCCGGTTCAAGCGATTCTCCTGCCTCAGCCTCTGGTGTAGCTGGGATTACAAGCACATGCCGCCATGCTTGGCTAATTTTTGTATTTTTAGTAGAGACAGGGTTTCACAATGCTGGCCAAGCTGGTCTTGAATTCCTGACCTCAGGTGATCGACCTGCCTCGGCCTCCCAAAGTGCTGGGATTACAGGTGTGAGCCACCGCACCTGGCAAAACTTGCATTTCTAACATGCTCCAAAGTAATGCTGAAGTTTCCCAACACTTTGATTAGTGAAGAAGTAGTTTTTGGTTTTGCTCTTTCCCAATCTATGGCCAAGACTTTCATAAAACACCAGAAAAATGAATTTCCAGGAAAAAATAAACAAAAAAGGACTACAATTATAAACTGTTTTTATAATTAGATTCAACAAACCATTTTTCTAACCATCTGCTATAAAAGCATCTACATGCTTCTTTTCAAGTTCTGTACTCACCTTGTCAGACAGGTAAGCAGACCACAGATCTGCAGGAATCTGTAGACTACTTTCAGTAGCCTGATTCACAAGAGCTTATTTTTTTACATTTTTACACTTATCTTTCTGGAGCTGGTCATTAATGACCTCTTTCATATCCTCTATCATTTCCTCAATGCATTTTTACAACTCAAGGCAAAACTGTTAATTCCATTAAGCAAAATACCCCTAAATCCCTTAAGTGATATTATACCAGGTTTGCTTAAAGAAGCAATCTAATGGTGTCATCACTTACAATGTGATCTGATTCTATCACAGGATCAACAATAATGATGGCTTAACTTTTTCATGCAAGCCCATAGTTGAATTTAGACTGCCAGCAGTGCAAGAATTTCTAAGCCAAAATACACAATGAGCTATAATAAAGTCTCTGTGTTAAATTATGTAAAATTCTTTCCGTAAATAAAATCTATGATCTAGACTTAGCTTACCAGACATAATCCTTCAAAGTATTTCTTAGAATACTGATAGTTTTTCTTGGACCCAAAGTAGATAGAGTCCAGATATATTTCTTTACTCATATACACTTAAGGAAGGAACAAACCAAATAATCAAGTCAATGCCCTTCGCAATCTGCCTAAAGCTTAGGTATTTTCCCTAATCTAATTATTATTATCTATTATTAAACAAAATAAACTGATTTTTCTTCTATTCAACTTCTGGTCTGGCCCAACAAAAAAAATCTCCAGAATAACTTTAAGTTTGACCACCTCCTAGAGTTACTCTCAGAATTTTTTCATTACTCTAATATTGTTTTGGCAATTTGCTTGACTTATTAAGTAAATAATAAGGCTCTGAGAACTTTAATATAAAATCCTTTTTATATAATAACACCTGGTTTTATATGTATGTTCTCTGTAAAATTTTTAGCAGTCTAAAAATAAGCTTTTATGTTCAACTACACATTATTTTAAGGAAGAACTCCACTAAAAATTAGCACTAATGGAAGTTGCAAAGCATTTCATAAA
This sequence comes from Homo sapiens, assembly GCF_000001405.40. Taxonomy (NCBI): domain Eukaryota; kingdom Metazoa; phylum Chordata; class Mammalia; order Primates; family Hominidae; genus Homo; species Homo sapiens. The sequence continues at coordinate 41,613,206 of NC_000020.11, forward strand.
AGTCTGGGGAATATAAAAAAATGGAGGGCTTCTTTTAATTCTTCTTCTTCAATGTAAGAAAGAAAAACCCTTTTCCTCCTAACATATTGAATGAAGCAATAGCAGAATTAGTAAGAAGCAGTATTCAAAGCAAGAAAATGTCAGGCACATTTGCCATGGCCTCCCCTCTAGTCCCATCTGCAGAGGCAGATGTGTGAAAAAGAGAGGCTGAGGACCCTCTAAGAGCCTCCATGTCTCCCACTCCAACCTTTAACTCTATCAGGCTGCAAGGGCAAGGGCAACGAATGGCTTCCATGTGATCATGTGATCACAGCGAGGGAAGAATTTGGGGGATAACCCCAGGGAATGCCTGAATGCTGCCAGAGGGATGCAGTTCTTCCCCAAGCCCAGGCCAAGTGATCAAGGCTGAGACTGCTAAAGGACAAAAAAGGTCCAAAGAAGTCAGCATCCAGGCAGAAGATTTTGTTCATGCAAAGCAGTTGTTCTAGAATGACCTAAATTAATGATCCTTAGTATGTTTTGTATGCTGGTGGAAAGGTATGGCGATAGGGGTATGAGAGGCACAGATCCGTTTGAGAATCATAAAAAACAATGGATTGTCCGCCTATAAAATACGCAGATGCAAACAAAAATTTGCATACTATTTTGGGGCGTTCACAGACCAGCCAAAGACTCCCTAGGGGTCCACGAACTGCAGGATAAAAAGCTTAAACCTTTAGGTAGGAAGTAAAGATGTCTGTTACTACAGTAGCTGGAACTTTTAACCTGAAGCCAGGCTTTTACATAAAAACAATCTTAGAGTATAAAAAAAAAAAAAATCTAAAACCAAAATACCTTGGTCACATAGTATATAAGAAAATCCAAAATATATTAAAAATTTAACTACTTGATAAAGAATAACATATTTGATCCATAAAATGCGATCAGCGACTATCCCTTATAAGTATCCTCAATAAAGGGGTAAAAAAATGGAAATCTCCCTTTACTTATTTAGAAAATTCAAATATGCATCCATCACTTTCTACTTATGTTTGGATTCCTGTCCTGGTTATCTTACAATTCTACTTCCCAGCATCCTGAAATTTTCAAATACTGTCTTAGTATATTAAACTCTTTTGAAATAGATAACAAAAGCACCATGGGAGTCCGTTGAAAACTTAGGTTTGTTCCTTGCTAAAATTTCTAAGTCCTTCATTATGACTATAAAGAAAAAAGGTTCATCAATTCAAAAAAAAATCCTGATTCTTCAAAATAGGAGCTATTTAAGTTACATCATATACACCCCATTACAAATTCTAAAGGTTGCAAAACAGAACAGTGATGGCAAACAACATAATGAATAAATGTAAGAGGATGCACAGAATCACTATTTACTGACTATAAAAACCAACAAATACAGGTACTACAGGCAAAAACAAACATTTTTCTTTGGATTTTATGCAGATGATTTAGTTCAGAAACAGGGACAAGCATGGATATTTTAAAATAACTCCATTTTACTACCTTCAGGACTTTTATGGAAGTAACAGAATTTCTCATGAGGGTATCAACGCCTCCACAACATGAACCAAAGAAAAGAACATTTTGGCAAAGGAAAAAGTGACTGCGTTCTCCCTCTGCACTTCATGGTTATTACTGTACCAGGGTACACCTGAACTCCTAAGTGCCCCAGGAAGACCACTCCTACTCCATGGAGACAAAAGTGGGGAAAAGGGTGTCCTCACTGTATTCCAACACTCCTCTTCAGTGACAAATTCCTGAAACGGAAAAGTAAAAATGGATGCACGTGTAGAACTTAGGGAAGGTGTGTTAGCTAATTAACCTAACACCATACCACTAAAATACAACAGTACGCTTGAGCTTTTAAAAAAAATCTTTAGAGAGAACTACTGGTGAAAAGGACATGTATTGGATACAGATGATCAGGGTCAAATTCTGGCTCTATCACTGACTAGCTTTATGGCCTTTAATAAATTACTTCATTTCTCTGAGCTGCAGCCCAGTCTCACGAAGTGGCTATGAAAACAAAGATATTTTTCCCAACTCTGTAGCCCCAGTATCTGGCTGAGTACTGGACAAACACCAGGTATTCAATCAATGCTAGTTCTTTTTGCTCCACTCACAAGCATGTCACATTCCATTGCAAAAAAAAAAAAAAAAGTTCTCTAGGGAAGAGGTATCTCAGCTCTGGCTATCATTTTATGTATTTCAAAGAGTTTTCAATATAATAACCTGGTACAGGAGAATGCAGGCAATCCTATGGAATTCACTCCACCTTTCACTTGAATTAAACTAAAGCTCTGCATGAGCAATGAAGTATAAGAGAATCATTAAATATGTATTAAAAACAAAACTATTTCAAGCCTTCTTATACCAGGCGGGGAAAGGGGAAGGAGGGAAGTAGAGTGCAGCCTCCTCAGTTGATATGTATATACTGTCATTGTCCTATACCAAAGATATTTCTGCAGGTAGAATCTTTGAATCCTTAAACTTGTTCAAAGAGATTCAGAACATGGGTGGTCCATGAGTGATCTCATTTAGTAATTACCAATTAAAGTCTTTCCATGAAAAACATAGGCACCTACAGGGAGAATCAAGCCTGATGTTGTGGAACCTCATGGTATAACACAGGAAGACATAACCACAAACGCTGCTTCGGGCAAAGCCATACTTCCAAGAAAACCAAAACATTTCTTCAAAACTTTTATAAACCAAGGAGCTCTCCAACACATAGTAGCCCAAGGGCCGCCTGTTGTTTCTGATAGGTTTTCTGCAATTTCACAGCAAAATCACAAATAAGATGTGGCTTCTAATGAGATATGATTCTGCTTCAGGTTTTCTTTGGTATTTGAAATATACAAAAAGTAAATCAATAAATACAAAAACATAACTGCCAAAGGTTCTTCCAGAAATGCAGCAGTTAGTCGTATTTCTCCCACTTCACTTCTAACTTGTCTTTCAATTTTTGTGTGGTTTGCCTTAACTAATACACTGATGAGTTCAGAGAACTTCCCCAACTACATGAATAATAAATTATAAAAATTATAAAGATATAGAATATTTAAAAGTTGTAAAAATGATCATATTGAAAGAGTTTGCAGTGCTATTAAATGTAACAGAAGAGCTAAATGTGAAAAGCAAAGAAATAGCTGCAGAATAAAAAACGTGACTCCAGGAAGACTGTGATACCACACTGAAGCACAACTCAATTTCGCAACAGATCTAGATTTACTTCGCCCATGGCCAGACTACACCAAGAACAGTACTATGGTCTGGTTACTATTAGAGAGACTCCAAAGCAAACAAAACGGTGGGGAAAGATGTGTGCAGGATAGCTTTTAGTCACCCACTAATCAAGAAAAATGTTTAAATTCAAAAGAACTTATAATTCATCTATGAAATCTGCCCTGGAACAAAAATAACTCCAAAATTAATAATCTTACCACTCCGCATTTTCCCAAGGCCTTTGGTTATAAAGATGCATTGCTTATATGAAACCACCTGCTCTGCTTGGCATAAATCATGTTACTTGAGGATTCATGCCTAATCATTTTATCAAACACAGATCTCAAATCTTCTTTCTGTTGCCAGAGAGCCATAAAGTTCACAAAAACTCTCTCTCTGAGGTTGCCAACCTGATTTTCCAATTTGGCTGACAGTCAAACTCGACTGTGCCATGAAATCAATGGGACAGACCCCCAATAAGTTACACAGCTCACATCAGCCTAGGGAGCAAAACCGAGTGGTCTGCCCCGGTGTTTTTTCCCCAAACGCCACAAACATATTTCCACAAAGTACATCAAAATTGGGGGCCCATTGGGATGGTACTCTTACATACCATCTGGGAAACAATAATCAAATTTCAGGCAATATTTCAGACATCCTGAAAACTGTAAATATTTAAAATGTGTATTTTCTGTGTTCGTGGATCTGCCAGCAGAAACGAGGAGTTTTCAGGGGGTGGGAAATAAGGCACACACACAGCCCCAGAGAGATGCTCAGAGATGCCAAGGATTCACCAGAAACCTTGGCCAGATTACTAATGGTCCATAAACCCTAATTTGGAGAACAGGGTCCTACGAGCTCAAAATTGAATTATACTGCCTTATTAGATCCCACACGACTGAAACCACAGTCACATTAGTCATAACTGGAACTAGGAATACTTTATGTACACAAATATAAAGTGCCTGCTTATGCATTTTTAATTGTATCAAATAAAACTGAAGCTGCAAACAAACTCAAATTTCAATTATCTCACTAGTGAGGGGATTTCCTAATAACGCCTTTAAAAAAAACCAAGTAGCTGCCAACCCTCTGCACATCCGATAGGCATGTCCCTGGAAATCTGGGCGCAACGGACTCCGTTACTTCTCAACAGCGAGGAAAATAAATACCTTGAAGAGGACAGATAGATCTTTTTTTAAAGCTCCAACATGCGATCTAATAATGCACAAAACTTGGCAGCGGGGTTGCAGGACCCCTCCTGGGCTCCAATTTTCGGGGCGAGTGCGCGCTAGTGCGTAAGAAGGGGGCGGAGGGGGTGCGCGATCCGAGGCCGCGCAGGGGCCCCCGCCCCCTCCCGGAACAGCAGCCTGGCACCAGCCCACCCTCCTCCACCCCTGCAAACAGACGCAGGACGCGAATAGAGCAACTTCTCCGCGGGGGCGGCGGCGGGAATAGCGGTCACCCCCGCCCCGCCCCAGCGCGGCTGGGCCCGGGGGTCCCACCGCGCCCGCCCCGGGGGGGGCCTCGGCACGCCCCGCCCCCGCCCGCCAGGCCCGCGGCCGGGGTCTGCCCGGACCCCCGCCCCTGCGCGCGGCCCGCAGCGGCGCACTCCCAAGGACGGCCGCCCGGCCCGAGCGAAAGCGGGAGCGGGAGCAGTAGCCTGGCGTGGCAGAGGCCGCCCCTCTCCCCAGGCCGCAGGCCGCCGCCTGCCCTCCGCCAGGCCGCCCGCCCGCCGGCCCCGCTCGGACCCCAGCCCGGCCGGGCCTGGACGCCGCCGCAGCCCCTCATCCCGGCTCCATTCATAGGGGCACCCTAACCCGGCCGGCGGGGCGGGGCCGGGGACCCGCGGACAAGGCCGGTCCGCCGAGGCCAGGGAGGAAAATAAAAAGTTAAGAGAAGAACTTACCTAAAATGGCTCCTGCAGCAGCCAAAATACAAACAGCTATTATTTGGTGAAGTTTAGCTCAGACACCCTGCAAGGACACCCTAACCCATCTCGGGCCCGCCTTCCCTGTCGCGCCATTGGGCTTCGCCGGTCCAAAACACAGACCCATTGGTCATCCCGGCTGCCGCTCAGACAGAAGCCCATTTCAAGCTTGCTTGCAGGGGCGAGTGATGGGCTCGCTCCATTGTGCTCGTATTTGCATGGATGTGATCGCGGCCTTGATTGGCCGGCGCTGAGACCGCCCCGCCCCCTGCCTCGTGCCCCCCGCCTTGGAGACGCCGCTGCGCTCGGCCCCGCCCCCCCGGGACTAGCGGCAGGGCCACGGGGGCGGGGCGGGGCCGGGGTCCCGCGGGCCGAGGGGGCGGGGCGGGGTCCTGCACGCTGCAGATCGCAGGCAGGGGGCGGGGACCTGGCGCGCTCGGGCGCCGGCGGGGGTTCAGCGCCCAGGTGGAGGTCTCTCAGGTAGCTGGCTAGTGATCTGGAAGACCCGGGGCTGGCGTCTCCGGGGGTGGGGGAGGATGTGGCTGGGGTCCCGCGACACAGGGGTTCCGCAGGGGCCGAGGCCACGCGGGCAGATGCAAGGAGAAGCGAGGGACCCGCAGGTCAGGAAAAGAAGATCCTGAGTGGCCAAGCGAACGGAGCAGCCTCCACCCGCGTCTTCTGCCGCTCAGCCCGGCTCCCTGGTACTCCTGGCTCCCAACGGGCTTCTTCCCAAGGCCCAGCGCACCCGGGAGTTTTCCAGCCCCGGGGACCCTGCAGCGCCTTGGATAGATCTCCGTGAAATCAGGTGTCGAGCTATGGTGCATTTATTTTCGGGCCTGTCGCCCCTACCATCCTTGTAGCATCCTCAAGGACAGGGCCCAGTGTTTGGCAGAGATTCAACTAATTGTTACACTCTCGAATTCATTCGTTAGCAGGTAATCTTTGAGTGCCCACTAAATTCCAGACATTGATATAAAACGGGATATTGCGGTCAACAAGACAAAGCCCTTGCTTTCATGGAATAGGCGAAAGACTAAATACAAGGGGTAGGTAGTGATAAATGCTGTAAAGAAAATAGATGGAAGAAGAAGGGAAATTAGACCAGGGTTTAGGAATTAGGAAATTCCTAAATTATGAAAGGAGGTATGGAGAGTTTGCCCTGCCTGGCTGAATACTCTGTATGGCGTCTCATTACTGCCCCCTCCCACCCTAACCTTGGCAGTCACCAGCCCTCCTCGCGCCCTGCTTGCCCATCGTGTTTTCTAAGCACCCACTAAAAAACTGATTGGATTCTGACTGTAGAGGCTCATTCTACCTCAAAGCAGAAATGATCTGAGTCTGATGATTCTAAGAGCAGTTTGTGGGATACATTTAGGATAAGCACATTTTGACTGTGTCAGGGGCCATGATAATGATTTAGCAGAGGCTTACTAACTCCAGAGAGAGAATATTTTTAGCTTCTTTGAAATCCCAGTTTTCTGATGGCTTTCAGCCTGTGGCCCTAACTCTCTTCTGAGTAACACTCTTCACTTCTTGGCAGACACAAGAGATTTCTCCAGCTTGAAAACAGAGGCAGCAGCCCCCTGCTGCCTATCTCTCTCATCTGTGTGCATTTCTGTCATTTGACTCAAGGCTGGCCAAGATGTCTTATGGTCTTTCTTTCTTGTCTTTCTTCCTCCCTTAAACAGATATTTATTAGGCACCAACTATGTTCCAGGTATTGTTCTAGACACAAGGAATGCAGCATTAAACAAGACAAATAATATCTTTGCCCTCAAGGAGCTTACAATCCAGTTGAGGGTGAGATAGAGAGTTACGCATAGATCCTGAGGATCTCCAATTTTGCCAAGCTGCTGGTGAGTGAGTATACTGAGGGCTACTCGCCTGCTGCTGCCTCTTGGGGACAGCATGCTTGACCTTCTGAACCAGCTGCTTCAGGAGCTGAAGCTGAAGCTGAGGTAGGACCAGGCAGCTGGTAGCCACAACCTCTCCAGCTCAAACACCAGAATCACAGGTTCCAAAGCTCTCAACAGTGCCCATGGGAGTCTTGGCTCTCATGTCTTGAAAGAGTTTGGGAGCAGAGTTGTTGTTTTTTTTGTTTTGTTTTTGAGACGGAGTCTCGCTCTGTCGCCCAGGCTGGAGTGCAGTGGTGCGATCTCGGCTCACTGCAAGCTCTGCCTTCTCGGTTCATGCCATTCTCCCACCTCAGCCTCCCAAGTAGCTGGGACTACAGGCGCCCGCCACCACGCCTGGCTAATTTTGTTTTATTTTTAATAGAGACGGGGTTTCACCATGTTAGCCAGGATGGTCTCGATCTCCTGACCTCGTGATCCGCCCGCCTCGGCCTCCCAAAGTGCTGGGATTACAGGCATGAGCCACCACGCCTGGCCAGGGAGCAGAGTTTTATCAGACAGTTTTGGTGGGTCCTATGTGGGAGTCACATGGCCCTCCCTTTGCATAATAAAGTCTCTTGCCTACAAAAATTGAAATAACATAAATGAGGTGGGACTCTAGACAGAGAGAGCAGTATGTATATACCAATGCAAGAGGCAGCCTGGGGAGGTGTGAGAGCAAGAGGAAGATGGAAGGTGGACTTGTCAGTAATTGCTGTTCTTAAACATTGAGAAAAGTCAGTAGCACATAAGAAGTTAGATATACACAGAGACACAATATTAAGTCACCAAAAAAGAAATCAATAGAAGTATATGACTGATTCACAAATAAGTGGGACAGGTACAAGCAAAGGAATGGTCTGGGGACTACATTTAGGAGAAGTGGCAGGCTTGACCTTATCCAGTGAGAATCAGGTCTGCAGAACTGAGAGGAGTTAGTGGAGTCTGACCCAAGGTACTTCACCAGGAACCAGTGGGGAGGAACTGAAGGGGAAAGGGAAACAGAGACAGCTAAGTTGCTTTTAGCTATACCCATTCATGGCAGTGTCTTCGCCTGCGTCTCCAGAAACAGAGCCTGATTCTACAGGGCAGGAGTAAAGCAAAAGGAGTAAAGTGGAGGCGAAGGAAGAGCCAGTACCAGGATGGTTATTAATCTGGCCTCCACTAAGTATGGCTGATTGCTTCTGCTCAAGGGATTATCCTCTGAGAAATATAAAATGAGTCTCAGAATAGCCTATGGGAGGGGGAAGGGAAGGAAATTTATCCATCAGCTCATCTCATTGGATAAAGACTCATACCAGTTGTTCATGCATAGGTGCCAAGTGGGCTTCTGCAGTGTCCCAAAACTCAGTGTCAACAGGGAACCTAGCAAGAGGCACATGGCAGGGCCACAAGGCAAAGTGCTGTCAGGGTGCAGCTGTGTGAAGTCAGATGGTGCCCACGCAGAGCTTGATGCCACAGCAGCTGCTGGAATGAAAGATGATTGATGCTACAAGGGTGATGCCAGTGATGCAAAAATTTTTGTACCATATAGTGTGCCCCATTTCCAAAGGGCCCCAGAAAAGCAATCCTTGAGAGCTCTGAAGGGAGCCACAGAAGGGCTTCCAGCAGTTCTGGAACTTTCTTATAGTAACTCCACAAAAGAAGAGTTGCATCCCACCCGAATCTGTTCTCTCTTGCTTTCATGCCTGTGTTCACTTGTCTGTTTCCTCTATTAGACCATGAGCTTCTTTATTGTTCTTGTTAATATATCTGTGACAGGAAAAACAACTCTTTTCACCAGCCCATTTCATTTTCCTCCTAGGCTCATAAAAAAATTACATTTCTCAGTAATCAGGTAGGCCCATGTGACTGAGCTCTGGGTAATGGAATCTGGACAGAAGTGGTAAATATATCCCATTTCTGGACATCCCCCAAAAACTCCCGTGAGATCTTTCAAACTTCTCCTTTCCTCATTCCTGGCCAGATGCAAAAATATTGAGTGGAGGACTCAGAGGCCCCAGAAAATGGCAGTGGTGGCTCACTGCATGGACTAGAACGTCTGTGCTCACTTGCACTGGATTGTGTTGTAAGCAAGAGATAAAATGTCACAGTGTCAAGTCACTGAAATGTGAAGGTTGTCTGTTACCTGTCTGATACAGTACTTGTCTAACTTCATGTGATTCCGTGTCACTCCAGGGCAGGGACTGTGCTTGTAACTCAAGCACAATTGCAATGCGTGGCACATAGTAGGCATTTCTTGAAATATGGACAAGAGTGAATGAGCTGATACTTGAGCCTGGTCTTAAAGATCAGAGGTAGAATGCCAAGCAAGGTGGCAAGTGGAAAGTGTTCCATGAAGGAGGTGTAGCATGTGTAGAGGTAGAGAAACTAGGGAAAATAGAGTCTGTTCTCAGCCCAGCAGAAGGGTCATGGATATGGTTAGGGTGAGGCTAGAGAGAAGGCAAGGGTCAGATCACAAAAAGTCTTGTATGTTACATGAAGGAGTTTGAAATTTATCCTACAGGAATCATTCAAGGATTTAAAACAAGAATGTGATGTCATCAAGTTTATCTTTAACAAATATCTCTCTAGCTACCTGGAAAAGGATGGATTAGAAAGGGAGAGTCAGAAATACAAAAAATTTTTAAAGCAGCATTTCATTCTTCCCAAGTTATTTGTCCCATAAGATGTTCCACTAAAAAGAGGTTTTGGGGACAAGTTAGTTTGGGAAGTTGAGTATACTGTAGCCCCTCCTGGAGGTTCTTGGAGATTTCTGTTCACATATTAAAAACCCTGAGAGGTCCTACATTAATGAAATCTGTTAAAGTTTAATGTAATAGTTCTCAAAATTATTTGACCACAGAACCCTTTTTTCATTGAACACCTATTAAAACTGGTATCACGGCCAGGCGCGGTGGCTCATGCCTGTAATCCCAGCACTTTGGGAGGCCGAGGTGGGTGGATCATGAGGTAAGGAGATCGAGACCATCCTGGCTAACATGGTGAAACCCTGTCTCTACTAAAAATACAAAAAATTAGCCGGGCATGGTGGTGGGCGCCTGTAGTCCCAGCTACTTGGGAGGTTGAGGCAGGAGAATGGCGTGAACCTGGGAAAGGGAGCTTGCAGTGAGCCGAGATTGCACCACTGCACTCCAGTCTGGGCGACAGAGTGAGACTCCATCTCAAAAAAACAAACAAACAAAACAAAAAACAAAAAACAACAAAAAAACTGGTATCACTTAGGACTCAATTTGGCTGCATAAATATGAGAAAATGATATAATAAGATTAAAGTTTATTTCTGTCTTAAATAAAAGAAATTTGGGAAGCAGGCCGTCCAGGGGTGGCATGGCAGCTGTCCGGTACCTTCAGGAATCCAGGCTTCAATGTTTTTGCTCCATTATCCTTAGCTTTCATTCCCAAGGTCACTTCATGGTCCAAGATGGCTGCTGGAGCACCAGTCTACATGTCCTTGGAAGGAAAAAGGAAAGGCAAAGTGGAAAAAGTGGAGTTGAGTCCCTTAAACAACCTTCCTGGAAATACTACACATTTTACTTTTGTCTCATTGTCCAGAACTTGGTCACATGACCATGCCAAGCTGCAAAGGAGGCTAGGAAATCTGGTCTTTTATTTTGCTTTTCTATGTGCCAAGTTAAAAATTGGGTCTGTCACTAAAGAGTTGAGAGACTCAACTAGCAGTTTCTGGCATAATGCCCCACAGAAATAATGTTCCACAGAACCTAAATTGGGATAAAATGACTAAGTAAGGAGATTGATTTTTTAAACATTTTTAGCAGCTTTATTGTGGTATAATTCACATACCATACAATTTGCTTACTGCAAGTATACAGTTTGACGATGTTTAGTAAATTTATACAGTTGTGCAACCATCACCACAATCCAGTTTTAGAATATTTCTGTCACCCTCAGAAGTTCCTTGTTCCCTCTTGCTGTCAATCTCCACTCCCACCCCCAGGCCTGGGAAACCATTGATCTGCTTTCTTCTTTGGAGTTCTGCCTTTTTGAGAAATTTCGTATAAACAGAATAGTACAATATGTAGTCTTCTGTGTCTGGCTTATTTAATGTAATAATTGTGTGGTTCATTGTGTTGTAGAGTGTTTTGTCAGTTTGTACTTTTTAAAATTGCTTGAATGGCATTCCATTGTCTGCATATGCCACTCCATTGTCTGCATATGCCACCTTTTATTTATCACTTACTAAATGATGGACATTCGGATTGTTTCCACATTGGGACTATTATGAATAATGCTGCTATAAACCTTCAAGTAGAAGTCCTTGTGTGGACATATGTTGTCATTTCTCTTGGGTAGATGCCTAAGGAGACTGGTGTTTAAAACTGAATTCGTTCACTGAAAAGACATTTATTGAGTGCCTATTACTGACAAGTATTGTGCTAGATGCCAAGGATACAGTAGTGAATAAAATTTGACACAAACTCAGCCCTCATGGAGCTTGCAGTCTATAGAAGAGAAAGGCATTAGTCCAGTAGTCATGCGAACAAACGTAACATCACAGCAGTGGTAAGTGTGTGCTATAAAGGAGGGGTATAAGATGCTGTGAGAGATTATGCTAGAAGGATCTGCCTTTGTCAAGGAGGTCAGGAAAGCTGCCCTTGAGCTGAGTTCTGAAGTGTGTGAGAATGTAGTCACTCTGATTTCTGTCTTTCAAAGTAATATCTTAAGAAGCCATATACTTATTTCCAATAATGCTGCCCTTGCAAACATGTCTGAGCCAGTTTATAGACACACTGGTCTTGGGCCTATTTGTGCTTAGATAAAGTCTCTGTGTTTTAATCTCTCAGAGTTTTTGAAAACTGTGAAGCAAGCACAACGCACTGTCAGTAAAGGTACCTTTTCAGTCATCTCTCTCTCTCTCTTTTTTTTTTTCTTCAGAGACAGGATCTTGCTGTGTTGCCCAGGCCGGTCTCAAACTCCTAGACTCAAGCAATCCTTCTGCCTTGGCCTCCCCACACACTGGGATTACAGGCATGAGTCACTGCTCCCGGCCCATCTCTTATATTATTTTCTGTATGTTTGAAATATTTCATGATTAAACATCTTAAAAATATCCTTTTTAGTTCCCTTGAGAATTGTACCTGCCAAGCAGCCCAGCCTGTCTTGTCAGACCCTGACCTTGTTCTCTCTCTGTGGGAAGAGGAGACATGATCAGAAGGTGATTTCTGGAACCTGGAACTGAGGGGATGATGCTAATAGCCAGTATTCTGGAACTACACTGGTCCAATCCCTGTATCTCTACTGTAGGGGTGAATCTGCCACAAGGCATCCTCCTGCCAGAAGCTCCATTCTCCAGCACAAAGCTGGATAAGACTAGTTAAGCCCACAGGCTTTGAAGCCCTACAGATGTGGTTCAAATCTCAGCTCTACCACTAGTGTCCTTAAGAAAGTCACTTAACAGGCCAGGCATGGTGGCTCATGCCTGTAATCACAGCACTTTAGGAGGCTGAGGTGGGTGGAACACCCGAGGTCAGGAGTTTGAGACCAGCCTGGCCAACATGGTGAAACCCTGTCTCTACTAAAAATGGAAAAATTAGCTGGGCTTGGTGGCACACACCACTGTAATCCCAGCTACTCAGGAGGCTGAGGCAGGAGAATTGCTTGAACCTGCGAGATGGAGGTTGCAGTGAGCCAAGATTGTGCCACTGCATGCCAACCTGGGTGACAGAGTGAGACTCCATCTCAAAAAAAAGAAAAAAAAAGAAAGTCACTTAACTTACAGTTTCATGATTCCAATAATAGGGTTGTTGTGTGGATTAAATGATTCATGCAAAGTGCTTTGCACATGGCAACTGCTCAACAAATTGGTTATTAATATATAATTATCGCAGCCTTTCCTCTGCCTCCCATTTCCCCGTGTTCTGTATAGACTTTCCCCCTTTGTCGACCTGCAGGTTTTGAAACATATTAATTCCATTGATTTAACTGAAGTCAATCTCTGTTCTTGTGTTTGGCTTGGGGAACCTTCTGTCTTTTGGAGTGCCTTCTACTGATATATGGCCTCTACCCCTCATGTATTAATCTCACTGATTTAACTCTTACAGTGCCACAGAGCTCTCACTCTCACCCATGTATAGCACTACCGCTATTTTGATTTTTTAAATCCAAGGTTATATATAAAAATGACTGTGGTCCCTTTCAGTTACTATGATTTATGGAAAATCACACCTCAAATGTTCTTGGGCAGGATTTTTCAAAAACGCTGGTCACGCTACCCTGAAACAGCTTCGTAAATCCTTCATTCTTGCTCAGCAGTGTACTTTCCTGCAATGACCATTAGACAGTTTCAGCCATAAAAACTTGCTTAAGGCCGGGCGCTGTGGCTCATGCCTGTAATCCCAGCACTTTGGGAGGCCAAGGCGGGTGGATCACTTGAGGTCAGGAGTTCGAGACCAGCCTGGCCAACATGGTGAAACCCTGTCTCTACTAAAAATACAAAAATTAGCTGGGCATGGTGGTGTGCGCCTGTAACCCCAGCTGCTTGGGAGGCTGAGGCAGGAGAATCACCTAAACCTGGGAGGCGGAGGTTGCAGTGAGCTGAGATAGCACCATTGCACTCCAACCTGGGCAATAGAGCAACGCTCTGTCTCCAAAAACAAACAAACAAACAAACAAAAAAAAAAAAAAACAAAAAAAACCACAGCAACAAAAAAGTTCTTAAGCTTTTTACTAAGCCTCAAGTTGCTGTAGAATCCTTTTCTTTATGTGTGCAATTCTACCATCAACATTACTGACCAATTTGGTGAGGCTACCGTCTGAAAACTGGTAATAAAAATAAGCAACACAGTTTTACATACTAGAAACAAAAAACTATAGTTTTAAAAAATTAATTAGTTTCCATGTTTTTGCTGAGGTGAAGCATGGTAACTGTCCTTCCAGTTGGCCCCCAGTGATACTCACTTGCTGTGATTCAAACCCTTATACTGCCCTCTCCTGTACTGAATAGACCTGATTTATGTATGTAACCAGTAGGATATTGCAGAAGTGACAGAGTGTAACTTCCAATGCTAGTCATAAATGGCATTGCAGCATCTGTCTTGCTGTTTTGGGTAATTTGCAATGGGAAGAGTCCATTGTCATGACATGAGGACATTCAGTCAGCCTTATGGAAAAAGTCTTTGTGGCAAGAACTCAAGGCCTCTTGTCAGGAACCATGTGAATGGGCCATCTTGGAAGTAGATCCTCCATGCCTAGTCAAGCCTTCAGATGAGACTGCATCCATCCCCAGCCAACATTTTGACTGCAACCTCATGAAAACCTAAGTCACTCTCAAATTTCTGACCTATGAAAACTATGTGAGATAATAAATGTTTATTGTTGTTTTTAAGCCACCAAGCTTTGGAGATAATTTGTAATGCAGCAATAGATAACAGTATTTCCTTGGGTGATACAACTGACAGCCATCATTAAGTTACTGTATATTTAAAATGTGCTTTGTATAAATTTGCCCCACATTTTAAGTGTTTTCTTAACATATGATCTACATCCAGATATTTTAGGTTATTCTATGACTCATTTCAGTCCCATTCAGCAAACATGCTGTATTAGTCTGTTCTCACACTGCTATAAAGAACTACCTGAGACTGGGTAATTTAGCAAGAAAAGAGGTTTAATTGACTCACATTACTGCAGGCTGGACAGGAAGCATGATTGGGGAGGCCTCAGGAAACTTACAATCATGGTGGACGGGCAAAGGAGAAACAAGCACATATTCACGTGGCGGCAGGAGAGAGAGAGAGAAAGAGAGAGAAAGAGAAAGGGGAAGTGCTACACACTTTTAAACAACCAGATCTCATGGGAACTCATTCACTATCATGAGAACAAAAAGGAGGAAATCTGCCCCCATGAGTCAATCACCTCCCACCAGGTCCTTCCCCTAACATTGGGAATTACAATTCAACATGAGATTTGGTTGAGGACACAGAGCCAAACCGTATCACTTGCATTGCCTACTTGTATCAAAGCCTGTTCGTAACAGAAAACTCCAGATCAACCATCAGCAATTTGAACGAAACTGATGGCAGTAAGTTGTTTTTCTCCATCCAATTCCATTTATTGTGAATGATTCTTATGCTTTCATGATTGTAGTTAAATCTCTGGATGCCAGGAAGTCCAGCTCCTACCACTTCTTTTGCTTCTTTTTGGAATATATGCCAGAAGGGAATAAAGTTGAAGAGAATGATGCCCCCATGTTACTAAAACATGCACTGTTACATTGACAGTTCATAATAGCTAATTTTATTGCATAATTAATATGAACTAAGCACTGCTTTTAAAATTTTTAAAAATAATTTCAATTTTTATTTTAGATTCAGTGGGTACATGTGCAGGTTTGTTACATGTGAATATTGTGTGATGCTGAGGTTTGGGGTGTGAATGATCCCGTCACCCAGGTGGTAAGTATAGCACACAATAGGAGTTTTTTCAGTCCTTCCCTCCTTCCTCCCTCCCACCACTAGTAGTCCCCAGTGTCTATTGTTCCCATCTTTATGTCCATTTGTACCCAATGCTTAGCTCCCACTTATAAGTGAGAACATTTGGTATTTGGTTTTCTGTTCCTACATTAGTTAGCTTAGGATAATGACCTCCAATTACATCCATGTTGCTGCAAAGGACATGATTTTATTCTTTGTTATGGCTAGATAGTATTCTATGGTGTATATGTACCACATTTCATTATCCAATCCACCATGGATGGCCATCTAGGTTATTCTATGTCTTTGCTCTTGTGAATAGTGCAGTGACGAATGTATGAGTGCACATGTCTTTTTGGTAGGATGACTTATTTTTTGGGGGGTATACACCCAGTAGTAGAATTGCTGGATTGAATGGTAGTTTTGAGTTATTTGAGAAATCTCTAAACTGCTTTCCACAGTGGCTAGACTAATTTACATTCCCACCAACAGTGTATAGGTATTCCCTTTTCTCTGAAGCCTCGCCAGCATCTATTATTTTCTGACTTTCTAATAATAGCCATTCTAAGTGGTGTAAGATGGTATTTCATTGTGGTTTTGATTTGTGTCTTGATGATTAGTGATGTCGAGGTTTTTTTTTAATATATGTTTGTTGGCCACTCATATTTCTTCTTTTGAGAAATCTTTGTTCATGTTCTTTGCCTACTTTCTTTATTTTTTGGAGGCAGGATTTCATTCTTTTGCCTAGGCTGGAGTGCAGTGGTGCGATCATGGCTCACTGCAGCCTCAACCTCCTGGGCTCAAGCAATCTTACATTAGCCTCCCGAGTAGGTAGGACTACAGGCATATGCCACCACATTGTAGTTTTTTGTAGAGATGGGGTTTCACAATGTTGCCTAGGCTGGTCTCAAACTTCTGGGCTTAAGTGATCTGCCTGCCTTGGTCTCCCAAAGTGCTGGGATTATAGGCCTGAGCCACTGTGCCTGGCCCTTTGCCTACTTTTTAATGGGGTTGTTTGTTTTTGCTTTCTTGATTTGTCTAAGTTCCTTACAGATTCTGGATATTAGACCTGTTTTAGATGCATAGTTTGCAAATATTTTCTCCCATTCTGTAGGTTGTCTGTTTACTTTGTTGAAAGTTTGTTTTGCTGTGTGAAAGCTGTTTAGTTTAATTAGGTCCCACTTGTCAATTTTTGTTTTTGTTGTGATTGCTTTTGAGGACCTAATCATAAATTATTTTCCAAGGCCAATGTCCAGAATGGTATGTCCTAGGTATTCTTCTAGGATTTACTTATAGTTTGAGGTTTTACATTTAAATATTTAATCTATCTTGAGTTAATTTTTGTATATGGTTAAAAAGTATGGGTCCAGTTTCATTCTTCTGCTCATGGCTAGCCAGCTATCCCAGCACCATTTATTGAATAGGAAGTCTTTTCCTCATTGCTTATGTTTGTCAGCTTTGTCAAAGATCAGATGGCTGTAGCTGTGTGGCTTTAATTCTGGGTTCTCTATTCTGTTCTGTTGGGCTGTGTGTCTGTTTTTGTACCAGTACCATGTTGTTTTGGTTACTGTAGCCTTATGGTATAGCTTAATATTGGGTAATGTGATGCCTCTGGCTTTGTTCCAAGCACTGTTTTAAATGCTTTACATGTATAAAATATTTAATTCTTACAAAGAAAAAGTTATTACCCTCATTTTACAAATAGTAAAACTGAGGCACATCACTGGAAGGAAGGCTGCAGAGTCTAGAGCTATCACCATCTCTGTCTGTCAGCCACAAGCCCAGGTGCCAAAGTGCAGCAGTAGCTGCCACACAAATAGCAGTTCAGTCCAGTGTCCTAGCTTTCCTAGGCTCCCGCTCTAGGTATCACAAGCAAAAACAAGGCTAGGATTTGACAGAAGGAAAAGTGAAAAGAAAGCACCAACAAAGCATACAAACAAAAACATTTACAGAACACAGATGCTGTGATGGTTAATGTTATATGTCAACTTGACTGGGCTAAGGGACGCACAGATAGCTGGAGAAACATTTCTGGGTGTGTCTCTGAGGATGTTCCCAGGATAAATTAGCATCTGAATCAGTAGACTTAATAAAGAAGATTGCCCTCACCAATGTTAGTGGGCATCGTCTGTTGAGGGCCCAAAGAGAATAAAAATATGGAAGAAGAGTAAATTCCCCCTCTCCTTGAACTGGGACATTGGAGTTCCTGGTTCTCAGGCTTTGGATTCTGAAAACTACACCTGCACTCCCCTCACCTCTACTCTCTGTTCTCAGGCCTTCAAGCTTGAACTAGGAATTATATCATAAGATCTCCTGGTTCTCAGGCCTTTGGACTCATACTGAATCAAACCTCTGGATTTCCTGGTTCTACAGCTTGCAGATGGCAGATAGTGGAAATATTCAGCCTCCATAATCATGTGAGCCAATTCCCATAATAAATCTTCTTGTGTGTGTATGTGTGTGTGTGTGCATGTGTGCATGCTTGTGTGTGTCCTTTTGGTTCTATTCTCTGGAGAACCCTAATTCAGATGTCTTATAGTAATTTTAAAAGATGACGCCAGGCGTGGTGGCTCACGCCTATAATCCCAGCACTTTGGGAGGCCGAGGTGGGCGGATCACCTGGGGTCAGGAGTTTGAGACCAGCCCGGCCAACATGCCAAAACCCCGTCTCTACTAAAAATACAAAATTTAGCCTGATGTGGTGGCGGGCGCCTGTAATTCCAGCTACTCAGGAGGCTGAGGCAGGAGAATTGCTTGAACCCGGGAGGCAGAGGTTGCAGTGAGCCGAGATTGTGCCAGTGCACCCCAGCCTGGGCGACAAGAGTGAAAATCCGTCTCAAAAAAAAAAAAAAAAAAAAAGAACAGGACCGGGCAGGCACGATGGCTCACACCTGTAATCCCAGCATTTTGGGAGGTGGAGGTGGGTGGATCACCTGAGGTCAGGAGTTCGAGACCAGCCTGGCCAACATGGTGAAACCCCATCTCTACTAAAAATACAAAAAAATTAGCCAGGCATGGTGGCAGGTGCCTGTAATCCCAGCTACTCAGGAGGCTGAGGCAGGAGAATCGTTTGAACCTGGGAGGTGGAGGTTGCGGTGAGCCAAGATCGCGTCAATGCACTTCAACCTGGGTGACAGAGTGAGACTCCGTGTCAAAAAAAAAAAAAAAAAAAAAAGGATGAACAGCAACAGCTTAGCTTTACTGGCTTAATGGTTCTCCAAGTGTGGTTCCTGGACCAGCAGCAGCATCTAGGAACTTGGTAAAAATCCAAATTCTTGGACTCAACCCAAACCAACTGGATCAGAAAGTTTGGGGGTGGGGCTAGAAGCCTGTGCTTAAATGCATGCTGAAGTCTGAGCTCCACCGACGTAGGGGACCCAGCTGTGGCTAAATCTGGGCTGTGTGACTCAGAGCCCATGACAACTCTGGGGAGTCATTACAGCGCCAATTTTGGAGTCCAACAGCAACAATGAAAGATATTCTAGCCAAAAAGAAACATGACTGTCATTCCTTCATAGGAATGGAATAAAGCAGGGATCTTCAACATGCCTTTGATGCCCCCTGTCAAACACAGATTCCTGGGCTAGGATGAAGGGTATCCACCTAACTTAACTTGAAAATATGGATTAAGTGCCAACTGTAGTGGATGAAAGCATGTTGAGAGGAGGCTGAAAGAGGCCAGGTCACTTTAGAGCAAATTAGGTAGTATAATATTCACTAGCTGCTATAATAAATATACACACAAAAGAATAATGGCTCCAACAAAAAGAAGTTTATTGCTTGCTTATATAGTACTTCAAGGAAAGTATTTTCCTTTCTTTCTTTCTTTCTTTCTTTCTTTCTTTCTTTCTTTCTTTCTTTCTTTCTTTCTTTCTTTCTTTTCTTTCTTTCTTTCTTTCTTTCTTTTCTTTTCTTTCTTTCTTTCTTTCTTTCTCTCTTTCTCTCCCTCCCTTCCTTCCTTTCTTTCTTTCTTTTTTTTTTTTGAGACAGAATCTCACTCTGTCACCCAGGCTGGAGTGCAGTGGCGCGATCTTGGCTCACTGCAACCTCTGCCTCCCCGGCTCAAGCGATTCTCCTGCCTCAGCCTCCTGAGTAGCTGCGATTACAGGCACATGCCACCACGCCCAGCTAATTTTCGTACTTTTAGTAGAGATGGGGTTTCGCCGTGTTGGCCAGGCTGGTCTCAAACTCCTGACCTCAGATGATCTGCCCGCCTTGGCCTCCTGAAGTGCGGGGATTACAGGGGTGAGCCACCATGCCCAGTCTAAAGGAAAGTATTTCTGGTTGACAAGTCACAATCCTCTACCTAGTGATTCAGGGGGATTCCTTCTACGCCATAACTACATCATCCCCTAGGGTTTTGTCATCTTCTGCATCCAACTAGCAAGAAGAGATTGTGGTTAGGACACACCCCCTTTTAAAAAGCCTAGAAATCACACATATCACTTCTGCTTATGTGTCATTGGCTAGAACTCAGTTACATGGCCACACCAAACCACAAGAGAAGCTGAATAATGTAGTTTGTATGTACCCAGGAAGAAGAGGAAATGAATTTTTGATGAAGACATAGCAAGATCTTTTATCAGGAACAGAGTGGGATGATAAAAATAACTGGATTTTGGGCTCCAGTTATTTAGATAGATTTTTAAAACTATCTGTTTTGTTCTTCTCCAGTATTCTCAACACCTGACAGGTACCTTGCAGAGCTCAGCAAATGTTGGTTGAATGATGGAAAACACTGGAAAAATGATGGGAAATGGTGTCACACCTGTTTCTACTTCTCCCTCCATATCCATGGAGAAATTCTGGCTAATTTACCACCTTCTTTCTTGCTAATCCTGTACTTAACCCCCAGAATTCCTATCAACTCAGAGCTCCAGGCAGACATTATTATTATTATTATTATTATTATTATTATATATTGTTTTGAGATGGAGTCTTGCTCTGTCACCCAGGCTGGAATGCAGTGGCACAATTTCAGCTCACTGCAACCTCCACCTCCCTGCTTCACGTGATTCTCCTGCCTCAGCCTTCTGAGTAGCTGGGACTATAGGCACCTGCCACCATGCCTGGCTAATTTTTGTATTTTTAGTAGAGCCGGGGGTTTCACTATATTGGCCAGGCTGGTCTCAAACTCCTGACTTCAAGTGATCTGCTTGCCTTGGCCTCCCAAAGTGCTGGGATTACAGGTGTGAGCCACCGCGCCTGGCCAGGCAAACATTATTAGTCAACTAGGAATGGCTCACAGTATGAAACCTAATTGGTATCTTGGGACATTGACTTTTTGCTATAGTCATTTCATCTGTAAAACTGGTATGAGCCCTGTGTAGGCAGTTTCTCAGAGGTGCCTTTTTTAAATTATTATTTTTTATTTTTATACACAGGGTCTTCCTGTCACCCAGGCTGAAGTACAGCAACATGATCATAGCTCACTGCAGCCTTAAACTTCTGGGCTCAAGCGATCCTACAAGTAGCTGGGACTACAGGTATGCATCACTGTGTTGTCTAATTTTTTATTTTTTATTTTTATTTTTGTAGAGATAGGGTCTCACTATGTTTCCCAGGCTCAAAGTATAAACCTTTTATGTATAATTCACTGATGTCCTAGTGCTGGCCAGAGCTTATGTTTATAAACCAGTGATCTTACATTGTTGAAATGTTAGTTCCTTCAAAATCTTTTGACTCAGGGCTCTAGAATCATCCAACTGTTGAGGAGTGATATCTTCCCAGACCAGACTGCTGATCAGTCACAAGGAATTGTCCTTCCTCATTCATTTCTGAAATATTATTTTGGCCAAGGTTCTGATAACATCACATTTTCCATTACATTTTTCTTGAAAGGTTTTGAAGTAGTATAAACTATGCCCTCATGGGCCAGTGTTGAGCTCCATGAAGGAGTCTCAGCACTTCTGCATACCCAACAAATGAATGGTACCTCCAGGAGAGGAGCTGGGCCACTCTAACTCACCCAAACAACTTCACTCCAGTTTCAACTTATGAGCTTGATGGATTCTTGACCTTAAACATGTTCAGAAATCTAGCAGTCATTTAACCATGCTTCTCAGTGGTCACGTCTTGACATGATCACTCATGAGGTCTATGGCCAGTAATTTGTTACTAATTGTATATAAGTCACCACAGTCTGAATGATTTGCCTTCTTTAAAAAAAAATAAATAGGAGGCTGGGCGCAGTGGCTCACCCCTGTAATCCCAGCACTTTGGGAGGCCGAGGCGGACAGATCACCTGAGGTTGGGAGTTCAAGACCAGCCTGACCAACATGGAGAAACCCTGTCTGTCCTAAAAATACAAAATTAGCTGGGCATGGTGGTGCATGCCTGTAATCCTGGCTACTTGAGAGGCTGAGGCAGGAGAATCGCTTGAACCCCGGAGGCGGAGGTTGCGGTGAGCTGAGATCGCACCATTGCACTGCAGCCTGGGCAACAAGAGCAAAACTCCGTCTCAAATAAATAAATAAATAAATAGGAACAGTTATTCTTATAATAATGTCATTCCTATTCATTTGCATTCTGACATGCTCTCCTGAGCAGCAGGGCAGAGGGAGGCATTTTAGCTGAGCACTGGGAATTTCACACCATCCTCAGTCTAACTTATCTACATCTCAGCCTGTGATGAGAGACCATTAACAGTTTTGACAACTATAAATTATGGTAGTGTTTGTGAGTGGTGATATTTATGGTTACTGCCACTGCTTATCCTTTTGCTTCAGTAGTATATGCCTTCTCACCTTATTACTAGTACCTGTGAGGGGAAAGCCTGGGGAAAAAAACAAAACTTGTTGTTAAAAATAAAACTGGCCATATTTGTTTAGCTTTTTTCTTATATAATGGCAGTTTTTGAGCTCTTTAAATTTTTTTATTATTCAAGTAGTTGCAAAATGCTTTTATGACCATCACACCACAAATATTTTACAGAACTATTTGTCTTACTTCCTTGGAAAAAATACCCAGCATAGATTGTGAGGAGTATGGGTTGCATCTAAACCTCTTCACAGAGAGGGAGGGCGTGTGGCAGAAAAGATACTGGGACACACAGTTTTAACCCAGTACCTCCCTACACACTCACATATTGCAGGGTTACCTATTGCCCTCACTCCTTCTGGGCATAACCAGGAGAAAGGCATATCTGGGTCAATACAGACAAAGTCAGTACTGGCATGGCTCTGTAAGCTAAGTAAGATTCTGGAAAGATCCATTGGCATACACCAGTACAAAGTACCTCAGGCAAAACCGAGTCAGGGTTAGGAGCTACAATCAAATAAAAAGATGATTGAGAAGAAATGACAAAGATCCAGGCAGAATGATCTGTTTTGGTAAGTTGGTCCAAATTGTGGAGGGAGAGAGAGAGAGAGAGAGAGAGAGAGGGAGACAGAGCAGAAACAGGGACAGAGAGATGGAGAGAGGGAGAAAGAACAGGGAGAGAGAGAGAGACAGAGAAAGTGTGTCTTTGTGGTCTTAGAAGGGTACTGTTTATTATAATTGAAGGGTCAGAGGCAAGGCAGATAAGGGTAGCTCATGAATGATTAGATGGAGGGTTGAATAAATGGATAAATTGATGCATGGATGGTTGGTGAATGAATGAATGGATAAATGGATTTAATGAAATTAGGATGGATGGCTGATGTTACTGATAAATGAATGGTGGGCAAGTGAATGATTAGTTAGATGAATGAACAAATAAATGGACAACTGGATTGGATATACGTACGGATAGAAAGATAGATAGACAGACAGATAAATAAGTACATACATACATACATTGTGAGTGAATGGATGACCAAAGTGATGGATTGGTGGATGAACACAAAGATGTATTAATGAATGAATGGAAAGATGAATGCGTAAATAGATGGACGTTATGGTAGGCAGAATAATGGACCCCCAAAGATGTTCATATCTTAATTACTGAAACTTTTAATATGCTAGATTGCATGGCAAAAAAGAATTAAGGTTGCTAATCATTTTATCTTGAGATGGGTGAGATTACCCTGGATTATCTGTGTGGGCCCAGTGTAATCCCAAGGCTCCTTATAAGTACAAGTGGAGCAGAAGGGACAGAGTCAGAGAGAGATGTGAAGATGCTATGCTGCTGGCTTTGAAGTTGGAGGAAGAGGCGATGAGACCAGGAATGCAGGCAAGCTCAAGCAGGAAAAGTCAAGAAAACAGATTCACCCCTACAGCCTCCAGAAGGAATACAGTTCTGTCAACACTTTGGTTTTGGCCCCTTCAGACACATTTTAGGCTTCTGACCTCTAGAAGTAAAAGATAATAAATCTTTATTGTCTTAAGCCACTAAGTTTGTGGTAATTTGTCACCACAGCAATAGAAATGATTGAATACATTAATGGGTAAATAAATGGATGGAAGATAGATGAATACTTGGATGATTAAATGGATGAATGATAAATGGATAAACACATGGTTGGGTGATGGAGAGAATGGAGGAATAGATACATGAATAAATGATTGGTTGGCTAGAGGAAGGAATAAGTGAATACATGGATACATGGATGGAGAAATGAATAGATAGACTCATGGGTAAATGAAAGAATAGGTGGGTGGATTGATGGATAAATGGATATATTCGCACACAGAGAGATAAAATGTGTTAGATGTATAGATACATGGAGGGATGGTTGTCTGGTGGATTGGTAGACAAATACATGGATTGATTATTGGTATGATGAATGATTAAATAGATATATGAATGGGTAATCAGTGAATACATAAATAAGTAGATACTTGGTTAGAGATATGATTAGATAGATGGGTATTTACGTGTGTATATATGCATAAATACATAAAAAGCCTTTCATGGCCGGGTGCAGTGGTTGACACCTGCAATCTCAACACCGTGGGAGGCAAGGCAGAGTATTGCTTGAGGCCAAGAGTTCAAGACTAGGCTGGGCAACACAGTGAGACCCAATCTCTACAAAAAATTTAAAAACTACTTGGGCAGGGTGCTGCGTGCCTATAGTTCCAGCTACTTTGGAGGCTGAAGAGGAGAATTGCTTAAGCCTGAGAGTTTGAGGCTGTAGTGAGCTATGATTGTGCCACTGCACTTTAGCCTGGGAGACAGGGCAAGACTCTGTCTCTAAAAATAAAAAAATCAAAAATAAAAAATAAGCTGGGCGTGGTGGCTCATGCCTGTAATCCCAGCACTTTGGGAAGCCAAGGCAGGCGGGTCACCTGAGGTCAGGAGTTCAGAGACCAGCCTGGCCAACATGGTGAAACCCCATCTCTACTAAAAATACAAAAATTAGCTGGGTGTGGTGGCGGGCACCCGTAATATCAGCTACTTGGGAAGCTGAGGCAGGAGAATTGCTTGAACGTGGGAGGCGGAGGTTGCAGTGAGCCAAGATTGCGCCATTGCTCTCCAGCCTGGACAACAAGAGAGAAACTCTGTCTCAAAATAAATACATACACACATACGTACATACATACATACATAAAATAAAGAAAAAGAAAAGTATCTCATGCTTAGAGACAAACACTATCTTTGACATGAAATGTGGATATGCTGGAGATTAGGGGAGTTTCCAGTTAGGAAAGGAGACATCCAGATAAACTGTAAATTGTGTGTAAAGCTCTGAACGTGGACTAAGCCTCCATTCTCCAGGATGAACCAGTTAAAACAAGGGACCTTTGCACTTGATGGTTTCTCTATCTGGAATATAATACTCTTCCTTTAAGTAATTAACTTCTAATTCCCTGCATCACAGCACAAGCATTGCTTTCTCAAAGGAGCCTTACTAAATATACTCTTATAGTATTGTGTACCTTTGCTTTGGAGCGCTTATTAAATTAGTAGTTTTGCCTTTATTTGTATGTTCATGTGATTAGTAACCATCTCCTCTATTAGACTATGAGCTGCATAAGGACAGAGATCAAAATATTTTTGCCTACCATTTTCTCCCCATCTCTTAGGTCATACCTGGCACATGGAAAAGTACCCACTCAGCACTTTTTTGAATGAATGAAAACCTTCCTGTGGCATTCCCACTCAGGAAAGATCCTGATGGGTTGCTAGGGCATTATTAATACTATGGCAATGAAGTCTGGCTTTCCTGATGGAAGACTTTGACAGGGAGAGTATTTCTCCTAAATGGAAAAGCCAACCAGCAGGTTCAGGACTCCCTCTTCCTAGAGTCCCCTCTGCCTCCAGAGAGACCAGAGCCCCTGTCTCTGGGCCAGGTCAACCAACTCTTTGCTTTCACTCAGATCCTCCTCACTTGGCTGTCCTTGAACCAGCATCCTCTCTGACTTGACGAGGTTCTAGCCATCTCCCATCCTGAACTCCGTCAGTTCCAGCTCCAGCCACCTGCCCCTGCCTTGCTCTAGGCTGGTAGATTCGGAAACCCTACCTCTTACCAAAGGCTAGCACATCCTCTTCTGTCACTCTGATCATCCTTCTCTTTTCTCATCTCCAGTTAGTTTCACTTTGATCTTTTCAGTTATCTGCTAGACTTCAGTTTGAGTTTTGTGATCTGTTCTTCCCTTCTGTACCCAGCACACTAGGGATCTAAGAGAACTGCACTCAAATCCCAACTCTGCATGAACTAGCTGTGTGCCCTTGAGCGAGTTACTTAACCTTTCTGACTCTCAATTTCCTAATTCATGAAATGGATGCAATAAATCTATGTCCCTGGGTGGTTAGAGGGGATTAAACAAGATGATACACATGAAGCATCTCGCACAGTGACTGGCAACAGTAGGTGATAATCAATTATTAATTTCCTTTCTTTCTTCCTAGGTTTGTCTCTCTTACTTCTTCCTGCAGCACAATAGCAATCTCTCTTTCTATTTTTCCCTTTTCTGTCTACAGAATGTTTTCTAGCCCTCATAAAAATAGCAGCACATGAAATGAAATTGCACAGTATTTTTATATCTTCCAAATAACTCAATTCAATTATAGACTGGTCAATTTTAGTTATTTGAGCATTACCAAAGCATCTGAAACTGGTAAATAAAGTTCTGTATTCACATTCAGAAATTAAAGAGCTAAATGGATACTTTGGAGAAGCATAAAGGAAAGATACTTTCCTTGAGGCTTAAGACCTTATATGGAATGTGTCAGCCTAAAGCTAATCCTTCTGGCTAGAAGACAATGCACAGGAAACCCTTATAGTTTAAATTCAACACAGCCGCAATGAAGCTAGTGGAAGAATGAAGGCTCACATTTTCTGGGAAGAGGAATTTGGCAGGAGGTCCCTGTGTGTTATCCACAGAGTCCTCACGTGCATGATTTAGTGCAGGAGATCTGAAAATTCAGAGAGAAAGGGAGAAGTTAATGGGAAAGAGGTTATCAACTTATTACTGGGATGGTTACTAGAATAATTGGATAATAGTTTGAAGCTCCCTAAACTAAATGGAGATTTCAAGACAGGGTCATAATCAAATATTACAAATGCAAGCACATAAGAAAGCAGACAGTCCAGGGTTCAAATACGGGCAGCACCAGTTTCTCGACTTTATAATTTTGGTAAAGTTACTCCATCTCTCTGGGCCCCTGTTTCTTCATGTGTAAATTAGGAACTAAGATTGTATACATCAGCCAGGCGTGGTGGCTTATGCCTGTAATCCCAGCACTTTGGGAGGCTGAGGCGGGCAGATCACCTGAGGTCAGGAGTTTGAGACCAGCCTGGCCAACATGGAGAAACCCCCGTCTCCCCTAAAAATACAAAAATTAGCTAGGCATGGTGGTGTGCACCTGTAATCTTAGCTACTTGGGAGGCTGAGGCAGGAGAATCACTTGAACCTGAGAGGCAGAGGTTGCAGAGAGCTGAGACTACCCCACTGCACTCCAGCCTGGGCAGTACAGAAAGACTTCATCTCAAAAAATAATAATAAATAAAAAGATCGTATACATTACAGAAGTGTGTGGCTGTTGAACAGTTCATTAAATGCACCAGGAACAGTGTTGGGCACCTAGCAAGTACTTAATTAGGGGGTAGGGTTGATTCTGAATTATTATTAGTTATGGAGTTTCTGGCACATTTACCTTCACAGCTTATTATTGAGAAAGGTATTTGCACAGTAATGGAAATGTTGGGGGAATTATCTCTAAGAAAAGGTGGTAAGACTAACATTTCTCAGCAAGGTCTGGGTGAATTACAGCCTAGAGTCTGGCTATCAGACTTATAGCTCAAAAACCTGATTTTTTTCAGTACTGAGAAGAGATCTATCTCTAGGGCAGATTCATACTAATCAAATTCATTAGGCCAATGTTTTAACCAGATCATAGTCAATTAATTTCCAATGAGAAATACAGCTTTTGAAAGGACCAGAATACTCAGGTCAGTGTGATCATTTTCTCCCTGGGCTCATACCTATTGGGAAGCCAAATCTTCAAAGACAAACTACATAATATAAAACTTAGAGCTAGAGAAGTGAGACTTAAGAGATCTAAATGTAAAGTGGGTTCAGTCTAAGCTAGCCCAAGCCAGACATCTCATATTAGGGATAGCCTTTCCCACACTGTATATTGTGAAACTTTAGCCTCTTTGCCAAGCCAAAAATGGAAAACATTCATTGATGATTTTGACTGCATAAAAAAATTTTAACTTCTATACAGCCAAAATAACATAAACAAAGTCAAAAGACAAATGACAAACTAGAAAAATATTTATAACACATAGGTCAATCAAAAGGTTAAAATCAAATACATAAAGAGCTTTTTTTAAAAATTGGTGAAAATTTTTTATGCACCGATTAAAAAAAGACTAACACTGTGTCAGAAAAATGAACAAAAGGTAGGTATGAGTAATTTACAGAAAAAGAATACAAATGATTTATCAGTTGTGCAAGGAAGCACACTGCACTTACAGTGAAATGCTTGATAAACTTTGTCAAGCTGATAAATGGAAGTTATATTTTATTATTGTTACAATTCACCAATTTGGTTAATGAAATTTATATGTGTATGGCTGTGTATTTTTATGTATGTGATATTAAATTTGTAATATGATTAATAGCTATTAATATATATTTTTATTAATTACATCTATCTTTTGCCTATTGCTCTATTGGGCTATTCTTCCTCTTATTGATTAAAAGAGCTCTTTATATATTCAGGTATTAACCCATTATGCATGTTAAATAAAGCCTCCTCCCCTTCTCTGGGCTTCTTGAGGCAGGTTCATGGGAGAGAAGCAGAAGATAATTCCCTTTAAATGAACATCCAATATGTACCAGATTCTTTCACATGGATTATCTCATTTGTCCTTAAAACATTCCTAGGGAGCAGGTGCTGTGATTCCTACTTTATAGCTGAGGACCCAGTGGCTCAGAGAAACTGAGTAACTTGCTTAAGGACATACAGCTAGTAAGCTGTATTTGAACTCTGAACCTAAAAATGTGCTCTTTCCTCTTGGTCATGCAAGTGGCTTCCCAGAAGGCTCCCAGCTCTTTTGACCATCACCTAATCTCTACTACAACATCTGGGGACCCAGTTGATGTTGCCCCAGATCATACCTGAACCAATACCAACTGGGCAGGGGCTCCATCAGAAGCAATGGGTAGGTTAAAGTTAGTCATACTGCCCTTGTTCCAGCATCCTGTGTGTTTGGGGTTGAGTCCTGGACATCTGAGTACCCACTGAAATGCAATTCCCTCTTATTTTTTGCTTAGTTTCCCTCTCTGCCTGAGGTCAGACCAGATTTTCCTCTTACACTTAAAAAAAAAAAAGGAACTCAAACTAAACAGCAGCAAACCATCTCCCCTCCTTAAGAGGAGGAATTGTAATTTGATTGGTTTAAGTGCTAGGTGGGATCACTAAAACCATATCCAGGAATAAGGTCTTTTCTTCTGCCTGCTGTCAACATCTGCAGCATTTGCACTCAATGTATTAGTCCCACCCAGTTACCTACAGTGCCCCAAATAGGCTTTGCTCTAACACGCCTCCATGCCTATGTATGGACTACTCTTTCCCACCTAGCAAATGCTTTTACCTCCTTCAAGTTCCATCTCACCTCTGCTATGGAGAACCCTCAGACCCTCCTTTCCACTGTGAAGGACCCCCAGGCCCTGCTTTGAAAAAAGGCAGAGTTAAGTCCTCTTCATCTGTGCTCCACAGCTTCTGTGCTCACCTCTGCCACTGCCTTGACCATGTTTTTGTTGTTGATGTTTGTTTTTTAGAGACAGGGTATTGCCCTGTCACCTAGCTGGAGTCGGCTCCATCATAGCTGACTGAAGCCTCAAATTCCTAGTCTCAAGCAGTCCTCCTGCCTCAGCCTCCTGAGTAGCTGGTACTACACAGGCACACTACCACACCTGGCTTTTTTTTTTTTTTTTTTTTTTGTAAAGACGGAGTCTCCCATGTTTCCCAGGCTGGTCTCAAACTCCTGGGCACAAATAAGTGATCCTCCTGCCTCGGGCTCCCAAAGCACTGGGATTACAAGCATGAGCCACCATGCCCGGCCCCTTGACCATGTTTTGTGGTAGTTTCTGTTTAATGTGTCTGGGGGATTCCCCACTGAACTCAAGCAGGGATTTCCTTCAGAGCAGGAGCCATAATCAACCATCTCTTCATCTCCGGAGCCCAGCACAGGATAATGAATGGATGAGGATGCCTCTGAGTCTGAGGTCTCTCCTTCCCACCTAGCCTATGCCCAGACTCACAGAGCTGGTTTCTGCTTTGTATCTCACTTTGATTTGCTTGTCTGAGTAATTTGCTTCCTTCCCCAGCTCTCTAGAAAGATTGCTTCCATCTCAATCTTGCTATGAGGGCCCAAATACTTCTTGATTTGTATCACCTGCTTCTGGTCTCCTTATCACTATTTCTGGCTGCCTGTTGGGAGAATCTTGAAGCCTGGGCTTCAGTGACAACACTGTAACCTCTTAAACACTTTCTGAGCTGGTAGAGTTCTCACAGCCCCTGTCCTGTTCCTGGAGTAAGTACAGGACCAGGCCCTAACCCTCCCAGCCCTCTCTATGGTCTTATGGGCATGAGGCCAGGCCTCTTCATGACCGTAAGACTCAAACCTTTGTTCCAGCTTCACTCCTATCAGTCTGCCCCTCCTACACCACTCCAGGCACGCAGAAGGCAAATCAGCTGAGTCACTCTCGGCCAGGAGTTCTGCAGCATCACAAGAGAAATCAACAGAGCAGGAGGAAATTGGCTTATTTCACAGAGAGGCACTTGGAGCAACCAGGCAGCCCAAAGCCCCTGGGAAGCCAGGCAAAGGACCACCTAGGTCATAACTGCATCCTCTCTGCTGTTGTCACTCTTTGGAGAAAAGTGTTTTCAGGACCCAGTCCTCAGACCCATTCACACCTGAGCCAACTCCATCAGAGGAGAGGGAGGATGGGACCTTACCAGGCTATGGGGTCTCGAAGGTGAGCTGCTGGAGCAAGGGATGGAGGACTAGTAAGACTGTTTGTTCTAAACTCTAGGGGAAGGATGTTTGAAGGTTGTTGCTGAGTTAGTCTTTAGAAACTTACTGACACTCACCTTGGCCAGCCCCAAAGATTACTGAGACATAATTCCTGCCCCAGATGGCTCATAGTCTAGCAAAAGAGGATGTTAAAGCTTTCTAGGTTGGGATCTTGTAGAGGAAAGAAAATACAAGTAGAGACAGAGAAGTACAAACAAAGCCCGCTGGTGTGGAGTGTAGTTGAAGGGAGAGTGCATTGGCCAGAGAGTTGGAAGAGCTGATTTCATTTTTTGAAATACGTATTGAGAAGTTCAGATAGTTGCGGTACGATGGGAGTGGAAGGAGATGAGGCTGGAGAGGTAGGTTACAAGAGGGGACTTGGTTTGGAAGACCACGTCTCTACAGTGGAACATTTACTGAGTTAAGGAACACAGGTTGAGCAAGCAGACCTGTGAGTGAAGATGACATGCTTAGGTTTGCCCAAGTTGAGGCTGAAATGCAGAGTGGGCTCCATTCGCTCTGTGTTTGCCACATCCTTAGTCTTTCTGAGGAAGGTGGCTCTAGACCTATAGTCCTCATACAGGACTCTCTATGAATAGTAATCAGCAGATTTAATCACATCCTCGTTTGGGAAGTTTGGATCTAAGAGATAAACAGCAGAATGGCCTGGAAGTTGAGAGAAATGCAGAAAATGGGATCACACCTGTAATCCCAGCACTTTGGGTGGCGGAGGTGGGAGGATTGCTTGAGTTCAAGATTAGCCTTAGCCGACAGTGAGACCCTGTCTCTACAAAAAAATATTTTAAAAAAAGAGCTGGATGTGGTGGTATGTACCTATAGTTCTAGCTACTTGGGAGGCTGAGGCAGGAAGATTGCTTGAGCCCAGGAGTTTGAGGCTGCAGCGAGCTATAATCATGCCACTGAACTCCAGCCTGGGTGACAGACTGAGACCCTGTCTCCAAAAAGAAGAAAAGAAAAAGCAGCAGCAGCAGTAGCTATGGGGTTTTTCTCGTGCTGTTCTTGTGATAGTGAATAAGTCTCATGAGATCTGATGGTTTTATAAATGGCAGCACCCCTGCACGTGCTCTTTTGCCTGCTGCCTCCTAAGACATGCCTTTGTTCTTCCTTCGCCTTCTGCCATGATCGTGAGGCCTCCCCAGCCATGTAGAACTGAGCCCATTAAACCTCTTTGCTTTATAAATTACCCAGTCTTGGGGATGTCCTTATAGCAGCATGAGAACGGACTAATACAGATACTTAGTAGCCAAAAATAGTAAATATCCTCTTCTGAGATCAGTTAGGTCTCCCTCCAGCCTAGGTCAATAAAATCCTTCACATTATTCAATCCAGCACAATCAGAGGCCAGAACCTCAGAGAAAGAAAGTGTGCATTGTTTGGGCTTATTCTCTGGGCTCATATTTCTTTCAAAGGCTTGGGGAGAAGGGATGGGCAGTAGTCGCTGTGGCAGGACAGGTTTCAGATCTCAGGAATTTTGGGCATCCTCCAAATTCCATTATCCCCAACAAGACTCAACTCATCACAGTTGGCAAACAACCCTGGCCAAGACAGCTCCAAGTTGAGAACTGAAGGGTGAGTAGCTGATAGGCAAGTGAGGGGAGGTGGTTAGAATATTCTAGGATATGCGAAGGCTTGATGCATTTGGGTAACTGAAATCGATTCCATATGGCTGGGAAGGTAAGCACAGGAAATACTGGGATGCCATGAACTAGAGAGGAAGGTGTCTTAGGGAGTTTGGATTTTATACTGAGGACAGAGGGATGCCATTGATGTGCTTTAATCTGGGGAATATTAGTTTCATGATGATGACGGCTTTGTTTTGCTCACTACCATATCCCTAGCACCTAACACTCCATAGGTACTCAGCAAACAACTGGAAATGAATGAACGGATGACTGCTGTGCAGAAAATGTGTCCAGAATAATCAGTGAGGAGGTGACTATGTAGTCCAAATATTAAATCACAGGTGACCTGGGCTGTGGGGATGAAGAGAAGTGCACAGATTCATGGCATGTTTGGGAGGTAGAATAAATTACATGCTGGTACGGGCATAGTGATGCTGATGGTGGGAAGTGTGGTATCAAGGATGAGATCCTGGTTTCTAACATAACAACTGAATAGCTGAAGGTATCATTACCTGAGATACAAATGACTGGAGGGGTAGGTCAACGGTAGAGTAACAAATTCATGTGCCAACACATTTAGCTTTAGGTGTCCATGGAACATCCAAGTGGAGGCTTCAGCTGTTGCCAGTCTTTGCCCTGGAGAAGCACACCTAGACCCAGATGGATCACAGGTGGAGCTTTAGCCTCCCCTCTGGAGAGCAATGCCAGGGTCTGTGCCAGCAGGGGCACCTGAGCCCAGTGTGCTGGGACCCTGACCCAGTCTCTGCTCTTGAGTCTGCCATTCAATATCTGTGAGTATGCATTATCAAGGGCCTACTCTGTGCCTTCTCCTGACATTCCCCGCTCCCCCTCCCATTCCTAGACTCATCATTTCATTAGTACTGTAGGGAGGATGGCCAGCATTGCTTTGATGAGGACTGAGCCTGAACACTGCACCAGAACTGCTTTCTCAGAATTATATAAGCTAGGACAGAATGCAGGAGCCTCGATTTCAGACAGCACAGACTGACAAAATGGAGTGCTCAGATCATGTTGTCTTGCTTGTGTAGTTAAAATAGCAAAACTAAACTAAAACAAATCGCCTAACAAAAATGTTTATTTATACACATTCTAACACCTTAGATAAGAAAAAGAATCCTGTTTTATCATTGCACTGTTGTCATGTCACTGCGTCACTCCCCCTTCTCTGGGCTCTGATGTGAGGCCAGTCTGCCTTACAGTCATCAGCAGCAAGGAAATTACAGAAGAGAAGGCAGAAGGGTTGGGGAAGAACTTGGTGATTTGAGTTCGTAAGTCACCAAGTGGTAACTGCCCTGTTTCTTCTCTCGTGTCTCTGGGGCCTGGATGTTTGGGGGTGCTGGGCATTGCTTCTGCCTGTGAAACTGCAGTTTTGGGGTTACTGTATCCCTTCTCCCTACAAATTTCTGTACAATTTATGAGTACAAGACAGTGTCATCAACACAAACAGTAAAGAAAGAAACAGTCCTGTTGATTACATAGAGAGCACGATCAAGATACAAAGCGTTTTCTAGTCGAGAAGACTTCCCTATTGTGTTTTGTGTGATAATATATAATTTATCACACAAATTTAATAATTTAATAAGGAATTAAAATTGTGCATACCTTTTGAACCTTGATATACACATATTACATGCTATTTATTTAAATGCTAAAATCGTTTTATTCTAAACATTAAATAATACTTTAGCAAATATAATTTAAATAATGAGGCAGGTGCTGTCCGCATTCTGTGTCCTCTCAGATCCGTTCCCTGTCCTCCTTCTGCTTTGCTCTGTGCCACAGTGAGACCGACCTCCCAGCCTCCTTTCTTGGGCTCCTCTGCCAGCTGGGTTACAGCTAGCTTGAACATGGGAGGCAAGAGATGGGAGGACAGGAAGAAAGGAGACCCCCAGGTGTTTCTCCCCGCCTCTGCCACAGGTGGCATCTTCAGCAGTTGCTGCATCTTCTTCTTGACTCCAGCTCTCATCAGATGTGCTTACCATGGTCCCAGTTTGCTCCAGTGACCCTAAACCCTGAGCACCAGTAACATCACCTCCTTTTGTCCTTACAGCCTAGGGCTGGTAGGGGTTTCTGCTATTGCTAAGCTCTGAGTTGCTTCACCATCTTCAGTTTGGCTTATCAGCTCTTCTGTCACTTGGAAACCCAAATCTCAGCATTAAATTGCCTGTTTTCAATACTTTGAATGGTTCTGTTTTCCATTCTGTTGAACCCTGCCTCATAAATGCAGTGTTATTTAAAAGGGATCACGGATGGAGGATTTTTGTTATTTAAACTGAGAATGGCCACTTTCTGAAAGAAGGTGCAAGGAATCAGAAGCCAAAGTTTGCCTGGATCTTGTAGGAATATGGCGGGGGGCGGGGGTTGGGGGAGGATCTTGAGCTTCCTGGCTTTAAAAT
The DNA here is from genome assembly GCF_000001405.40 of Homo sapiens. NCBI lineage: Eukaryota > Metazoa > Chordata > Mammalia > Primates > Hominidae > Homo > Homo sapiens. The sequence continues at coordinate 41,648,136 of NC_000020.11, forward strand.
TAACAGCTTTGGGGAAAGGATACCCAGGTGGCAGAGAACGATGGTGAAAGGGCCATCCCTATCCAGTAGTACTCTTTGGTGTCTAAGAGACAGACTTAGGCTAACTTAAGCAAAAAGGGATTTATTGGAAGACTATAAGAAAAGTCACAGAATTGTAAAGAAAGCTGAATAGGTCAGCTTTTGGAAAGAGGAAAAAGGGCATCTCAGGGATCTAGGGAGTAGGAATTAGCAGTCCTTTTAGGAAGCTTGGATGGAGTAGCTGTACTATAAGGTCATCACTTTCATTCCTGGATCATTCTGCTCAAGATTCAAAATCCAGAGAGGGAAAGGGTCCAATGGGTTCAGCATAAATTAAGTGCTTGCTATTGCCCAGGGGAGAGCAGGACCCCGAGGTTATGTGCAATGCAGGCAGAGATTCCCCCCAAAGAAAGAACAGCTTGAAAACTGTGCTATTTGCACCCTGGGCCTACCATAAAAATCAGAAGTAGGGAATGAAGAAATGGCCCAAGGCAAGTAGAATAATCTTCCTCTACAGCCAAGAAACTAGCCAAGAACCCAAATGGTGGTTAATCTAAGGATCCAGTGGCTATACCTTGAGACACTGGCTGGGGCCCAGATGATCCATGTGGACTTGCTTCCACTTTTGTGCCAAAGACAGCTCTGCCTGCCCCCAAGTAACTTGGGACCCAACAGGACTAAACCAGTCAATTCTGGGGATGGATGAGATGGGGATGCAGTGGGGGGGACAGATCCTCAGACAGGAGGCCAAAGCGTAGGACAGGGATAGAACCTACTCACTTTGTTCTTAGGGTATGTTAGAGGATAACATTTGTTTGTACTCAGAGCTCTTTAGCAAAGAGTTATTTAACATGCGATGTCATTGTCCCTGAAAGCCACACTCAAGAAGCACCCAAGGGCCCTGGTCAATAAAAAAAAATCTTATCTTCACTCTCTATGGTGGAATTGTTGGGCGAAAGCAATGACAGCATGAAAGGGATTACGAATGTTTTACTGGGATCAAGTGGGTATCAGCTGTGCCCACACATGGGGGTATGGCATGTCTGGGTATGTCTGTATTGAGCTTGCCAACCAGACATCAGTTTGCATAAGGGCTTCTTGGGAGAAAACTCACCCTTAACCAAAAGGAAACCAGAGAACAAGCTAACCTAGTAAATGGGGCCCTCGTCTTGGGCAATTCTAGTTCAAAGAGGAGACTTCCATTCAGATTTGTGTTCAGTAGGCACATGTCTGAATCTTAAGGTGGTGGTGGAGGAGGGAGACAGAGAGGGGAGACACACACACACACACACACACAGAGAGAGACAGAGAGAGAGAGAGAGAGAGAAAGGGGAGGGATATAATAAATTCTGAAATTTGAAAAATGAAAACATGCTATAAGTGGGAAAATTGGAAGAGTTGCCACACTAGATACTTGGTCAAGCCCTGCCTTCAAGCAGTTCAGCTGTGGATCTGTCATTGATTCTCAAGGCCTGGCATCTTGTGTATCTCAGCATTTTTGGCAGTGTCTGGAAGAAGAGAGCATAACTGAGCAGATGCAGCTGTGCTCACTGGAGCGTGGGTGGAGCCAAAGAAGAATATACCTGCAAAGCTTTCAGGATCACCTCCCAGGCTTGTAAATACGTGGGCCCCTGAATTATCTGTTGTGAGGCTGTTATCTAGAAGCAGGGGTTTGGGGTTTGAAGCTAGGGTCGAGAACCATCAGAATACAAAGTACTGGAGAAAGAACATTCCAGGCAGAGGGAATGGCAGGGCATGGAGATCTTAATAGCCTGAATACGTCTTGTAGTACAGGCCCAGTTACTCTCATTTGAAAAATGTCTAGCCATCTTCATCTCGGTGGTGAATCTGCAGTGGAACTACCTTGGCTGGTACTTGCATCCATGTTAAAGAAGCCCAGTTTTTTAAAGGCTGAGTATGTGGTTCAACCTGGGGGCCGGCTGGCCTCTCTCCCTCCTTCTGAATGCTTCCCTTCCTTCCTTTGTCTGTGTCCCTTTCTCTTTCCCTCATCAGTCCTTTTCTTCTGTAAGACCAGTGCTTTGCAGTAGCTACCTTCAGGAAAGCTGATGGTTCATGCCTTCCAGGAGAGAAAGTTCACAAATTGCAACATGGTTTTGTTTTTGTTTTTTGTTTTAAAGCTGAGCAGCAGGATCACAGAACCTGCAGGTTTGCTGTCTGCTCAGCAGGACAAAGAGAGCAGAGAGAGGAACATGAAAACCAAGCGGACCAGAAGAAAGGAAAACATGAAGGAGGCTCATTTAAAGGGGGAGGAGACTTTGCTTAAGATGCTGGCTTGGGGGAGGGTGACTGCACCAAACATGTGCTGTTTCCAGGGTCCAGATGGTGTCATTTGCCCTGCAAAACAAGTAATAGACAACATGATTTTGATGCTCAGAAATAAATCTGTGAGTAAGTCATTTGGGGGAAATGATGCCCATGGCTGTTATACTCACAACAGAAGAGATTCAACTACATTTGAAAACAACTGCCCTGCCTTGCTGGCCTCTAGTTCATTTAAATGCTGTATTTACATTGTTACCAGCTGTATTTGCACAGCTAGAACTTCCACCTGCTTGATAATTTACTTAAGGTACATATTGTATTTACATGATATAGACCAGAGTAGGGAAACTGGTCATACCTGTTTGGGGCTGGAAAGAGCAGCAGCTCATCTGAAATTTTCATCTTGGCAGACCCACTGCCTTTGCTATAGGTGCTGGCACATAGTAAATACTGTATAATAATAATAATAATAATAATAATAATAATAATAATAATAATAGTTAACTCTCATGGAATGCTTTAAGGTATGGAGAGTTTCTATAACTTACCCACAGTTAAACAGCTATTCATGTACTAAAGCCAGCATCTGAACCCAGGCTGGATCTGGATGTTTTAGTACTGGTTGTTCTTCAGCATAAAGACCCCTGCTTCAAGATGGCAGATTGAACAAGTGCAATTGATTACTAACCCTCTCTTCCAAAACCCTACAAAAACAACACTGCAAGAAATTGTAAAATGTTTAAATGTACGAAGATAAAGAGTGTGGGAGAGCAGACATATCCCTATCCCTAAGCAGCAATACAATTTTAGAAGCTGGAAAGCACATGAATGAATGGTGGCTGACTTCGCAGACCCAGAAAGCTGAATCCTAAACTGGCAGTGAGAAAAGCCAAGAAACAGCAACCTGATTTCATGGCAGAAACTCCCCAAGGCTCAGGAATTAGTGGCACCAGATGGGGCTGAAACAGGAAGATTGGTTCAAAGTCTGATATGCAGATTCCTAGATCCTTTCTTCAACCCCAGCAGAAGATTGCATGTTTATTTTCTTGTGGAGGTAAAAGAGGGCTTCTGAATCGGGGGTGCCAGGTACAATTGAGGGCTGGGATATTCCCTGATAATAGTAGGGAAATCAGATTTAAATTTGCATACTGACTGTGAGATTCCCACCATTTTCTTCTCTTCTCTCACAACTGCTAGAATGCTTGTAACCAGAATTATTACCCTTGAGGCAGGAGAGTGGGAGACACTTTTCTCTGGGAAATATGACCAGCCTGAGAAGGCGGACCTCACAAATGGATCCAGGAGGATCACCAAACAGTGAAGCCCATAGACCACATGCCCAAGCCAAGTGCAAAGAGCTTTTGATTGGGTTTTTAATGCTTTACTCTTAAGCATGACCAGGCAACCTAAACACTTAAACCTAAGCCTAACCCAAACATCGAATTATCCAAGCAACTATTACAGAGCAAAAGGGGCTTTCTGCCTGATGCACTAGAAGCCATTACTAAGACGCCGGGCTTTTGAGAAAAGAAAAGATTTTTATTGTAAGTTGACTAACAAGGAGACAGGAATCCAGCTCAAACCTGTCTCTCTGCGCTGGCTTTCAAGCAGTCATTTTATTAGGAAAGGTTTAGGGAGTGAGTTCTGGGATTAGCAGGTGATTGGTGGAAGAAGAGGGGAGGTCTGGACAGTCCTTGGGCATGTGCAGTTATCTTTTTATGCTACCTCATGGAGCACATGTGCAAATTTGGGGGGAGTTAGCATGAAACATGTGGCGGAAATTCAAGCTGCGATTCAGCAAACTGGTTCTGCACAGATTCTAGTTGGCCATATTGGTTCCGTTTGATTCCAGCCAGTTTTGTTATCTCATAAGCAGAGGAAAGTTCAGCATTTCAGCAAGTTATTTCTTTTCTTATCTGTTGTTCTGTGCAAACTCAAGAATTTCTGTTAGTCATTGAACAGAGAGAGCCGATGGAAGGAAATTATCAGAGAAATAACTGAAATCTATTGAAAATAATTGAAATATTCCAGAAAAGAAAGGCATGAATTTCCAAATTTAAAGATTCCAAAGAGTGGCCTACATAAACTCTGGAGATATTTCCATCTCAAGTCACATCTTTCTTTTTTTTTTTTTTAGATGGAGTTTCACTCTTGTTGCCCAGGCTGGAGTTCAATGGTGTGGTCTTGGCTCACTGCAACCTCTGCCTCCCAGGTTCAAGTGATTCTCCTGCCTCAGCCTCCCAAGTAGCTGGGATTACAGGTACCTGCCACCACGCTTGGCTAATTTTTGTATTTTTAGTAGAGACAGGGTTTCACCATGTTGGCAAGGCTGGTCTTGAACTCCTGACCTCAGGTGATCCACCTGCCTCGGCCTCCCAAAGTGCTGGGATTACATGCATGAGCCACTGTACCTGACCCAAGTCACATCTTTCAGAAGTATCAGATCACTGGTGACAAAGAGAACATCCCCAAGTATTTGAAGAAAGGCTCCAGTGTGAAAGATAAAGACGCACACTACTACATGCAATTTTGAGGAATTTGGGATGATGTAGGAAGAAGATGGTATTAGACACTGCACTCATGAAGAAAAGGACAGGATGTTATGAAAGGGGGGATGATCATTTTAAAAAAGAGGCTGTCAGAATGAAAACAGCTGTAATGGAACAGATAAAACTATTTTCCTTGGATATTTAGTGGATCTTGCCCCATGGTGTTGGATCTGCCACTTGAGAAGTCTGATGCCATTATGGTTTTTGACATTTTCTATGAAAGTTGCTTTTACTCTCTGGAAGCTTTTAGCATCTTTTCTTTGTCACCAGTGATCTGATGCTTCTAAAAGATGTGACTTGACATGGAAATATTTCCAGAGTTTATGTTGGCCACTCTTTGGAATCTTTGGAAACAACTCATGCCTTTCTTTTCTGGAATATTTCAATTATTTTCGATAGATTTCAGTTATTTCTTTGATAATTTCCTTCCATTGGCTCTCTCTGTTCTTTATTTTTGGAATTCCAATTATTCACTTGTTGTGCCTTCCTCATTGGTGCTCAAGTTCTCTTATATTTAGGCCAGGTGTGGTGGCTCACATCTGTAATCCCAGCACTTTGGGAGGTTGAGGCAGGTGGATCACCTGAGGTCAGGAGTTCAAGACCAGTCTGACCAACATGCTAAAACCCCCATCTCTACAAAAAATACAAAAATTAGCCAGATGTGGTGGCAGGCGCCTGTAGTCCCAGCTACTCAGGAGACTGAGGCACAAGAATCGCTTGAACCCAGGAGGCGGAGGTTGCAGTGAGCCGAGATCACCCCACAGCACCCCAGCCTGGGCAATAGAGCAAGACTCCATCTAAAAAAAAATCTCTTATATTTCCTCTGCTATTGGTTACCTCTTTAGCTGTTTGTCCTTCAAAGAGATTTCCTTATTTCTAGGCGAATCCTGGAGAAGAAGCCCCAGGAAGTATGGACTGGAAGACTGGGGAGGCAGGCCCTCCAAGAAGACAGTAGCATCCCCTGATGTGGCATCCACCTTCCTCTAGTGTTTGAGATGTGGGTGCGACAAGTTGGCATTGGAAGGAAATCCCTGTCTGGCTCTTGTGCTACCGTAGACCTGGAACCCTGGAACAATGCTCTTGTCTTTAGCCCCTCTTCTGCTTTCCCATTGTTCAAGCCAAGCCTTTTCCATTTTGCCTCTACAATGGAATCTAAGGATAGAGAATGGGATAATTGGGGATATGTGATTGTCTCCTGAATCTGAGCCTATTAATATATCCTTCTAAAGGCATTGTTCCTACTGACCACCCCAAAGAACTGGATTCCATGAGTGTCCAGCAAGTGACTAAGATTCCAATTTAGGCCTTCTCTTCTAAGAGCCAGTACCTGGATAAAAGGCAAAATTCAACCTGATAGTCTCTTATAGCAGTTTAGGGAACCACAACTTGTCAGGAATACAGGACAGCAGGATTTTTGTTAGGCCTCAGGTAACACACCGCTGCCTAGGCCTTGCTGCGTCCTGGGATGCCAGAGGACTTGTTTCCTTAGCTACAATCATCATGTGACAAGAACACACAGAGATTCGGAGATGTTGCTTAGCAACCATGCTGCACCTGCTGGGGCTCTGGGCCAGCAGCTTGGGCCAGGGAGCCTGGCTTTGAACTTGGAAACTCCCATAAGGGCTGTCAAAAGGAGGAAGACCTAATTTGGGGAGACTGTTTTGGCCCTGGGCTTTTGCAGAGATGGTAAAGGTACAGATGGAGAACTGAGGCTGAGGAAACTGGCTTTCCCATAGTAATGGAGAAGGGTGGTGGGCGTGGGAAGAGCAGGACTAGTGGGCAGAGACAGACTGTTGGGCTGATGTGGGTAGCAGTTCCCTGCCTGACCTACCCTAGAGAAAATCCTTTTGTCTCAGAGGATGGGTGTTCAGAACCCTGAGGAGGGATATGCCTGGCTCAAGAACCAGTTCCATAGGGCTTCTTAGGGACCTGAATCAAGCCAGAGGATCTGTTCCCTAAGAGTCAGTCCAAGGAGAATTCCCTTCTGGAAGGGAGCAGAGTGCTTCACAATGGGTGACATTGGTGGTGGTCAGGGAGCGCAATGAAGTAGTATCAGAAACTGGGCTGTTCAACCACAGGGCCACTGGGGAGCTGTCCATGGTTTGGGGTAGGCTCCTCACCAGCTCTGGCTGTCTCTCTCACTCTCTGCCAGGGCCCAGTTGATTTGATAGGCTGTGGAGTCAGATTGCCTAGATTTGAATCCAACTTCCTCTCCCAGGGGAAAGGGACTAAATTTTGTGTTTCAGTTTATCTGTCTGTACAATGTGGATGGGGATCTCAAGGACTGTTGTAAGGACAAAATGAGTTAATCACACTTCTTGGCATATACTAAATGGCCAGTAAAACTATCATCACCCTCATCCCCACCCCAATCCTCACCCCCAGCAACTGGCCCAGGGGACAAAGTCTATGGCCAGGTATTCTCCAATCTTTCTTGATACCCCTGGAGCACATGGGAATAAATAATGGCGAGAATCTATACCCTCTGCATTTGCAGATGGGAGGAGCATTCCCCTCCCTGCTTGCTGAGGATTTGAATATCCTTAACCAATTGACTTTGTTTTAGTGAACCAAGTACTCCTCCAACCCTTGATGCCCCAAATACCCTAATATCTTCACTTTGGTGCTGCTCATATTAAAATTGTACATATAGCATGGCACTTTAGGAGGCAGTGAGATCATGGGTTCAGGACTTGAGCTCAAATCCCAGCTTCTGTTATATCCTAACCACGAAATCTTGAACAAATTTTATCTCCTCTCTGAGCCTCAGTTTTCTCATCTCTAATACAGGGAAGTGATAGTACCTAACCTTCTTAGTATGAGATATGCCCAGCTCTTGATAAATGTTAGCCATGTTACCAAATTTCTCTCTTTGTGGCTTTATGAACTTTATGAACTGGCTCCAAGTGAGAATGTGAGGACCAAGGGGGCTAGTAGATTCCAACTGTTCCCCTAAGGGGAGAAAGGGAGGAGTTAAAGAAGCTGATGGTTGAAGTGCCCCCCTCCTCAATACTCCAACATGGGACTGGCAGCTGCAATAGCATCTTTGTCCTCCTGTGTTTGGACACTGACTATTCTGCTATCTGGTGCTGAGGGAATCCCAGCCAGCCTGCCTTAAGCATTCTCCCTACCCTCCACTCCAGCCAGTCCGAGGTCCCTCAACACTCCCCCTCTCTCTAAGCCATGTCAAATGCTGGCGCCTGCCCTTCCTCCTTTCTCAAATGAGCTTGTTCCCCAGATGACCCTACAGCTGCATGGTTCTAAGATTAGCTGGATCCTGCATTTGACTCTGATAATTAATTACCCAAATGGAGAAAATTGAATAGTTAACTGGTTCACAGGAAGATAATTAGCTTTTCTGAGCCCCTGTTACAGGCAAATAAAGAGGAGGATTGTTTCTCAATTGCCTTCATTAAAGGGAGTCCCTCTCACCCAGGAGCCCTGACCCAGAGGCCCTTGGGGGCCCTGAGGGGTTCTGTAGTGCTCCTGGTGCTTTATCTCAAAATAGAGAGGCAGCTGGTACAGTGTAGCCAGCACAGGCTTCAGACTCTAAGCAAGCTTGGGCTCAAGCTCCGCCTCTACCATGTATTACCTATGAGACCTTGGTATTGCAGTACAACCTCTCTAAGCCTCCCTTTCCTTATCTGAATATGGGAATAATGCTGTGTAACTCACAGTGGTGTTATAAGCATTAAACTACATAATGTCAGTAACATGCCCTGTTCTGCACTCATTGATAGATTTTTTCATTGATAAAGTTCTTCATAAAGTTTATTGTTCATTGATGAAGTGTTCATTGATTGGGAACCATTTTACCATGTCATGATTGTAGCTCCCATCATAGCATATGCTCCCATATCATGGAAACAAGGGAAACACATATGAAAGCCAGGAGAACAGCAAATCAAGATTAAATCGAGCATCCTATGCTGATTGGTGCAGGGTCTACACACAGGGTGGGGAAGATTCATGAAGGTCTTCTTCAGCCTGTTCAACTTGTCTTTGTACTGATATTGGCTCTGCCCTTTGATACTAGGCTTTCTGGGTCACCATGTGGTCACTCTTCTGTCAGCAGCAATCCCTCACCAACCCTCTCTCAAGCACAGAGACTCATCCCCACCTACTTGACTGCAGTCTTTCTAAAATTTTATTTACTCTGCCCAAGCCCAGCTCCCTGGAGTGTTTATCACTCTGACACGTTCAGCACATATAGATACGTATGTAGAGGTTAAGAGCATGGGCCCTGAGCCAGACTGCCTGAGTTCAAATTCAGCTTAGGTACCTACTCTGTTACTTACCTTGTGCCTCAGTTTCCTCATTATAAAATGAGGTTGATAACAATAGTACCTATGTCATAGAATTATTATGATTAAATAAATGTGAAGTGTTTGGAGTAGTGCCTTGTAAGTGCTCACACGTGTTATCTATTATTATTATTCAGTTCTGAAGCTGGATTAGGACAAGGAGAGGTCTACAGATTGAGGAAAAAAGGCAGGGCCGGAGGCCTTCACCTGGCTAGTACAGGGAAGTGATAGTACCTAACCTTCTTAGTATGGGATGTGCCCAGCTCTTGATACGTGTTAGCAATGTTACCAAATTTCTCTCTTTGTGGCCTTATGAACTTTATGAACTGGCTCCAAGTGAGAATGTGAGGATCAAGGGGGCTAATAGATTCCAACTGGTCCCCTAAGGGGAGAAAGTGGGGAGTTAAAGAAGCTGATGGTTGAAGTGCCCCAGCTGAGTGGACTCAGAGGCAACTGGACCCTCTCCGCAGGGACGATTAACTCCTGGGTAGCAATCTCACATTCTTTTAGGTAATATGTTGTACTTCCTCATTTCTGCTTAAACCGCCAACAATTCTTCCCATAGTTTCACTCTCAGCTAATAACTTTGCATCTTGTTTCACTGAGAAAATACGGGTCATTAGAAAAGAGCGTCAACAACCTCCCCCACCACGTTTACTTCCTGCCAGGGCTCTGTCCATATATTCAGTTTTCTTTTTTTTCTTTTTCTTTTTTTTGAGACAGAGTCTTGCTCAGTCGCCCAGGCTGGAGTGCAGTGGTGCAATCTTGGCTCACTGCAAGCTCCGCCTCCCGGGTTCACACCATTCTCCTGCCTCAGCCTCTCCAGTAGCTGGGACTACAGGCGCCTGCCACCATGCCCGGATAATTTTTTTTATTTTTATTTTTATTTTTAGTAGAGATGGGGTTTCACCATGTTAGCCAGGTTGGTCTCGATCTCCTGACCTTGTGATACACCCGCCTCAGCCTCCCAAAGTGCTGGGATTACAGGCGTGAGCCATCGCGCCCGTCCCATATATTCAGTTTTCATTGTTAACTACCTGTGTTCTTTTCCAAGGCCAACATTTTACTTATTGCTAGATCCCATTCTTTCTTGCTTACTCAAGGACACTGCTCCAGCATTTTTCCCTCTCTTTCCTGAATCATCAGTTTTTTTCTCTCTACTGGAACATTCACATCAGCATAAAAACATGCTGCTATTTCTTTATTGTGGAAAAAAACAAAAGCAAAACTCTTTATCTCACAATGATTCGAGCTACTACCTCATTGCTTTGCTTCCTTTTGTAGCAAAACCTATTGAAAGAAGTCGTTGTTGCTGTTTTTAACAATTGCTGCCTCCAATTCTTCCTCTCACATTCTTTCTTATTTTCTTTCCTTTTCTTTTTTTTTTAGACGGTGTCTCACTCTGTTGCCCAGGCTGAAGAAGACCTCCATGACTCTTCCCCACCGTGTGTGTGGGAAGTGCAGTGGCATGATCACGGCTCACTGGCTCACTGTAGCCTCAACTCCCAGGCTCATGTGATCCTTGCATCTCAGCTCTTCGAGTAGCTGGAACTACAACCACCCACCACCATGCCTGGCTAATTTATTTTATTTTGTTTTATTCTACTTTATTTTATTTTATTTTTGTAGAGACAAGGTCTCATTATGTTGCCCGGGCTCGTCTTGAACTCCTGAGCTCAAGTGATCCTCCCACCTCGGCCTGCTAAAGAACTAGGATTACAGGCGTGAGCCACCATACCTGGTCCTCCCATCCTTTCTTGAACCCACTCCAATCAGTCTTTCACATTTACCACTCTAGCAAGACTGAATTATCAAGATCACCAATTGCCTCCATATTGCTAAATCCATGGTCAATTCTCAGTTCTCATCTTTCTTGACCACGTGGTAGAGAGAGGTTAGCTGTTCCAAGTCTCTTCTTTCTCCTGGGCACCAGCTGGATCACATTTTCCAGACTTATTTGTAGCTAGGTGTGGTGATATTGCTGGGTTCTGACCAGTGGAATGTGGGTGGAAGGGATTTATGTAACTTTCAAGCCTGACCCACAAAACCTTTCTGTGCTGGAGGTCTGCCCTCCTCTATTCACCTTTTTCCACTCTACTCCTGCCTTAGGAGCCTAACCACTAGATACTTTATCAATGAGCCTTCTGGTTTCTGACTGGGTCAAGTCAATCAGAGGTATCTGTAGGAGACTGGGAGGAAGAAGGAGAATGAGGTCAGGGTACTTATTCCCTTGGCTTCCTCTCTTTAGGGTTGCTTTGAATTGGCCACTTCCTTTACTGAAGCTTCAGTTAGGCATCTCACCCCACATAGCTCTTCCTCTCTCCCAATTCCACTAACCATTATTTTCTCTTGCCTCTTCAGACCCAGGGGTGGTAAAAGCTCCTACTGTCAATCATCTCTGGGTTATAGCAAATCCTTTGATAGCTTTCCTGCCCCTGCTCACACCTTTATAAGTAATCTCTTTATTAAACCTTTCTCAAATTTGAGTGTGTCCTCTGTTTCTTGCCAGACTCTAACCAATGCACCATCCTCATCTCTCACCTCCATTTACTGGCTGGATAGAGTGACCTTGGAAGCCACAAATTGAAGATAAGGATCAACATAAGACCCTGACTGCTGTCATGGAGCAGAGAGCTGCTGTTTCCCTCCTTTCATCCTTCCCCTCTGCTGCTGAATATACTTCACATGAATGAGAAACAAAGTTAGGTTGTTGACACCACTGAGATATGGGGATGTCTCTATTTCAGCATCTAGTTTGACTTGACTATTATAACCTCTCTGCAGCATCCTGGGCAGCTGATGATTCTTTGCTCCTGGAAACACTTTCTGTGCTTAGCATCCATGACATTGCATTATCCTGGTTTTCTTTTCACTCCAACAACTACTCTTTCTTGGTCTTCCTTGTTGGCTCTTCCTTATCTCCCCATCTAAATGTTGAATTTCCCCAGGCTCAATCCTTGGTACTCTTCTCCATATCCAGTTACTTCCTGGTGACTTCATCCAATCCTCATGGCTTTAAACACTCCCCAGTTTAGATCTCCAACCCAGGCTTCTCCCAAGAACTTATGGCTCATACATCTAACTGCCTGCTTGACATCCTCTTTTAGGTGTCTAGTAGCATCTCAAAAAGAATACATTGAATTCCAGACTTCTTTAAAACTTGCTTATCCTGTATCTTCCCTCAAGTCAGCAAATAGCAATTCCATGCTTCTGGTTGCTCAGGCCAAAATCTTTGGAGTCATCCATGACCAATCTTTTGGTTTCTCATCCTGCATTTAATTTATAAGCAAATTCCATCAGCTTTAACTTCTAAATATACTTAGAATCTGACAAGTCTCACCACCACCTCTACCATTGGTGAGACAAGAAGTAAAAGATAAAGTGCTGTAATGGCCAATAAGACTCTACGTGATCTGATTCCATTACTTATCTGACCTCATCCCCTGCTACTCTTCCTCTCACTCCACTCCAGCCATATGGACCTCCTTGAGTTTCATGAAGCTACCAGCATACTCCAGCCCCAAGGTCTTTGCACTTGCTTTTCTCTTACCCTGGAATGTTCTGATCCCAGATAGCCATGTGGCTCATTCCTTTGACTCCTTTAGGTCTTTGCTCAAATGTCAACTTGTCAGGGAGGACTTTCCTGACCGTTCTATGGCAAACCCCTTTCCCTTATAAGACTGTCTACCCCATCTTCCTTTTTTTTTTTTTATAGCACTGATCACTATCTGATGTGCTGTACATTTTACCTACTTATTGTCTGTCCCTTCTTGCCATGAGAATGTAGGTGCCTTAATTGTAAGGATTTCTGATTGTCATGCTCACTGCAGTATCTCTAGCACCCAGAACAATGTCTTGCACATACAAGTATTTGCTATATAAATGGATTTATTTCTCTTGAAATGTTAAAAGGGTGTCAGCTGGGCACGGTGGCTCACACCTGTAATCCCAGCACTTTGGGAGGCCGAAGGGGGCGGATCACCTGAGGTCAGGAGTTCGAGACCAGCCTGGCCAACATGGCAAAACCCTGTCTCTACTAGAAGTACAAAAATTAGCCAGGCATGGTGGCAGATGCCTGTAATCCCACCTACTCAGAAGGCTGAGGCAGGAGAATCACTTGAACCAGGGAGGCGGAAGTTGCGGTGAGCCCAGATCACTCCACTGCACTCTAGCCTGGGCTACAAGAATGAGACTCTGTCTCAGAAAAAAAAAAAAAAAAAAAAAAAAAAGTGTCATCTGCTTCCCAACCTTGACTTACATGATTTCAGAGCTCATTCCAATATCGCAGCCTCATGAGGCACCAGGCTTCAAGGAAAAGGGAGAAAATATATGGAAGCAAAACCATCCTATCATATCATAGTCACCTTTATTATTACTGAATCTCAGCCTTGAACTCATTGGAATGTGAAGTCTTCTGAGAAGGAATCTCTTCCCCAAACCCTATCCAAATCTGCCTGGTTCCTCTCTCAGACACAGATCTACAGACCAGAACTTTCAGAGAACTTATCCTCTTATCTTAGCAGATATAAGACTGTCAGGGCCTTCTGTAGGGAACATACAGCAAAGGAATGGGACAAGCACAGTTACTTTTAGGACCATTTGAACTGGCTTTAGAGTGGAGTTGAAAAGCAGTTTTGAGGAAGAAATCTGTACCCCTAAGCCTCAAAGGATGGTCATTGGATCTCATTTAGCTTTGTTTCACTAGAGCAGAAACTAAGTTTCCCCCTAGGAGCCCCAAGAACATATTACTCCTCAGGTAGATATTCTGCCAATCAAAGGGTGGAAGCAGATATCCCTGGGAACTCACCTGGGAAGCCCGCATCATATAGAAGTCAGGGTAGTTCTTTACTGACTCCTAATAACGTGTTTTAAGCAGAGAAATTGTATTATTAGATTTGAAATCTAGAAAATATTACTTTGAAACACAAAAGGAAAGAAAATCATAACAAAGCAGAGGTGACTGTGGAAGCTGGTGTGAAGAATGGGTTGAAGAGAGATGAGAATGAATAGAAGGAGACCCGGAAGTTGTTTGCAGCAATTCAAATGTGTGGAGAGGGTGGATGGGGTGATCCAAGGAAAGGCAATGCAAGTGAGAATGGAGAAAAATGGGTGAGTGAATTCAAGAAATGGTACTTTATTTTCTTTCTAAAAAGTGACCCTAATGCTATAACTCTTTATTTTACAGTTCTTTCACAGCTGTCTATGTCTTCCAGGGTAAAGCACAGTGCTTAGTATGACTCTTGCTCATTGCCATGTGTACCATAAGCTCCAGCCTTGCTGAAAGGTTTTTCGGTATCCCATAAGCACTAGGGGAGCTCAGGCCCTCAAATATTTGCACAAAAATTCCCCTTAGGCCTGGCTGACCTTATTTCCTAATGTTCGTTCTGTGGCTTCTGCCCCTACCATTAAAATACTATCACTAAGTTTATCAATGACGTTCCTGTTGCTAAATCAAAAACATGTTTTTGAATCCTTATCTTATTTGATCTTAGCTGAACTCAACATTTGGCCACTTCCTCCTTCTTGAAATATATATATGTATTTTTCATTTTTATAGTATGTGCTTAGCACTATTCTGAAAGCCAGGGATAGAGTGTTGGCAAAGTAGACATTATTCTTGCCTTTAAGTAAGATGTGATGAGGTCCAATCAAGGATAGAAGTGTAGGAACACCAGCAATTGAAGGAGAGGAATAAGAAATAAGAAACATGGGCTGTTATTAGTTATCATCGTCTTGGAGGTTCTAGAAAATGCCAAAAATAAACGAAATGGCTAACATAAATATTGGAAATAAAGAGCTAAACCTACTCCTTTTTTTCTGTTGTTATTAACAAGAAAATGCAAGAGGTTTCAGTAGAAAAAAAAAGAGTATATGAATAAGATAATTTGATGATGGCTTGTTAGAAGGTAAATATACAAAAAAGATCCATATATTTTCTTTAGTCTATCAATAAATACTTAGAAGTGGGATGGGAAAATGTTTATAATAGCCTCAAAAACTACAGAATAGTTAAGAATATATTTAACAGGAAAGGCACAGGAAAAACTATATAAAAACTCTAAAGTTTATTGAAAGACATAAAAGAACCCAATAAAAAGTTTACCATGTTCTTGGATGGGAAGGCATAATACAAAAATTTTATATATCAATTTATTGTAATTCCATTTAGAATCCCATAGGTTTTTGTTTGAATTGAATAAAGTGAGCTTGTTCTATGAAGGAATAAATGGATGATAATTATGAAAAGAAGACATAGGAGTAATATATTGTCAGATTTGATTAATAGTCTGGGAAAAGCAAATTGAGGTAACACCACTTTATGTCCACCAGACTGCAAAAAAGTAAAAAGGAGCTATTGCGGGTGGGGATGTAGCAAAGTGTCTCTCATACATTGCCAATGGAAATCTAAGTGATGCAGGCTTTCTGGAAAGCCTAGTAATAGCTATTAAAATTTAAAATTAATATATCCTTCACCCAGCTAGCCTACTCTTAGGATTCTATCTCTTAGAAACAAGAGCACCAGTATGCAAGGATGTAGATGTATTGCTTGTTAATTGTGAAGGGGAAAAAAAAACCCAGAAAGAAAGCTAATGCCCACTAATGGGAGAATAAGGGCATACATTTTGATACTTTTTTTGAAGCCATCAAAAAACATGAATTACGCTGGGTGTGGTGGCTCACACCTGTAATCCCAGCAATTTGGGAGGCCGAGGCGGGTGGATCACCTGAGGTCCGGAGTTCGAGACCATCCTGGCCAACATGGTGAAACTCCATCTCTACTAAAAATACAAAAATTAGCCGGGCGTGGTGGCAGGTGCCTGTAATCCCAGCTACTTGGGAGGCTGAGGGAGGAGAACTGCTTGAACCCAGGAGGTGGAGGTTGCAGTGAGCCGAGATCTTGCCATTGCACTCTAGCCTAGGCGACAGAGTGAGACTCCATCTCAAAACAAACAAAAAATGAAAACCATGAATTAGAGCTATACCAATGAACATGGATAATATTTCACAATGTATTGACTGAGAAAAAACAAGATGAAGAAAGGTTTTTTTTTTCTCCCAGAAAACAATGACAGAAAACTGTATAAAACTTATGTGTGTGTACGTTTGTTTGTATAGGTCTGAAAATAATTATATAAGCATGGGGGGAAATACGAAGGGTTATTTTAATAGTATTAGATTCACCTATGAGCAAAGAAAGCCCAAAATAACAATGGCTCAAATAAGATACGTAGTTCATTTCTCTCTCATGTTAAGCTCCGTGTTAATCTGGAGCTGATGTGGTTTCTCTCTTTCATGAAAATCTCTGGAACCCAGGCTCCTTCCAGCTTTCTGCTCTGCCATTACTAGAATGTGAACATCTTGAAAGTCCAGCCTGCACAGTTTCATCCTCAGACTTCACGTTCCATGTAGCAGGTTAGAGAAAGAGGAAGGAGAAAGGGTATATGTAAATTGTCTCTTAAAGATTTCTGGATGCGCAACAAAATGCTCCCATTGGTCAGAACTTAGTCACATGAACACATCTAGCTGCAAAGGAGAATGGGAAATGTAGTCTTTATTCTGTGTGGCTATGATCCCACCCAAAAATTTCGTGACGCTTTGCACGCATGCATTCTTGTAGACAACTTAAGAATCAGTCTTTCAAGTTCCAAAAATAATCCCCTGGGTAGTTTGACTGCAACTGTATTAAATCCATAAAGTGATTCAGGGAAAGCTAACATATTTATACCATGTAATGTGGTATACCTCTCCAACTTTTTATCTTGTTTGGAATATTTTAGAATTTTCTTCATGTAAGTTTTCTGTATTTCTGGTCATAGTTACACACAGTTATTTACAGTTATTGTTGCAATTATGAATGGAAGTTCTTTTTAGTACAATTTACTAAGTGGCTATTTTTGGAATATAAGAAAGTCATAGATTTATATTTCTTGTATTGAACCAATTTATTGACCTTTCTTATTAATTTCAGTAATATTTTCTGTTGGGTTTCATGGATTTTCTAAGAAGAAAAGACTGTAGCCTGAAAATACAAATAATTTGCTGTTTCTTTTAATATGTATTTCCTTTGTTTTTTTCTTACCTAATGGCACTGTTCTGAGACTCCAGAAACATTTTGATTAATGGCAATAATAGTGAGCATCCCATTTAATAGAAACGCCTCCAGTATTTGTTTAATGTTTTACCATTAAGTTTGCTGCTTGTGGCTTCTGATTTTAAAAAGTGTCCCTGGGCCCTCTGTTCTTTGCTTAGTAAGGTGTTTATCATTATTTTTGTCATCACTGTCATTATTATCATCATCTGAAATGGAGGTTATACTCTAATTAATGCATTTGGGCATATATTGAGATGATCATATGGTTTTTTTCCTTTCACTATCTGATGTATTACAGGATGCTTAGTTCAACAAAGATTTCTTAATGTTGAACCAATCATTCTTCCTGAAATAAACACTACTTGGTCATGGTACATAACTCTTTTAATATACTGCTTGGTATGACTTACTAATATTTTATTTAAGACTTTCATACCAGCAAGTGCTTGGTTAGATTTTTGCATTATAAAATGAAATTGGATCTTTTTTGATGCTAGTTTAAATATCTAGTTTAAACAACATACAAATGGTATTTTTAATAAGATTTCCTAGAACCTACTCATAAAACCATCTGGGGCAGAATTACCTAGGGGCATAGATTATTTACATTTTCAGTTTTATCAATGGATTTTAGTATAGGTTCCTTTTGTTTTGTTTTAGTTTTTAGAGGTATGTACTTGCTCTGTTACTCAGGCTGGGGTACAGGGGCACTATGATAGCTCACTGTAGCCTCAAACTCCTGGGCTCAAGGGATCTTCCTGGCCCAGCCTCCCAAGCACCTAGGACTGCAGGTGCTTGCCATTATGCCCGGCTGATTTTTTAAAACATGTTTTGTAGAGACAGGGTCTCTTTGTGTTACCCAGGCTGGTCTTGAACTCCTGGCTTCAAGAGATCCTGCCACCTCGGCCTCCCAAATTGCTGGGATTACAGGCATGAGCTACTGCATCTAGCCTATATAGGTTTCTTAGAATCAATTTTAGGAGCTTATATTTTTATGGGATACCATTCATTTTAGGTAAATGTTCAGGTATATTAACATCAATTTTAACATAAAATTTTCAAATAGCTTAATTATTCTTAATATGTGGAGATAAAGACCCTACTCCTGAGCCCTGGCATTGTGTTACTTGTGATTTATTTCTTAATTTTTGCTTATGCTTAACAGTAGTTTTTCCTTTTCTTCTTCATTTTCGTCTTTTTAAAGAAGAAGCTTAGTTTTATTTATCAAGTCTGGTTATTTTGACATCTTAGCTTTTATCTTTAATAATTCCTTTCTCCTAAAATATCGATGGTCTACCCTCATACTTATTGATAGCTTTGCTAAGAGAATTCTAGTTCAAATTTTTTTACAAAGAAATAAAAAAGTCATTGCTCTATTATAATAAGAAATGAGATAAAATTGTTCATATCAACAATGTGTTACATACCCAGCGCTGTTGAGTGTGTGAGTAAAAGCCACTTTCAGACACCACTACTGAGAATGCATGTTGGTACAACCATCTGGCAGGCAATTTGACAATATGTATGAACACTTAAAATGGGTATACATTTGAACAAAAAATTGTACTTCTAGCAATTTACACTTGGGAAATTAACTAGATCAGCAAACAAAGATGTATTTACAAGGATAGCCTTTAGAGTATTATTTCTAGTGGTTAAAATTGGGAGATGGATTGAATAAATGATGGCATAGCCATATAATAAAATACTACACAGTCATGAAAAAGAATGTGATAGGTGATGTTTTAAGTTGATATCAAACAGCTGGTTAAACCACAGAAAATATGATTCCATTTATGTAATTATATTACATATAATCTGGAAGTGTGAAGTGTGGCTATTTCTGGAGACAGGCAGTAGATCTTTAACATTCACCATTTTGTGTCATTCTTTCAATAAATATGCCTTATCAGAAAAAAATAATTTTCAGGAAAGAATTCCAGCTGCTTACACATTCTGGATTATATACCATAAGGATTTATTACATGCTATGCTGGGTAGCAGAAGCGATGAGGAAAGGGAGGGTTAGTAGGGTTCTACACTTGGATGGTGAAGAGAAGGTAATGTTTTTGCCTAGAGAACGTAGAGGATTGATGAAAGTTTCTTCCCCCTCACCAGGTAGTAGACACTTCAAGAGATAGGGGAGGAGTCCCCTGGAAACCGAACAAGGGCTGGGTGTCGTGGCTCACACCTGTAATCCCAGCACTTTGGGAGGAAGAGGCAGGTGGATCATGAGGTCCGGAGTTGGAGACCAGCCTGGCCTAAATGGCGAAACCCTGTCTGTACTAAAAATACAAAAATTAGCCGGGTGTGGTGGCGCATGCCTGTAGTCCCAGCTACTCAGGAGGCTGAGGCAGGAGAATCCCCTGAACCTGGGAGGCAGAGGTTGCAGTGAGCCAAGATTGCACGCTGTACTCCAGCCTGAGCGACAGCGTGAAACTGTGTCTCAAACAAAACAAAACAAAACAAAACAAAACCATAAAAAACCAAAAACAAAAAAAACCAACAAGGAGGCAGGACTCTTACTGTGCCCCAAGTTGTCTAGACCTTTTGGGTTTCCTCCAACCCTGAGATCCTGCCTCAGCTTGCTTGCTACGTGTCCTCAACATCTGTCACAAGTGTCCTAAGCTTCTGCCCTTTGAGTCACCCACAATTCCTAAATGTACCTTGCATCTTTGTATCTGTCTGCTTTTCCTGATGTGGTCCTTCCTAAGGAACAGAATATTCCACTTCTCTAGAGAAGAACAAATACCCCTTGGTTCTTCAAGATCTGGTTCATGGTAGATTAGATTATTATTCAGCAAATATTCACTGTTTCTCACTACATATCCATGGAGGAATGTTCTTCCTTTCATCTTGACTTTGAGCTTCTCCATGTGACTTACTTTGGCCAATGGGATGTTAGTACACATGATGTGAGCAAAGGCTTAAAATGTGCTTGCATGTTGGGCTTAGTCTCTTGCATGCCTATTTTTTGCCATGATGACCAGGTAGCCACAGGTACAAGGAGGCCCCAAATGCATGGAACAGACTTGAGCCAAATACATGGCCTGGAGTGCAGCCTGTATAAGCCTAGACAAAGTCAGAGTCAATGCATAGCAAACCTCCAGTCACCTGGATGAGAAACTTACAAATATGTATTGTTCAACACTGAGGTTGCTGCAGTGTTTGTTATGCAGCAGTAGCTGCCAGATGCATAGCTTTCAAGGTCTCTTGCCCTTTATTCTCTGAGTTCTCCCCCCCAAATCCCACCTATAGTACAACTGCTTAAAAGCTGTTATTATACTATATTATGATTATCTGATTGATGTGCTTGTATCCCACATTAGATTATGAACTTCCAAGTGGACGTAAATGTTCTGGGAGAACTTTGAGGAGCTAAAAAACACCTGCCTTGACACTTGTCTTACAGCTAAAAATTGTGATTATTGAGCAAGTTACACCAAGATCTGTGAGCATATATTGCAGCAAGTGAAAAACATAATGCTTGTTTTCATGTTGTCTTTGGGTAATAAAGAGGGGCCAGTCCATTCAACCTATCTTAAATGAGGTAAAAGAATATGGGTGGGCACCATGGCCCACGAATTCTACCCTAGGAGAGGAGTAAAAGAGGCCCAGACACCTCCTTTCTTTGAAGCAGTGAAGTGTTCTAAAAATTACAGGACATCTGAAGCTGTTTAGATATTTTAAAAAAGGAGAAGTCTCAACCAACAGAGACTGAAGGCGGTGTAGGTGAGTGTTCAACGTTGCTTGGTACTGTCTGGGTAAAGAACAAATGGGTGGTGGAATGATCTTTGATCACATTCTGTCTCATAGTACTTAAAAACTTCCATTTTATTTTTGATTTTAAAAATACCAAATACTAAAATTGAGCCCATAAAAAGGACGGAGTCGCCCATGATTCTGGAAAGGCTCTAAATCGCCAAGGTGTGGTCCAAGGTCATTACTAGGCTTGGCACATGTGTTGATGAACAAATTGAGAGATACATTAATATTGAAGTTTGCAGAAAGGGGATTAGGTCCTTAAGAAACCACTTGATCTGCAGAGATATTCAGAATGTGAATGTCTTCAGGGACCCTGGAAAAACACATGACCCCATTTTAAATCTGAAATTGTATGATCTCAAAGAAGTCCAGTTACATGTATGACATTGCTGTAAAAAGTGTTTTTCCAAATATACCTGCAATAAGTCTTAAAAATGTCTGTACCCTTTGACTTAACAATGCCATATCTAGGGAGTACAGCAGCCTGAAGGAATTAATCAGATATGTAGATAGAGATCTAAAGTAATGTTGATTACACGGTTATTTATAATAGCAGAAAACAGTGAACGTGTTAGTACAAACTATATTGAGAAACGTGAGTTTCTGTGGGCACTGCCAAATTTGCTGTGTCATCTGTCTTCAGAGACATAGACCAATTTAATTTAAAGAGGCCAGGACTGGGAGAAGGGATAGGCAGAGGGAAAGGAAGATGTGGTGAGAGACAGAGGAAGGAAGGGACAAGGAGGGAGGCAGGAATGGAGTCAGGGAGAGATGGAGAAAGAAACAAAAACAGAGACAGGGACAGAGACTGTTGAGTGGTATGTGATGAATCAATGTCTGTGCAATAAAGATTCAAAAGGGAGAAAGAGTCAGAGACAAGAGTGGATTCAAAGGCAGGTCCCCCACTCCCTGTTTTCGTTAGAACTCACCGGCCCTGGAGCACCCACTGTTAGGACCCAGGCCACACGGAGGGGACAGCTAGCAGCAGGGCTGTGGAGTGGGAGGGCAGGCAGGAGCAGGGCTATCAGCACAGGCTGCTGAGTCACCAGTGGTCGGGGAGAAGGGAGGAAGTCCCAGGCTATGCTGGCTCTGTTATGGGCTGGGGGAGCAGGGAAGGGGCTCAGGTCATAGGTAGGGGGAAGGATGCTGGATGCTGTGTTCTAAGCCCCGAATTATGGCATTATGGGTGTGGAATTCACTTTCTAATTGCATTACCCACCTTCCATTAACTCCTGTGTTTGCTGTGGGATCCTGTTAATGGATAATCATTAGGAAATCCTGTTTTAGGGTTATAGATGCCTTTGGATAGTTTCTTAGGATGATTTGAGAACTTACCCCTCAGTAATTATTTCAAGTTGATTATTTGCATGCATAATCCAGATCTCAGGGGACATATTTTATTCTTTTCAACCTCTTGGTGGATTGGTGTGTGAGGGGGGTGGGAGTGGGTGGGTGTGGCATGCTCATGGTGGATAATGTCCTTCGGTGGCTCAGAGTTTCTGCTGCCACGGACTGAGTTCAGTTCGGTGGCTCAGAGTTTCTGCTGCCACGGACTGAGTTCAGTTGGAGGATTGCTTTGCTTTTCCATCCCGCTCTTCTGTTCTGCACTGCAGCATCCCAAGCAGCCTTTTCATTGGATACCCTTGCCCCAAACCTCACACCCACACAGTCTGTGTGAGCAGCAGCCTTGCTGAAGGCTCGGTGCAACAGACAGCTTTCACACCCTGCCCAGCCCTTCTCCACCACACACTCCCAGCTCCCTCCTCTCCTTACCACTCCAGGTTCCCTTCAGAGGCCCAGTTCTCTGCCTTGAATTTAAAGAAGCAGTTGAAGTCTCCATCCTTTCCTCACCTCGGAGTCTACCTTGTTACACTCACAGCATCCTTAACGTGACTGATAAACAAAGGGCTACCTGGTTTTTCAATTTTTTAGTAGCAATGAACCAGCAAGGACTCTGAAATAGGAGGCTGTCTTAGGTTGAGTTTTTGGAAGCAGACTCTGAGAAGAGGATTCCTATAAAAATTATTTATTTAAGAAGTGTTCCTAGAAAAAACCAGTTGGGAGTGGGCGGGAAAGTGGGACCAGGAGAGAAAGAAGGCCAGGCAAAGGAACGGCAGCAGGCAGAGTCCGGGGAGGGCTGCTTTGGCTCAGTCTCTCCTGGGAACTCAGCAGACACCTTCCAGTTACCCCCACCAGGGAGCAAGAGCTGGAGGATTGTATTCGTATGTTTGTCAGTCACTTGTTAAGGGCTGTCCCAGGGGTATGTTAATTTCCAGGCTCTTCACCAAGAGATGCAGGTGCAGGCTGTTGGGTGTGAAGGCGCATGGGAAGCTGGTGGACACAGTAAATGGTCCAGGGATCTAAAGGGGCTATGGGCGAGGCACCAACAGTGTCTGCCGTAAGTCTTTCCTTCTTCCCTCCCTTACTCAACTTCATGAGTGGAAAGACAGTTGTGTGAACAATTTCCTCACTGATGTGGGTTCTGCCACTCTGTAGAAAACAAAAGCAGCTTGGTCAGGTGAGGTGGCGCACATCTGTAATCCCAGCACTCTGTGGGGCTGAGGTGGGAGGATTGCTTGATGCGAGGAGTTCAAGACAAGCCTGAGCAACATAGGGAGAGCCCATCTCTACAAAAAGTAGAAAAAAAAAATAAATTATCCTGGTGTTGTGGTGAGCACCTGTGGTCCTAGCTACTTGGGAGGCTGTGGCAGGAGGATTGCTTGAGTCCAGGAGGTGGAGGCTGCATTGAGCTACGATAGTGCTACTGCACTCCAGCCTGGAAAAGAGAGAGACCTGTCTCTAAAAAAAAAAAAAAGCAACAGCTATACTGGAGCTGGCTTGCTTACTCAGGAGGACAAGAGCTACTCCAGGCCCTTCTCCCATTTTCTGACTCCTGTCTGGCATGACTTATCTCTCAGGATGACTGCAGCTTGGGCATCAGAAGAAAGGGGTGAGCATTCACATCAAATCAGGGGTCCGTTCCTCAGAAATTCCACGTGGAGTTGCTCAGCTCCCCTTCTAGATGGGGGCTTCTCTGGTTATCTCTGAGAAAATGCCCCAACCCCACGTCACAGAGCCCTGGGTGCACAGGAGCTACCACACTGTCCTCATTCAGAACCTGCCCTATCTGCCCTGAGTTTGCTAGATGCAAGGGAGCAGGCAACTTATCCTGTTTGAGACACAGCTCTCCTGTTTGGGGCTCTCTGCCCCACACTGGAAGCAAGGTAGCGGGTGTAGTCATTAACCAAGTCCTGCCCTTTTGGGGATCCCTCTGACTGGGGATGGGAAATCTGCTGTTTTCCTCCTTCAGGAACTCAACCTCAGGTCCTGGAGTCATGTCCACCTTGACTCCGGGAGTCCGAGCTGGGGCTGCTATTGTGAACTCTGCTATGCTGGGCTATTTCTCAATAGCACTCAAGATTGCCTCCCTCTCCTTCTTCCCCAGCCTTAACTCCAGTAATGAGGGAATGATGTGGGAGAGGTTTATCCAGATCTTGGCAATCAATGCTTTTCCAATAGACTTTTGCTTGCTCTGAGCTGGATTCTCTTTCCCCAGTTCAACAGCACCTTCCTTAGCTGCTTTTTGTGAAAGTGTCACTGGTCAGAACACACATGCAGACAATTCCTCTTGACTTGCCACATAACTGAATATTGACTGTGTCAGGCAGTCGGCCAGTGGTATGGAGGCCCCTGAAAACCAGAGGCTGCTGCAGACATCGAGTGAGGCCCACAGACTGCCTGCAGTTTCTTATGCTTCTCCCCTCAGGTAGTTGCCCACCTTCTAACATCTCTGCCTCATGGGTAGCGACATTAAAAACATATGCCTTTATATCTTCTTTCTCTCAAAGCCTCAAAATGACAGTGGAGAAATGATAACAAATAAAACCATAAATGTATAAGGACAAAGAGTTTTAGAGAGGATATAGAAATAGATCATGAATGTCAAGAAAATTTTGGAAGGTGATCAATTAAGTCAGTGGTAATTTACTTAGAAGAGCAGAGAAAGTTAAAATTTAAACCTAAAAAGGGGGGTGGTACCCAGTGAAAAGAAGCTAGAAGATTTTTTACTGAAGTATCCCTATTGAAATATCCCTGAAGATGGGGATGAGTGTGATGGACCAGTTAAAAAGGAATTATTTAGGCAGATAGTAAGGGTAAGGAAGTCCTCGGTAAGCTTTTCCTTTTAATGAAAAGCAGCCTCCAAATCATTTTCTTTTCTAACAAAGAGCAGCCAGTAAAATCAAGCTGCAGACATAGAAAGGCAGGCTAGAAGCTTGCATGGGTGAATGCTGGCCATTGTGGCAATAGGAAAGGGGCTACCTGGGGACCAGGTATGTTCAAAATGATGACTCCATCTTCCCTTTTGCTTGCCAACCACGTGTGCAGTCGGGAGCAGACAACATGGCCCCGGGCAGACAAAGACTCCATTTGCATAAAGAAGATTAGGGTGGGGTGGCCGGCTTCCCCACATGCGATATAAACATCACACTTGGTCCAACCAACCTTAGGGCCCTTTCTAAATCAGACACCGCTTCCTCAAGCCTGCCTATGAAACCCTGTGCACTCCGCCGCAGGCCAGAAGTTCCGCTTGGGCGCCTCTCTCTCTTGCAGAAGAGAGAGCTATTTTCCTGTCTCTTTCTTTTGCCTATTAAACCTTCACTTTTTTTTTTCTTTTTTGAGACGGAGTCTTGCTCTGTCGCCCAGGCTGGAGTGCAGTGACGCCATCTCTGCTCACTGCAAGCTCCGCCTCCCGCCCGGCTAATTTTTTTGTATTTTTAGTAGAGACGGGTTTTCACCGTGTTAGCCAGCATGGTCTCGATCTCCTGACCTCGTGATCTCCCCGCCTCAGCCTCTCAAAGTGCTGGGATTACAGGCGTGAGCCACTGCGCCCGGCCGCTAAACCTTCACTCTTAAACTCACTCCTTGTGTGTGTCCGTGTCCTTTATTTCCTTGGCATGGGGCAATGAACCTCGGGTATTACCCCAGACAATGACAAAGCTTCAAGGGGTGGGGCTGAAAAATAGAAGAGACATCTTGGCTATCTGTTTGAGGAAGCAGTGAGGCTCCCAGATGTCTACCCCATTTCTACACAAGCCAGGCAACTATCCCCCCTATAGCTGGAGGGGATGGGACGTTCAAATGAGGAGATGCTGGCGTTTGGGGATGTCAGGTGCAGTTGAGAACAGGGAACTATACTGAAAATGGGCACTAAATGGACACCTACCTGTGGATGGCAAAACCTCCAACTCGCCTTCCCTGCTCAGCAGCCAGCATGATGGCAGAGCTTATAGCCTCCAGGAAGAAGAATGGAAGATTCCTCTGGGGATACTGACTAGGCCAAGAGAAAAGACCTACTAACATAGGTTTCTCCAGTGAAACAGCTGGGTCCCCACCTGATCAGCCTACTGTGAAGTCCACTGGCAGATGAGCCTCACCCATACACACAGAACTCGAAATTAGCATTTTGGTCCCTTTACTATTATGTCTGAGTAGGTAGATTAGCATCACTTGACATCAGAGGGGAGCTTTAACATGAAAGACAGAGGCATAAATGAACCAACCACCCAACCAGCCACAGTAGAGGAAAACAGACTGCAGAAAGCAAAATGAAATTTCAAGAAAATCCTAAACCTTGTAAGTCTGGTATCTATGAAAACTATGAAATAGTAAGCTATACAAAGGAATATATAGCTGGGCATGGTGGCTCATGCCTGTAATGCCAGCACTTTGGGAGGCCGAGGCAGGCGGATCACCTGAGGTCAGGAGTTTGCGACCAGCCTGACCAACATGGAGAAACCCCGTCTCTACTAAAAATACAAAATTAGCCGGACGGTGGCGCATGCTGGTAATCCTAGCTGCTTGGGAGGCTGAGGCAGGAGAATCGCTTGAACCTGGGAAGCAAAGGTTGTGGTGAGCCGAGGTCGTGCAACTGCACTCCAGCCTGGGCATCAGGAGCGAGACTCTGTCTCACACACACACAAAAAGGAATATCCAAAGAATAAAAGCTCTTGAAAATTCAAAATACCATCTATTGGGTAATATGCTCACAACATGGGTGACAGGATCATCTGTAACCCAAACCCCAGCATCATACAATATACCCATGTAATAAACCTGCATATGAACCCCATGAATCCAAAATAAATGTTGAAAAAAAGGAAAATTCAAAATATGATAGCAGAAATCTTAAAAAATCAACGGATGAATTAAAATATAATTTGAGGAATTCTCTGAGATAGTAGAAGAAAAATATAAAGAAACAGAAAATGAAAAGAAAGAAAAGGTAAGAAAATTCAAGGCTTAGACCAGAAGATCTAATAACTAAGTTTCACAAAGAAGAGAGAAAACGAGGGAAAGAAATGATCACATTTGTAGACAAGATAGAATTTTTAAAGAGGGAATAACCTAGTGCCTGTTGTTGGGAAAATACATAACTAAATTGTGGTATCTTCACACAGCAGACTGCTACGCTGCAATAAAAAGGTAGTGAACCAGGTGTATAGGTAATTCTTAGGAACAATGCTGAATGAAAGGCAAACCATGGAAGAGTGCTCTCTCTGTGCAATGCCATTTCTATGACGTTCAAAATCAAGCAAAAGTAAGTGAGGTATAGATTAGCAATGCATACATATTTAGTGAAGCAATAAAAGGAAGCAAGATAATTGGGGAAAAAGTCATGAGGGTGATTATGTAGCTGGTAGGGGGCGAGGCATGGCAGGCAAGGGAGAAGATGGAATGAGATTAGGAAAAGTCAGTACACAATGGTTCAAGGCATTGGTCATGTTCCATCTCCTAAGTTGGGTGCTAGGTTCTTGGGAATTTGTTTTACTATGTTTCATAACTTAAATTACCTGTATGTTAAGTCTCTCTCTCTCTCTCTCGCTCTCGCTCTTTCTCTCTCTCTCTCTCTTTCACACACACACACACACACATCCCAAATAATATAATAAAGTCTCCCTGAATTAAGGATGTGAGTTTTCAGATTAAAAGGGCCTAACAGTCCAGTGCAATGAGGGAGAAAATACTACTCCAAAGCATATGTGAAATTTCAGAGCATCAGAGATAAAGACTATCATAACAGCAGGAAAAATAGCTCACATACAAAAACTAAGAATCAGAATTGCGTTGGTGTTCTCATTAGCAAGACTGGAAATGGAAGACAATAGCCCTTCTAAGATTCTGAAGGAACAAGGTTACTACCTAGAATTCTAGACTCGACAAAGTAATATATGAGAGAGCAGAAGTAAGACACACTCAGACAAGTTAGACCTCAAAAATTTTATCTTCCACCTACCCTTTCTCAAAATGAGAAAATGTACTCCACCAAAAAGAGCCAGTAAATAGAGGAAATCATGGAAACCATGGAAACACAGATTCCAATACAGGAAAGAAACAAAAAGAATATAAAGAATGTTAGTCCAAGGAAGTCCCCCCAAAACTGCTGGAAGTAGGCATAGAGCACAAGAGATCCAGGTTGGAGAAAAACAACAAGAGATCTCCAGGAGAGATTTCTCCATGAAAAACATGCACGTGGTCAGTTTCCTAATATTTCAGTGTACTGAGACAAGATTTACAGTTTTGTGTGGCAGTTTTAAGAAACTAAGCCCCAAACAAACAAACAAAGCAAGAGAGAAAAGAAAAGAAAAAGGAGGCTATTTATTAAGTCCGAAAGTTGTGCAGGAAAGGATATATAAATATATCATGTGGCTCGATAGCATGTAATAGTTATGTAATTCTGATAATGTGAAATATTGACTGAAACAGAAACTATAATATATATGGGAAAATAAAGGCAAGTGGAAGTATGTTTACAGGAATTTCTAAAGTGAAAAGAATCAACCAAAATAGAAGTACAGGCTATATAACTCTGAACCAAAACTAGATGAGCACAATAGAAGACAGGTAATTACAGCCACTTTCACTCATCAGCACAGACACAACAGTTCTAAAGAAAATGTTAGCAAGCTGAATATGGCAGAATCAAGCTGGTCTTACTTTAGTAATGCAAAATCAATCCAACTTAAAAATAATGTATTAATATAAATCATCACAATATAGACTAAAGGAGAAAATCTACATGATTATCTTGATAGGCACGGAACAAATATTTGATGAAACTTAGCAGTTAAGTTAAAAACAATCTTAGCCAACTAGAAGTAGGAAATTTCTTTAACTTGATGAAAACCCTCTAATAATTTACATCAGATAGAATGCATAATAATAAAGTTTTAAAAGGATTCACTTTGAAATCGGGAAGATGACAAAGGTGTCCTCTAATACCTTTCTATCCAACATTGTATTTGGAGAGCCTAGCCAGTGAAGACAAGAAAAAGAAATAAAACTGCGTCACCCTTAAAAGAACCTTTCTGAGAACATTGGGCCCACCTGGATAATCCAGAAACCTCTCTGCACCTTAAGATCCTTAATATAGTCACATATACAAAGTCCATTTTGTCATGTAAAGTACCATAGTCACAGATTTGGGGGATTGGGACATGAACATTTTTGGGGGGCTGTTATTTTGCCTATTGCATATGACTCACATCACTTCCATGTAATTATTCACAGGTTATATGATTGTTTACATAGAGAAAGCCAAGATAATTGACAAAAAGGCTTTTAGAATCAATAGGAGAGTTTAGCAAATTGATTCAATTGTTTTCAAGCAGTTCAGACACAGAAAATACAATTTTAAAAAAGATGTCATTTATAACGTCAAGAAAGAAAGGATAAAGTACCTTGCAATAAAGCTAACAAAAGAGGTTTAAAACCTTTATGAAAAAATTCTAGAAAGTGATGAAAAAATCTTAAGTATAACCTATTAAATAAACAGAAAAACATATTATGAACGTGGACATAAAAATGTAATATCATAAAGATGTCAATTCTCCACAGGAATATATAGATTTTATTGCAGTTCTCTTTTTATTTTATTTTATTATTTTTTTTGAGACAGAGTCTCGCTCTGTCACCCAGGCCGGAGTGCAGTGGCACGATCTCGGCTCACCACAACCTCCTCCTCCCAGGTTCAAGTGATTCTCCTGCTTCAGTCTCCCGAGTAGCTAGGACTACAGGCGCTCCACCACGCCCAGCTAATTTTTTGTATTTTAGTAGAGATGGGGTTTCATCATGTTTGGCCAGCTGGTCTCGAACTCCTGAGCTCAGGCAATCTGCCCACCTCAGCCTCCCAAAGTGCTAGGATTACAGGTGTGAGCCACTGTGCCCAGCCGACTTTACTGCAGTTCTAATCAACATTCTAACATTTCTTTGGAACTTAAGCTGATTCTAAAATGTAAATAGAAATGTATAAGAACAGATAAGACACAGTGAGAAGTAGAAAATGGGTGGACTCACCCTAGGATACAACAAGACATATCAAGTATGGTAATTAAGGCAGTATGGGCCTGGCATCATGGCTCACGCCTGTAATTCCAGCACTTTGGGAGGCTGAGGCAGGCAGCTCACCTGAGGCTGGGAGTTCGAAACCAGCCTGACCAACATGGAGAAACCCCATCTCTACTGAAAATACAAAATTAGCTGGGCTTGGAGGCGCATGCCTGTAATCCCAGCTACTCAGGAGGCTGAGGCAGGAGACTCACTTGAACCCGGGAGGCCAAAGTTGTGGTGAGCTGAGATCGTGCCATTGCACTCCAGCCTGGGCAACAAGAGCGAAACACTGTCTCAAAAAAAATAAATAAATAAATAAAAGAAAAAAAGAAAAATAAAAGGGTGCCATTGAAACAAAGATATGTAACTGGACCATCAGAACAGAATACAGAGCCCAAAAACACACCCATAGATTGATATCTGATATAAATGACACAGCAACATTGCAGGTAAGTGGAGAAAAGATAGGCTTTTCAAAAAGTGATGAGTAATTAGTTACTCATATAGAAAAAATAAAACAAAATTGGAATTCTCAGACCAAATAAAATTCCAAGTGGAATTCAGGAACCTAGTTAGAAAACTTTTAGAATGTGGGAATATATCTACGCTCTTAGGTTAAAGATTTACTAAAATACAAAAAACACAACTCATAAAGAAAAAGGTTGATAGTTAACATCAATGAAATTAGAAACACCTGAGTTCTGAAAACCATCATTAACGTGGTGAAAAGGTGATGGGCATGGTGGCTCATGCCTGTAATCCCAGCAGTTTGGGAGGCTGAGGTGAGAGGATTGCTTGAGGCCAGGAGTTCGAGACCAGCCTGAGAAACATAGTGAGACTCCATCTTTACAAAAAAAAAAAAAAAAAAAAAAGAAGAAGAAAGAAATATCTAACTCCAGATTGGGGGAAAATGTTTGCAATATACATAATTGACAAAGGATTTGAATCCAGAACATATAAATAACTCATAAATCGATAATTTAAAAAAAACTGGAAAATGGGTAAAAGTCAAACAGGTAAATCTTAGAATAAGAAACCAAAATGGACAATAAATATATGAAAAGATAATCTCATGAAGAATCAGAGAAGCGCACACTAAGCCACAATAAAATACCATTTTAAATCCATCCAATTGGGAAAATGGAAAAGTCTGACAATTTCAGATGTTGGTAGCCAGATGGAGCAATGGGAACTCTCATACACTGCAGAAGTAAGTGTAAATTGGCAAGAGCACTTTGGAGACTCAGCAAGCAATATCTAAAGCTCAAGGTGCTTATGTCCTGCAACTCAGCACTACCATTCCTAACATGTACAAGAGGAGACATTTGCAAGAAAGTTCATTGTAACATTGTTTGTAACAATAAAAAAAGAGAAAAATCACCCAAATGTCCACCAACAGGCAAATGGGTACATACATTGTGGTATATTCATATAATGAGACAAAAAGAAATTAATGAACCAACAAAAGAAATTAATGTACAACAAAAGAAATTAATGAACCACAGCTAGATGTGTCATTATGAATTACTGTCAAAAACATAATGTTAAGTTAAAAAAACAAGTTTCAGAAAGTATTTACCATTTTTATAAAACTTAAAAACATGAAAAGTAATATATATTTTACAATAGAGACATATATCTATTAGGCTGGTGCTTTTTTGTTTTTCGAGATAAGAGTCTCGCTCTGTCACCCAGGCTGGAGTACAGTGGTGCGATCTCGGCTCACTGCAACCTCCACCACCCGGGTTCAAGCGATTCTCCTGCCTCAGCCTCCCGAGTAGCTGGGATTACAGGCATGCACCACCACACCCGGCTAATTTTTGTATTTTTAGTAGAGGCGGGGTTTCGCTATGTTGGCCAGGCTGGTCTCAAACTCCCGACCTCAGGCAATCTGCCTGCCTCGGCCCTGCAAAGTGTTGGGACTACAGGCGTGAGCCACTGCGCCTGGCCCGAAAACTGCAATTACCTTTGCAGCAACCTAATAGCAAAAGTATAAAAATATGTATAGGAATAACAAATACCAAATTCAGGATGTGGTTCCCTTTTGGCAGGAAGGAATGAACTCAAGGAGGGTAACACAGAGCTAAAACTGTAGATTTAATGCTTTATTTCTTAAGTTGGGTGATGGGTATCATTATTATTTGGACTATTTGTATAATTATTTGTATTATGTGGAATGACATATGTCACTGAAGTAGCATCATATGCTTATTCAGAAACATAGAAGGAAAGGAAGCAGGAATTGGGAGTTGGGAAGTGAAAGAAAATATAGGGGATTCCTGTTTTTTTAAATCTTGCCCTCCTGGTTGACCTTTTAAACTATATATTGTTACTACTTCAAAATAGTCAATATCGTCAAAATAATGAAAATTTGAGCCAGAGAGTAATATATGATATGCTTCTGGAAGATCTCCATTTTTTGTTATTATACTTTAAGTTCTAGGGTATATGTGCACATCGTGCAGGTTTGTTACATATGTATACATGTGCCATGTTGGTGTGCTGCACCCATTAACTCGTCATTTACATTAGGTATATCTCCTAATGCTATCCCTCCTCCCTCCCCCCACCCCACAACAGGCCCTGGTGTGTGATGTTCCCCTTCCTGTGTCCAAGGGTTCTCATTGTTCAATTCCCACCTATGAGTGAGAACATGCGGCGTTTGGTTTTTTGTCCCTGCAATAGTTTGCTGAGAATGATGGTTTCCAGCTTCATCCGTGTCCCTACAAAAGACATGAACTCATCCTTTTTTATGGCTACATAGTGTTCCATGGTGTATATGTGCCACATTTTCTTAATCCAGTCTATCATTGTTGGACATTTGGGTTGGTTCCAAGTCTTTGCTATTGTGAATAGTGCCACAATAAACATACGTGTGCATATGTCTTTATAGCAGCATGATTTACAATCCTTTGGGTATATACCCAGTAATGGGATGGCTGGGTCAAATGGTATTTCTAGTTCTAGATCCTTGAGGAATCGCCACACTGTCTTCCACAATGGTTGAACCAGTTTACAGTCCCACCAACACTGTAAAAGTGTTCCTATTTCTCCACATCCTCTCCAGCACCTGTTGTTTCCTGACTTTTTAATGATTGCTATTCTAACTGATGTGAGATGGTATCTCATTGTGGTTTTGATTTGAATTTCTCTGATGGCCAGTGATGATGAACATTTTTTCATGTGTCTTTTGGCTGCATAAATGTCTTCTTTTGAAAGTGTCTGTTCATATCCTTTGCCCACTTGTTGATGGGGTTGTTTGTTTTTTTCTTGTAAATTGGTTTGAGTTCTTTGTAGATTCTGGATATTAGCCCTTTGTCAGATGGGTAGATTGCAAAAATTTTCTCCCATTCTGTAGGTTGCCTGTTCACTGTGATGGTTGTTTCTTTTGCTGTGCAGAAGCTCTTTAGTTTAATTACTTCCCATTTGTCAATTTTGGCTTTTGTTGCCATTGCTTTTGGTGTTTTAGACATGAAGTTCTTGCCCATGCCTATGTCCTGCATGGTATTGCCTAGATTTTCTTCTAGGGTTTTTATGGTTTTAGGTCTAACATTTAAGTCTTTAATCCTTCTTGAATTAATTTTTGTATAAGGTGTAAAGAAAGGATCCAGTTTCAGCTTTCTACATATGGCTAGCCAGTTTTCCCAGCACCATTTATTAAATAGGGAATCCTTTCCCCATTTCTTGTTTTTGTCAGGTTTGTCAAAGATCAGATAGTTGTAGATGTGTGGTATTATTTCTGAGGGCTCTGTTCTGTTCCATTGGTCTATATCTCTGTTTTGGTACCAGTACCATGCTGTTTTGGTTACTGTAGGCTTGTAGTATAGTTTGCAGTCAGGTAGCGTGATGCCTCCAGCTTTGTTCTTTTGGCTTAGGATTGACTTGGCAATGCGGACTCTTTTTTGGTTCCATATGAACTTTAAAGTAGTTTTTTTTCCAAGTCTGTGAGGAAAGTCATTGGTAGCTTGATGGGGATGGCATTGAATCTATAAATTACCTTGGGCAGTATGGCCATTTTCACAATATTGATTCTTCCTACCCATGAGCATGGAATGTTCTTCCATTTGTTTGTGTCCTCTTTTATTTCGTTGAGCAGTGGTTTGTAGTTCTCCTTGAAGAGGTCCTTCACATCCCTTGTAAGTTGGATTCCTAGGTATTTTATTCTCTTTGAAGCAATTGTGAATGGGAGTTCACTCATGATTTGGCTCTGTTTGTCTGTTATTGGTGTACAAGAATGCTTGTGATTTTTGCACATTGATTTTGTATCCTGAGACTTTGCTGAAGTTGCTTATCAGCTTAAGGAGATTTTGGGCTGAGATGATGGGGTTTTCTAAATATACAATCATGTCATCTGCAAACAGGGACAATTTGACTTCCTTTTTTCCTAATTGAATACCCTTTATTTCTTTCTCCTGCCTGATTGCCCTGGCCAGAACTTCCAACACTATGTTGAATAGGAGTGGTGAGAGAGGGCATCCCTGTCTTGTGCCAGTTTTCAAAGGGAATGCTTCCAGTTTTTGCCCATTCAGTATGATATTGGCTGTGGGTTTGTCATAAATAGCTCTTAGTATTTTGAGATATGTCCCATCAATACCTAATTTATTGAGAGTTTTTAGCATGAAGGGCTGTTGAATTTTGTCAAAGGCCTTTTCTGCATCTATTGAGATAATCATGTGGTTTTTGTCTTTGGTTCTGTTTATATGACGGATTACGTTTATTGATTTGCGTATGTTGAACCAGCCTTGCATCCCAGGGATGAAGCCCACTTGATCACAGTGGATAAGCTTTTTGATGTGCTGCTGGATTCGGTTTGCCAATATTTTATTGAGGATTTTTGCATCGATGTTCATCAGGGATATTGGTCTAAAATTCTCTTTTTTTGTTGTGTCTCTGCCAGGCTTTGGTATCACGATGATGCTGGCCTCATAAAATGAGTTAGGGAAGATTCCCTCTTTTTCTATTGATTGGAAGACAGAGTCTTGCTCTGTTGCCCAGGCTGGAGTGCAGTGGCACGATCTCCGCTCACTGCAATCTCCACCTCCTGGGTTCACACCATTCTCCTGCCTCAGCCTCCCACGTAGCTGGGACTACAGGCACCCACCACCATGCCTGGCTAATTTTTTTGTATTTTTAGTAGAGACGGGGTTTCACTGTGTTAGCCAGGATGGTCTTGATCTCCTGACCTTGTTATCTGCCCACCTCGGCCTCTGAGTGTGCTGGGATTACAGGCGTGAGCCACCGCGCCTGGCCTGGAAAATCTCCATTTTTATGACTTTTTCATTTTTAATTTTTTTTAAGAGACAGGGTATCTGCCAGGCACAGTGGCTCATGCCTGTAATTCCAGCAGTTTGGCAGGCCGAGGCGGGTGGATAGCTTAAGCTCAGGAGTTCGAGATCAGCCTGGGCAACATGGTGAAACCCTGTCTCTACAAAAAAAATACAAAAATTAGACCGGTGTGGTGGCAGGCACCTGTAATCCCAGTACTTGGGAGGCTGAGGCAGGAGAATCACTTGAACCCAGGAGATGGAGGTTGCAGTGAGCCGAGATCACACCACTGAACTCCAGCCTGAGTGACAGAGCGAGACCCTGTCTCAAAACAAAACAAAACAAAAAGAGACAGAGTCTTGCTCTGACGCCCAGGCTGGAGTACAGTGGTGTTATCATAGCTCACTGCAGCCTATACTCCTGGGGTCAAGAGATCCTCCTGCCTCAGCCTCCTGAGTAGCTGAGACTAGGAGGGTGAGCCACTGTGCTGGGCTAAGATCTCCATTTTTAGATGCTTTATCTCAGTGTATTCAAAATATGGTCCTTGGACAAGTGTGGGTTGGTGATCTGGTCTGCCATCAACTAAATAGAGAACTGAGCCTAAGTGTTTGGGAACTTTTACTGCAATTTTAGAGTGATTTTATTTATGCTGAATCAATAATTTAAAAAGTGAGACTTGTATTTTGTATTCTATAATTTACTGTATTATCATTTTTTTCTAGAAACAAACTCTTATTTCTCAAAAGTATTGGTTGAAACAAATTAAAATGAACAAAAAACCAACTGGTTTTGCACAAGTAGTTTGAGATATATTGCTCTATCTTACTCAAAATTGATGTGTATGTGATTTCTTTTTCTATAATGTGAAGTTTTTTTTTTTTGTTTTCTTCTTTGGGGATCTTGTGATCTACTCCTAAAATATTAATGTCATGTGGGATTCCAGAATTGTTTTGTTTTGTTCCAGATATTTGCCTTGCATATATAAAGAAGATGTGGCCATTCTTTGCATGCTGTTTCCCCAGAGACACATGTAAATGGAGTTGTAATTTCCTGTTGGTAAACAGCAAGTATTTAAATTTAGAATCAGGTGGTAAGGTTGATATGTAGACGGGTAATAAATTGAATTGCCTTCAAAGCGATACCTTTTCCAGTTAACTGTTAACTCACCAGTTTACTGCTTTTCTTTTCTTTCTTTTTTATGCTTCATGAATTTGTGTGTCATCTTTGTACAGGAGCCATGTGCTAATCTCTGCACTGTTCCAATTTTAGTGTTTGTGCTGCTAAAGCAAGCACGGCTTTTCTTAATCGTATCAAATATTACATGGTATGTGAAAACAGTATATATCTGGCTTGAGGTATTTCACTGATGACAAATGGACCTCATGTTATAGAGGAATGAAAGATATAAATTAATAAAACATGATCATGATAAGAATAAAACCAAACTAAATCTCCTCTCCAGTGCTTGGCAGCACACTCCCGGAGAGGGTTCAGGCTGTGCGTGGCCCCCCAGCGGTGCTCAGAGATGGCTTAATGGCCTCGGTGACAACAGGAGCCCAGACTGCATAAGATTCTGCCTCTGCAGATGCAGAACAGTAGGGGCCTCTGATGTGCTCAAACATCTGTTTTGGATCTCCATTTCTCCTCAAGAAGAGACTACTTTTTAAAAATTATTTTTTTGAAGCTGGATTACTTACTGATTTCCAGAGTCCTCTTACACCTGCCACTTCTCAAGGGAATCCTTTGGGCATAATCTTTTAATCTTTCTGGAAAGCTAACAAAACATTACCTGTGCCAGGCCTTCCACCAGGAACACCCCATTCTTTCCATCATAGTGCTTTTTAAAGGACTTTATCATTTGTTCTCTGGGTTCATTTAACTCTTAACTTACACCAATTTAGCATCTTTGCTGTATTTCCTTGCTATTTCTTATTTCATTCTTTACATGTTATGTTACATTTCTGTTTGAGTCTTTACAGTATCTTCTTTCTTACCAACTTGTCTTTCTAGAATATTCTCACAATTAATGTTTTGGTTTGTTTTGAGGTAGGCGATCAGCAGGACTTGTTTTCTGAGCACTGGTCAGGACCCTGTCTATCTAAATGGTAGGTAGCAAAGAAACTGCCCAAAGCCAGGTAGGACCAGCAATTATAATGCACTTGCATAAGACACTTCTATCAGTACCATGACAGTTTACAAATGCCATGGCAATGACCTGGAAGTTATCTTATATAATTCTGGGAACTCTCTTCCCTTTTTCCGTAAAGTTTGTGAATAACCCACCCCTTATTTAGCAAATAATTAAGAATGGGTATAAATATAGGTAGCCAGCAATCCACAAGTGCTACTCCAGACCAGTCTGTCTATGGGATGGCCCTGCTCTGTCTATGAAGCAGTCACTTGGCTGTACACTGTTGCTCAAATAAACTTGCTTTCTTTCATTGTCAGCTCACTCTTGAATTCCTTCCTGGGTGAAGCCAAGGATCCTCCTGAGCTGAGCCCCAATTTCGGGATTTGCCTGTATCAGCCTGGTGACCCAGATGGGACAAACAATGGGAACAAGATGAATGGGACAAAGTGACTCAGTACAGATCGGAGTTGTGGAGCTGTAACACTATGAAGCTGTAACTCTAGGGCAGTTTGCGCTGTAGAGCTGCGCCTAAAGGACTCTTTTCAGAGCCATCATCTTTCCTGGCAACTCACAAGACAAGGGAACCTGAGGGAAACCTTCACCCAAACCCCAAATAAAGACAGATTAGCACCATTTGACTTCCACACACAAAGGTCAGTCTTCCCTTTGTTCCCCCTCAATATTGACCTTTTTGGGTGAGCCAGGAAATGGGAACTGAGTCTCTGGCTTGGTAGCTCATTGTCCCCCATCATCTGAGTGTCCCGAATGGCAGCAGGCCTGGCATGTCCTTGTCACCCTTTCTCCTGGACCTTCCTTTTTCTCTTTAGTGGCTAATGACCGCCATTTTACTTTTACACTTATTTTGTTGTTGCATTTGTGGTCTTTCCTTTAGATATTTGGGCAATTGTTTCTGTTCAATGTAAGGCAAGACACTTTCCGTGTTTGTTTTTAACCCCTTCTTTTCTAATTTTGAGAGGTCCCCTGTTGTCCTGACTCTGGGATGCCTGACTCTGGTGTTGAAGCCCTAGACTCAAGCGATCTGCGCGTCCTGGCCTTTCAAAGTGCTAGGATTACAGGTGTGAGCCACTGTGCTCAGCCATGTGCCTTTTTCTTTGTCTGATTTGACTTTACGCAAGGAGAAATTTGGTTGGTTTTCAGAGGATCCAGGAAAGTTTACGGAGAAATTTGTTCAGTTGATCGTGTTCTTTGACTTAACATGGCATGACTTGCAAATATTATTGTCTACCTGCTGTACTGCAGAGGAGAAACAAAGGATTCTGGGTACTGCTCATGAATATGCAAATGGAGTGGCAACTGGTAACTAAGGTCATGCCATTTATCATGTGAGGGGAGATGCAGCTCTAGATCTGGTCCCTCAGTGGGATTACCAGAGGGGTTCCCAAGATCTTGAACACAGAAATCACATGGTAACTTGTTTAACAGTAGGTATGGAAAAGTGTGTGGTTAAGCTAGTTAATTACAACAAGGTTAGAGAAGTAACTCCGAGGAAGGACAAAAATCTCACTCTATTTCAGGACAGTTTGGTTGAGGCAAGCAGGAAATATGCTAAGTGTAGACCCAAACTCCCTGGAAGGGTGAGCTCTCCTAGGTATGCATTTAATTACTTAATATGCCCCTGGCATTATGAGGAAGTTACAAAAGGCAGAAATGGGACCTCAAACTCCCATGAGTCAACTCTTGTACATGGCCATTGGGTTTACAACAACAGGGACAGAGCAGAGGAAGCAGAGAAAACCAAAATAAAAAGCCAAAAAGCCCAGTTGTTAGTGGCTGCCTTAAGCCACCTGCTGCCTCGAGGTTATTCATCCCAGGGAAGTGTTGCAAGATCGGTGTCTGGGCTGCCCAGACGATAGCCCCCAACTTGCTGGCCCCTGAGCCAGAATCAGTGTGCCTACCATAAGCAAGAGGGCCATTGGAAAAGGGACTGCCTCAGGCTCCAAGGGGAATCTGGGCCACTCAAACCCATAATGGCCAAGACAACAGAGAACTGACGGGACCTGAGGTTCCCCATGGCTCCCACTGGACACCTTACCATCTCCACAGAGGAGCCGTGGGTAACTCTTGATGTGGCAGGTAAGAATACTGAGTTCTTATTGGATATGGGAGCAGCCTTCTCAGTTCTGACCCATTTCTCAGGGCCACTGTCTTCCTACTCTTGTACCATACTGGTGGTACAAGAGTACCACCTTATACAAGGTACATGATTGATAGCCAGCCAAAAATTAGGAGATTCACCCATCCCCTTGGTTGCACTGTAGGCGATCATATGTTTTCCCACATGTTCTAGCTTATGTCTCAGTGCAGTATTCCTTTACTGGGAAGAGACTTACTTTTCCAATTACAGGCCACAGTTCAATTTGGAGAGCCCCACAAAAAGGCAATAGGCCGGGAAGGGGCACTACTTCTAGCTCTAAGTGCTTGACTTACTACAGGTAAAGAAAAGACCTTCCTTCCACCGCATATTACTTCTCAAGTAGACTCTTCTGTCTGGGACAAAGAAGTTCCTGATAGAGCTGTTAATGTTTTACCCATGGGAAAAACAATATCCTTTGAGACCTGAAGCAAAAGCAGGGATACAGCCCCAGATAGAAAAGTTTCTAAAGTAAGGATTATTACAACCCTGTCAGTCCCCATATAATACTACCATCCTGCCTGTAAAGAAACCAGGTGAGAAATACAGATTTCTTCGGGATCTGAAGGGAGTTAATGAGGCATTAGTTCCAGTCTACCCAATAGTTCCTAACCCTTATACAATATTGACCTAAGTCTCTGAACATGCTAATTGATTCACGGTATGAGACTTAAAGGATGCTTTCCTTTTTATACCTTTGCGCCCAGACTCCTAGTATATTTTAACTTTTGAATGGACTGATCCAGATGCTCATGCTACATCTCTGTTTACCTGGAATGCCTTTTCCCAAAGTTTTAGGGTCAGTCCTCATCTCTTTGGGGATGTATTGGCAAAATAATTAAGGGAACTACAGTTAATGAATTGATCCCTCCTAAAATATGTGGATGACCTATAAATTTCCAGCCCTACTAGGGACGACTCTGATAAAAATATAATTCAGGTCCTTACTTTCTTGGGAAAATAAGGGTATCGGGTATTCTCCCACAAGGCCCAGACTTCTGTGCAAAAGGTTAAATACCTGGGATACATGCTTATTCCTGGAACAAGGACAATAGCCAGGAATGAAAAGAGACCACTCTGGCACTGCAGCGCCATCAGACTAAGAAACAGTTAAGAACCTTTTTGGGAATGGGTGGATTCTACCATATCTGGATTCCCTGGTTTGGGGTCATAGCAAAACCACTCTATGAAGCTCTAAAAGGGAATGATCACGAGCCTTTGAACTGGGATGGAACCTGCCAACAGGCATTCCTAACCTTAAAAGAAAATCTGGGAATGGCCCATGCTTTGTGACTCCCAAACTTAGAAAAACCTTTCACTCTCTATGTGGCTGAAAAACAAGGGACAGCTTTGGGTGTTCTAACTCAAAGGCTAGGGAATAATCCTAGACCAGGGCTTATTTTTCTAAAAAGCTAGATCAGGTGGTGGCCAGATGGCCAGGATGCTTGTGAGCTGTGGCCACCACCATTCTATTGGTAGAAGAAGCCAGGAAGTTAGCCAGGCACGGTGGCTCGTGCCTGTAATCCCAGGACTTTGGGAGGCCAAGGCGGGTGGATCACGAGGTCAGGAGATCGAGACCATCCTGGCCAACATGGTGAAACCCCATCTTTACTAAAATACAAAAAAATTAGCCGGGTGTGGTGGCATGTGCCTGTAGTCCCAGGTCCCAGCTACTCAGGAGGCTGAGGCAGGGGAATTGCTTGAACCCAGGAGGCGGAGGTTGCAGTGAGCCAAGATCATGCCACTACACTCCAGACTGGCAACAGAGCAAGACTCTGTCTCAAAAAAAAAAAAAAAAAGCCATGAAGTCTTCCTTGGGACAAAAATTAGATGTCATTACTTTCCCTCCTCAATCAAGTACACTAGGTCCTAGAGCAAAAGGACATTAATGGCTAACAGGGAGTCAGTTGCTCAAATATTAGATCCCTCTGTTCCACACCCAAGAGTTTACCCTTAAAGTATGTCAGGTTTTAAATCCTGCTACTCTGTTGCTGGACTCAATGTCCCGAGAACGGAGGAAACCATGGAACAGACCTACTCTAGCAGGCTTGACCTTAAAGATAAGTCCTTTCCTAACCCTGATGTTAAATGGTTTACACACACACATACACACACACACACACACACACATATATATGCACACACACATACTTTTTTTTTGAGATGGATTCTCACTGCGTAGCCCAAGTTGGAGTGCAATGGCATGATCTCGGCTCACTGCAACCTCCACTCCAGGGCTCAAGCAATTTTTGTGCCTTGAATCAGTAAATATATTGACTCAAGTCTTTTCCCAATCAGAGAGCCCTAATTAGAGTGATTAATTCCACTTTTTTAGCAGAAGTGTGAGGAGGTAAAGCTTTGGCCTCAATAACTTCTTGTTGGCCTGCCTTCTTTACTCTCTCATGAATAAAGCTACTCCCATCAGTAAACCATTTAACATCGGGGTTAGGCAGGGACTTACCTATTCTGGAATAGCAGGGGCTATTCCGGACTATAAAAAGGGCCACCAGGGCCTGTGAACTCTGTGCCTGTAACAACTCAGGAAGCCACCCTATACCCCCACCCCTACTCAAGCCTGCAATGGGGAAGACTGGCAAATAGGTTTCACCCAGATGCCACCGTATACAGAGGACTGAAGTATTTGCTAGTACTTATAACAATTTCATCAGGCGGATAGAAGCTTTCCCCACAAGGACAGAAAAAGCACTGGAAGTGTCCACATTGTTATTTTAAAAAAATCATCCCAAGTTTTGAATTAC
Source organism: Homo sapiens (assembly GCF_000001405.40). NCBI lineage: Eukaryota > Metazoa > Chordata > Mammalia > Primates > Hominidae > Homo > Homo sapiens. The sequence continues at coordinate 41,690,841 of NC_000020.11, forward strand.
CAACATATTTGCAAAGTGATAAGAGACCTTCCTTCACAGCTAAGGTGACCCAGCAGGTTTCCTCAGCCTTAGGCATTATCTATCATCTTCACTCCTCCTAGAGGCCTCAATCCTTAGGTAAGGTAGAAAAAGACAATCATGTTTTAAATAGGACATTAGCAAAACTGTCAGGAGACCTCAGAGACCTGGGTATCTCTCCTTTCCATGGCCCTTTTTTGCATAAGGATGGCTCTGAAGGGAACCTTAAAACTTAGCCCATTTGAAATGGCCTATGGGGGGCCCTTTTTTAACTTCAGGCTTCCTGTTTGATGAGGAGACACACAGAATGCTTACTCATATTAACTTAGACCAGGTTCAAAAGGCCCTTCAAGAATATGGAAATAAGGTATTTCCCTTTTTCACAAACGAAAAAAAATAGCTCCCCTGTTCAACCAGGAGACAGAGTCCTATTAAAAACTTGGGAAGAAGGATCCCACGAGGATCAATTATAACCAAAATGGAAGGTACCCTACCAGGCATTGTTAAGCATCCCCACTGCTGTTAAACTTCAGGGAGTCACTAGATGGGTACACTTGTCCAGAATTAAACCTGTTTCTCATAAGTCCCCACAGGCACAAGAGGAGGACACTATGCCCACAAAATCAGTAGGAGGCAGTGACAGAGGATGGACCTCCATCCTTCTACAACACTTTACGATTAAAGAGGAGTATATAATCTCTGAAAGGGTAATGAGGTAGCAGATCAGCAGGGCTTGTTTTCTGAGCACTGGTCATAACCCTGCTGATCAGGACAGGATGTAGCAAATAAACCAGCCCAAACCAGCTAGGACTAGGAGTTTTACTACATTCGCACAAAGACACTCCCACAAGTGCATGACACTTTACAAATTCCATGGCAACATCTTGAAGTTACTTTATATGGTTCCAGGAGCTCCCTGCCCCTTTTCTAGAAAGTTTGTGAATAACCTGTTCCTTATTAAGCATATAACTAAGAGTGAATATAAAGATAGCTAGTCCATGAGTGCCACTCTGCCTATGGGATAGCTCTGCTCTGTCTACGGAGCAGCCATTTTCCTGTACATGTTGCTCAAATAAACTTGCTTTCTTTTACTGTTGGCTCACTCTTGAATTCTTTCCTGGTTGAAGCCAAGAACCCTCCCAAGCTGAGCCCCAGTTTTTGGGTTTGCCTGCATCAGTTCTACATTTCATTCTCATGCCATTCTAGTACAAACATGAAGTGTAGGGGTGAGGTGGGAGGCAATAAAGATAGTCCTTCCAAAGCCTTGTATTTCCACCAGGACTCTTGGCAGCGAATCCCTTTCCTCTATTGGTTAGCCTCCTTCCCCACAGTGCTGCAACCAGCTGGTTGTATTTAGGGCTTAGTTGAAGTCTGAAACCTTGATTTTAGTGGCACCAACCTGTGAGCTTAGGAGATGTATTCCTCCCCTCCAGTTGCACCTAGTAGACCCAAAATTAGACAACTGTATTAATTCAGGATTTGAGGTTGTTACAGAAGGAAATAAGGCAGGAGAGGATTCTTAGGATCTAAGTTGGCTAGGAGAAGAAATGAAACTAGGAGAAGACTAATAGAATGCAGAAGGGTCCCAGGACTTAAGTTTCTGAGGGACAGTCATGGGTGAGCACAAGGAGTGTGAACAGGTAGTGAAAAATGTCCTCAAAGATGAGGCAATCAAATGACTTGATTAATGGTTTATTCCCTAAGGCTCTAAAGCACATGGAATGGATCATTTTGGCTGCTGCAGAAACCATGGGTAAGAGAACATGGTGAGGTCCTATAGAGCCTACCAACCCAAGTCAAGGAGAGCCACAAGTTTCAGTGTATGCAAATATGAGGTCAGCGCCGGTTTGGGGAATAGGAAAGACGCAGGGGCTGTGTCGACTTTTGGAGGCCAGTCCAGAAGTCGAGTCCAGGCGATGGTAGGAGCTACTCCCCAGACCTGAGCACCTCTCCTAACAGCAGCTCAGGCAAAGGCCACGTCTCGGAACAGTTGGCTGCACAGGTCACGTGACGCGCCCCTAGCCCGGCTCTATTTGGCTGCAAGAGCGCTCTGTCGCCTGCCTCGGACTCTGTTTCCCAGAAGTCTTCCTGGAAACTACATTTCGCAGGGGGCTTTGCGGCGCCTACTTCCTCCTGGCTGATTAGATGGGACTGGTGCCGTTGGCCGGACGTTTTTGGGAGCTTCACAGGCTGATGGGGAAGGGCGAAACCTGCTCGATTAAAACAACCCGCATTTCGAGGCGAGGAAGCGAGTCACGGCTCGGCCCCTCCCTTTGTGAGGAGAACCAGGCCCGCCTCGGGGTCCCCTGGGCAATGTAGTAACGTGAAGGTCTCCGAGTCCCGCTAGCACTCCCGGGGCGTGGGGGTCCCAAGTGGGACTGGAACCACCGCGAAAGAGGCGGGGCTGCGCGGATCTTCCACACCAGCTCCTCCCTTCCGTCAGGGGGTGCTGCGCATGAACGTTTTCCCATCTCTACCTCTTGGTTATCCCTCAGCAGAGATTCTTCTTTTACTCTGTACAGTTTTCAGCATCCCTCAAGCTGATATTTCAATTAAACAAATTTTAGAATTCTGAGAAATGGCGAAATAATGTAAAAGAAACAAATGATATTGGCCCTAAATTATCCTCCAGCCCCTGCTGCTCATCGGACACTTTATGAGGTTACAAAGGACCATGGCGCTGCGCATATGGGGGATCCATTTTACCCACCGTACTTAGATCAGGCTGTGACTTCCGCCCTCGAGGAGCGGCTGCTGCTCTACCGGGTGTGCTCATTTAGCCCTAGCGTTGTTTGTGCGTTTGAGGACATTCGCTGAGCCAAGCTGCAAGGGTGTCGTTATCATTTTACGAGGGGAATACGGAGAGCATGGTGGATAAAAGGTGGTTGACCTGCCCAGGCTATACAGCTAGAAGTGCCGTTAGAACTTGGTACAGGTGGAACTGATTCTGATACTTGTCTCAAACTGTTACCAGTGGAGGGTGTTCAGGTTCTTGGTGTCTTGAACAAATAATTGGACAAAACGGCACAAACAAAGCAAGGGAATAATGAAGTAACAAAAGCAGAGATTTATTGAAAACGAAAGTACATTTCACAGGGTGGGAGCAGGCTGAGCATGGGGGCTCACGAGCGCTGTTATAGAATTTTCTGGGGGTTAAATACCCTCTAGAGGTTTCCATTGGTTAGTTGGTGTATGCCTTATGTAAATGAATAGGTTAAAAGTTACAAAGGCATTGTATGCCCTATGTAAATAAAGAGGATATTTCGGCGGGGAGTTGTGGCTTACACCTGTAATCCCAGCACTTTGGGAGGCCAAGGCGGGCGGATCACCTGAGGTCAGGAATTCGAGACCAGCCTGGTCAGCATGGTGAAACCCCATCTCTACTAAAAATAAAAATAAAAATAAATTAGCTGGGCGTGGTGGCATGCGCCTGTAATCCCCTGGTGGCTGAGGCAGGAGAATCACTTGAACCGGGCAGAGGTCACAGTGAGCCGAGATCGCGCCGTTGCACTCCAGCCTGGGCGACAGAACAAGACTCAAATAAATAATAAATAAATAAATAAAAAGGATGTGTCTTATCATAGCTGAAGTGTTTCATTTGATTTAATTCTAGCAAGTCCTTAAGTTCCCTGCCTCCAGGCCATATTCTGCCTCAAGACCTATCCTGTTTACTTCGTGTAGCATTAGTTTCTTTTTCCCAGGTTTGCTGCTACTTACTTGGTTAAGCCATGATCATCTCGGCTGTACTCACAGTCTCATAAATCCGGTGTTTATTGAGTGTTAGCACCGTGCCAGGCAGTGTGTTGAGTGCTGGGACATGGTGTTGAACAGGGGCAGACACAACCTTACCTTCATGGTGTTTACAGCCTAATGGGGAAGACAGTTACTGATCACATAATACAAATAAGAATAAAATGTCAAATTGCGATAAATAGAACACCCCCACCCCCAGGATGCTACAAGAGAGAATAATGGAGGAAAATTGATACATTAGATTGATTAGGGAAAGAAAGAAATGTTTGGTCTGAAATGCTTGAAGAAGGCTGAGAAGAAGGAAGCTGTGTAACAGCCAAGAGAAGAGTAGTCCAGGCAGAGGGATCAGCAAGTGCAAAGGCTCTGAGCGGGGAAGAGCTTGGTGTTTTGCAATTCAAGGAACTCAGAGAAGTCCCTTGTGATTGGAACACAGTGAAGTAGGGGAGAGTGGAACAAATTGAGACTGGCTTTCCTTTTACCAGTCTTGCCTCTTCTTTTCTTTTCTTTTTTTTGAGACAGAGTTTCACTCTTGTTGCCCAGGCTGGAGTGTAGTGGCACAATCTTGGCTCACCGCAACCTCCACCTCCCAGGTTCAAGCGATTCTCCTGCCTCAGCCTCATGAGTAGCTGGGATTATAGGCATGCGCCACCACGTCCGGCTAATTTTGTATTTTTAGTAGAGACGGGGTTTCTCCATGTTGGTCAGGCTGGTCTCAAACTCTTGACCTCAGGTGATCCACCCGCCGGGCCTCCCAAAGTGCTGGGATTACAGGTGTGAGCCACTGCACCCAGCCTAGTCTTGCCTCTTCTAAACCATATCCACACTGGCAGTATAGGAATATTTTCAGTACTCAAATATGATGACTTGACTTTCCTTTAGAGGCTTTGTGTCCCCTACAAGTTTTAGCTCAAACTCCTCAGCACAGTGCTCAGAGACCTTCGTAATTGGATTTACCTCACTTTCCAGTCTTCCTTTTTTGCAAGTTCTGTTATCTCTGCTTGGCATGCCCTCTCCTATGTGCTTGCTGATCAGGCAAACTTCTATTCACACTTTGTCTTGGCTGAAATATCATCACCTCTGTGCTCTCCTTGTGCACTCTCAATTCACTTCTTGTCCCCCTGCTGTGTAACTACTGGTTTGCCTACCAGTCTTTCCCAAGAGACAGTGAGCTCCTCCTCTTGGGGATGTGTTTTCTATCTTTGTATGATGCAGAACACAAGGCCTGGCAGTTGCTCTTTTCTTTCTTTCTTTTCTTTTTTTTTTTTTTTGAGACGGATTCTTGCTCTGTCGCCCAGGCTGGAGTCCAGTGCAATGTCGGCTCACTGCAACCTCCGCCTCCCGGGTTCAAGTGATTCTCCTGCCTCAGCCTCCCAAGTAGCTGGATTACAGGCATGCGCTACCACGCCCAGCTAATTTTTTGTATTTAGTAGAGATGGGGTTTCACCATGTTGGTCAGGCTGGTCTCAAACTCCTGAACTCAGGTGACCCAAAGTGCTGGGATTACAGATGTGAGCCACCACACCTGGCCATTGCTGTTTTCATAACAAATATTCATTAAGAGAATGAGTGGAACAGCTAGCCATGACTAGCCTCCACTTGTCACCTGATGAGAAGGTGACATGTGGTTCTTATCCTTGGCAGAGTGGAAATTAGCATCCAAAAGGACGCAAGAAGAGATGAGTAAAAAATCTACACTTACCCATGAGCCAGATACTGTCTCATCCACTGTCTCATTTAATCTTTGTGACAATCATAGTTCTCAGTTTTTGCTGCTAAGAAAACTGGTGCCCAAAGGCTCTGCCTAAAGATTACCCAACTAGTAATGGAGAACCTCGGTAGGAAATTGGGTCTTTCTGATCTCAAAGGTTGAGCCCCTCAATATTCCTTCTGTTCTTTTTGCCCCATCTGGCACCCGTTACTAGCACAGAAGCCCGGAAAGTTTAAGAAACAACTTCTGTCTCTGGTGTGTCATTTGTACCTCTGAGGACATCAACTTGGAACAGCCATTGTACCAGAGTTCTGTCTTTTCCAGGAATCAGTGACTCATATCAGTCTCTGCTGATATCAGCTGCTGAAGGGCTTAGGAGAACTGGTAGGACTCAGAGGAGCAGAAAATCCAGGAAAGGGCACTCTTGGCCAGTGCTGTTTAATAGAACTCTTTCAGATGAGTAAAATGTTCCATATTTGTGCTTTCCAGTATGGGAATGTCTCAAGTTCCTTTTTAGACAGTATCTCCAGCCCCCTCATTGGTTCCTGACTTCAGGCTGTTTCCAAGACATTCAACTTGAGACTACAGATCCCTGGGCTAGGTCTTCAAGGGCCCTCCAGATCCAAGCTATGCCTCAGTTTTAGCTGAAGTTGTGTCCAAGAACACAGGTCAGGGTACAGGGAGATGGGATACGTATAGCTCCAGACATGGCCAGTGCATTGTTGATATTGCCACCCCAGCAAACTGCCTAGAACTTGGCCCAGAGCAGATGCTAGGTTAACATGGTAGATGAGTGAATTTACTTTCTCTTCCCCAGATTGGGGCTCCCTCACCTACTGCCATTGGCTTCTGGAATCCTTCTCTATCATTGTGAACTGATGACTTGCCACATGGTGAAGATTAACGAAGCCAGTGCTTTGAACCACCACCCTGACATTTTGGGGGTAGGTCAGGGGGGTAGCTACAAAACCAGCTAGTAATAATTCATTGAAAATATGCTGGATCCAGCATTTTTATGTAATGACCTCATTTTTCTTGTGAAACCCTGTGTGCAAAATGAAAGCCCAAATGAGCATCTGCTATATACAGTTAGGAGTAGGGTGGTGCTGGGGAAAGAGGACTGATCTAGGAGTTACCCTGGACCTGGGGCTCATAGGCTGTATGACCTTGAACAAGATGCTCAATGCTTCTGTGCCCCAGTTTTCTCTCAAGTAAAATAAAAACATTGGACTCTAAGCTTCTTTCTACAGTTAATGTGAATGTTTAAAAAATGGCTGGTCACATCTGTGATCAACCTACATTAAGCACCTTTCAAGTGATTACTTGCTTCAATTAGGTCCATTTTCATTGTTTACTTTTACTAACAGTTTTTTTTCTTAACCCTTCCACTTCCAGTGCCTTCCTCATTCTTCACTATTTTTTGATTGTTTCTTCAGATTCTGATAAATCATCTTCATTTCCAGCCATTGAATCACCTGCTCCTTGGCCCTGCCTAGAGGCTCTTTAATCCTCAGCAGTTTCAATTTCCTGACAAAGCACACAGAGGGGGCCCGGTCTCCCTCCTCTTCCCTTGCCCACTACTCACCACTCTCCCATCTAAAACACATCTGAAAAATCAGGGAGGTTTCTATTCTGGCAGTTGTCTCTCTCACCACTAGATGGCACATGCAGGTCATCAGTCTTTTGGGCAAAAACTAATTTTATTGTGTATTTAAACTCCATCTCAATCCACAAAAGCTTTGAGGGGAATTACAAAAGTACAAAATATACAAAAGGATAAGACAAAAAGTTGAGGTAGCTGGAGAAAATAGAAAACAAGTGGAAGAAATAACTCCAGGATGACATTAGCTCAAAAAGATCAACACCAGCAAAGGCTTACACATTTGGCTCCGAGCTTCCAAATGGCCAAAGTAAAGAGGGAAATGTGAGTGGTAATAAAATTCTAGATTTTATGTGAGAAAAACAAATATTTGGGAGAAGCTCAACTTTTCCTGACCCTGAGACCAAAGAGATATTTTTCCCGTGGGTCAGCTGACTGAACAGTGATGCAATACAGCGGTGACTTAATTGGAGCTGTTTCTTATAATGTCCTTTTATGCAGGCCTATGGCATGACGCTCAAGTATAATTGAGGAAAAGCAGTTCTACTGGGCTTAAAACATGAGTTTCCAGGACAGAGTAAATTCACTGTTTGTTGTGGGCCTCCGTAGTTTGAAACAGTGAAATCTGCACACCTCCCTGTTCCAGAGTTTAGGTGGAGTTTGGGGGAGAGGGGGTTCTTCTTGGAGACTGTGGTAAGCAGTTTCTAAGAGGGCCACCAATGATCCTGCCTCCTGGTTTTCAAACCCTATCTGGTCCCCTCCCATGTAGCAGCAGTAATGGTCTGTGTCACCAGCAGAATGCAGGAGAAGCAGGGCCGGGCATAGTGGCTTATGCCTATAATCCCAGCACTTTGGGAGGCCGAGGCAGGAGGATTGCTTGAGCCCAGGAATTAGAGACCAGCCTGGACAACAAAATGAGACCTCGTCTCTACAAAAAATACAAAAACTAGCCAGGCATGGTGGTGTGAGTCTGTAGTCCCAGATACTACGGAGGCTGAGGCGGGATAATTGCTTAAGCCCAGGAGGTTGAGGCTGCAGTGAGCTGTGTTCATGCCATTGCACTCCAGCCTGGGTGACAGAGCAAGACCCTGTCTCGAACAAACAAACAAAAACAAAAACACCCCACCAAAAACAGAATACAGGAGAAATTATGGTATGTCACTTCTCAGATCAGGTTAAAATACATCATAGCTTCTCTCTTGGTCTCTCTGTCTCTGGTTTTGTCTCTCTCTTTCTGTCATGCTAGGGAAAGCCAGGTGCCATGTCATTAGGAGTCTTGAGAGACCCATGTAGTAGAGAACTGAGCCTACTGTCAACAGCCAGTGTCACCTTATTAGTCATGTCAGAGTACCACCTTGGGAGCAGATCCTCCAGCCTCAGTCGAGTCTTCAGAGACTAAATCCCTGGCTAACACCTTAATGGCAAGAAACCTCATGAGAGACCATGAGCCAGGCCATTCAGCTAAGTCACACCTTGGCTCTATGAGATAATAAATGCTTGTTATTTTAAGCTGTTAAGTTTTGGTATAATTTGTTAAGCAACAATAGATGACTAATACAAAGGCCAATAGAAATCCAAGGTTGCATCAAGGATAATTTTACATGGGTAAGTCTACTTGGTTTCAGAGACCAAGAGAATATTTCAGAAGCAACTCAAGTGGGCATTATTTTTAACTTTTAGTTTAATTTAATTTAATTTTTTAAAAGACAAGTCAAATTTCACAGTGGGGCGTTGCATAGCAATCTTAGTGACACTAATGTTAATAAATTTGGATGACGTACTACCCTTGGACCAGCCCATGGGGGCTTCAAGTCTGATAGATATGGGCTCATATTCAGTCTGTGAATGTAGAAAGACAGAGGTAGAGGGATCCATGTAAAATGTCTGCAAAGGAGATTTCTCTGAAGAAGGACTGTGGGGGCAAGGACTTCAACTTCCTTATTCATGGTGACATCATCGGTGCCTAGCACAGAACCTGGCACGTGGTAGGCTTTCTACAAATCTTTCTTTTCTTTTTCTTTCTTTTTTTTTTTTTTTTGAGACACAGTTTTGCTCTGTTGCCCAGGCTGGAGTGCAATCTTGGCTCACTGCAACCTCTGCCTCCTGGATTCAAGTGATTCTCCTGACTCAGCCTCCTGAGTAGCTGGGACTACAGGCACACGCCACCACGCCTGGATAATTTTTGTATCTTTAGTAGAGACAGGGTTTCACCATGTTGGCCAGGATGGTCTTGATCTCCTGATCTCATGATCCACCCGCCTTGGCCTCCCAAAGTGCTGGGATTACAGGCATGAGCCACCCCGCCCGGCCTACAAATATTTCTTTGATGAATCTATGAGTGGTGAGCTACAACCTTGAGTGAGCTATTCATGTATCTGGGTAACCATCATTTATTAAGCTCCTACCATGTGCCATGTACACGATGTTGGTTAAGTCCCAGGGAACTTTTGTGTCATATACAGATTCAAATCCACTTTGTGCCCCCCACTGCACCTTCTCTCACCCTGTGTTTTCTCCTTGAAACTCTTTATTATTATTACTATTTTTTCTTTTTTTTTTTGAGACGGAGTCTCACTCTGTTGCCCAGGCTGGAGTGCAGTGGTGTGATATCGGCTCACTGCAAGCTCCGCCTCCTGGGCTCACGCCGTTCTCCTGCCTCAGCCTCCCAGGTAGCTGGGACTACAGGCGCCCGCCACCATGCCTGGCTAATTTTTTGTATTTTTTAGTAGAGATGGGGTTTCACCATGGTCTCGATCTCCTGACCTCGTGATCCGCCCGCCTCAGCCTCCCAATTTTTTCTTTTTTTTTGAGACAGAGGCTGGCTCTCTCACCCAGGCTGGAGTACAATGGCGCGATCTCAGCTCACTGCAACCTATACTTCCTGGGTTCAAGTGATTCTCCTGCCTCAGCCTCCTGAGTAGCTTGGATTACAGGCACCCGCCATCATGCCAGGCCAATTTTTGTATTTTAGTGGAGACGAGGTTTCACCATGTTGGCCAGGCTGGTTTTGAATTCCTCCTGACCTCAGGTGATCCACCCGCCTTGGCCTCCCAAAGTGCTGGGATTACAGGTGTAAGCACCCAGCCGAAACTCTTTATTACTTGTGTAGAGATTGTGCTTTTGCTTCCACACTGAACGGTTCTCATGGAAATAGTGTTCTTAATCACCATCACAAGTAATCTGGTCGCTGTTTTTCCAGTATGAGAACTAGAGTTGCTCAGGACATTGGGTTTATTTTGTGCAATTTTGTCTTGGGGCCTGTGCTACTGCTTTTTTTCCTCTTTGTTTTTGTTGAAAAGCGACTTGAAATGATTGGTGAACTAATACCAGTTCAATTGTACTGTGATGACAATTTTTTTTTTTTGAGACATAGTCTCTCTCTGTCACCCAGGCTGGAGTACAGTGGCACGATCTCAGCTCACTGCAACCTCCACCTCCCAGGCTCAAGTGATCCTCCCCGCTCAGCCTCCCAAGTAGCTGGGACTGCAGGTTCATGCCATCACACCCAGCTATTTTTTGTATTTTTTGTAGAGATGGGGTCTCCCCCTGTTGCCCAGACTAGTCTTGAACTCCTGGCTTCAAGCGATCCTCCTGCTTTGGCCTTGATTACAGGCATATGACAACTACCTGAATCTATATTCCCCTCTTCACACTGACTTTGGTGCTGTGGTTAACCAAATGTTACCGTAATGGAGATACTTTGGGTGTGAAGGAGAATCAAACAGAATGATTTGCCTCAGACCTTGTGTCCTCCCTTTCAGTAAAACATTCCTTTCTCCATGGTTGGCCCTGCACTACTTCCTTCTTCTCCCTCCGCATAGCTATTATTTATTGCCTACTCCATTCCCATCACCAAGTTCCACAAGTGTTATGTGCATTACTAAATCTGGGCGGGGAACTGTGAATTGCCTTGCCATTTTTGTTAGTCAGCTACTTTGAGAGATGGACACCAAGATGGGATGAAACATGCAGTTGTTTTACAAGGGGAAATGCTTGTGTGAAAGGAAGGAGGGAGGGAGCTAGAGAAGGCCAGGAGAGCCACCAGCCCCAAGAAAAGGAGAGAGGGAGAGAAGCCTGGGTTGTTGGCATTCTGAAGGAAGGAGCATTCTAACAAAGGTTCTGCAAAACCCTCAGGGAGTCCTTGAGCCAAAGTCAGCTAGCAAAGGAGTCTCTTGTCTGTTAGGACTGGGTCTGACTCTGTACTCAGCACTCCGTCATTGGTGGGGTGCATCTCCAGGGGAGGCGTGGCCAATGGATTTTAAAGCACAGCAGCTGGTGCCCTCAGCTCCCTGCAGTGAGAAGTTTGCAGAGGCACATTCTTGTGACTGAGACACCAATTTTTTTTTTTTTTTTTTGAGACAGAATCTTGTTCTGTTACCAAGGCTGGAGTGCAGTGGCATGATATCAGCTCACTGCAACCTCTGCCTCCTGGGTTCAAACGATTCTTGTGCTTCAGCCTCCCAAGCAGCTAGGACTACAGGCGCACACCACCTTGCCCCACTAAGTTTTGTATTTTTAGTAGAGATGGGGTTCCTCCATGTTGGCCAGACTGGTCTTGAACTCCTGACCTTAGGAGATCTACCTGCCTCGGCCTCCCAAAGTGCTGGGAATACAGGCGTGAGCCACTGAGCCTGGCTGAAACACCAATATTTATTTTCCTCTTTTTTGTTTTTTTTTTTGTATTTTTTTTTTTTAAATAACAGAAGCCTGATTTATTTGGGGTGGCAAAGACCTGATATTGAATGAAAAGATCCTAGCCTTCTTTGCAACTAGGTGTGGGCCTGTGTCTAAGTTCTGATCAATGCAATATAAACCAGAAGTATCACGAGGACCTTCCAGATACTCCCCTTAAGGGGATCTGGCCTGCCTGGGTGGTGAATCCCTTCTTCTCTTCTCTTTACCCAGGGCTATAGACAAAATGGCTGCAGCCTCAGTTGCCATTTTGTGTCAAGAGGCAATGTGTTACTGATGAAAGGGCAGACTAACAGCAAGACACTTTCCTCCCAGACCTCATACCCGCTCTGGATTGCTTACCTCTAGACTTAGACCTGAGAGAAAAATAAACCCCCTTGTTTAAGCCATTGTTATTTTGTTTTTGTTATAAGCAGATAATTCTAATCCTATTTAGTACGGTATCTATTCTTCACAACAGCTCTGCCAGGCAGGCACATTTATGCCCATTTTATAGAAAGTGAAGCACAGAATGATTAAGTGTTAGAACCTAAATTAGACCCCAGGGTGGCACTTAGGATAGTTTTAGCTGTGAATAACTGAACAGAGTTTCTCAGTCTTCTCTGAAGATAATAATTGCCTGGGGAGCTTGCTAAATATATATAACAGACTGCTGGCCTTCCCCGTGGACATGCTCGCTCAGTAGGTCCAGGTTAAGGCCTTGGGAAGCTACTTTATCTCAAACAAGCAGTCCAGGCTCTCTTTATCCTCAGGAAGCCCATGTGAATCCTAAGGTGGATGAAGACCAAGAGCAGGCAGCTCACACAGTAAGGAGGTAGATACTTTGCCTTAGAAGACTTCCGTGAGCATAGGAATCATTTGCAGAGCTTGATAGTATCATTTGTGGAGATTTCAGATTCTGGGCTCCAGTTTTTATTTTTAAAAAGTCAGTACATCTTTCATGGAACCTGGGCTTTTGGATTTTTGTAAAGCTCCCACATGAGCCTGTTGCATGTGATTCATAGAGTCCAGCTTGAGGGACTCTGGCTTAATAGGAGCACAGGCATTGGAGTGTGATGAACTGGGGTTTGAATCCCATTGCTGCATTTATTTGCTGGATGACCTGTAGCAGGCTAATTAAGGCTTCTGTGTCTCAGGTTTTACCATTTTTGAATTGAAGAAAAAATTATAAGGCTTACCTCGCAGAGTTGTTGTAAGGATTAAATGAGATAATTTATGTAAAACTCTTAGCTTTGCATAAATATGCTCTCAATAAATGGTGGCTATTGTTATTATCATACCCCATGCACACATCTTGCAAACAGTATGGGCACAGAGTTCTATTACTATGGAAAATTTATACAAATCTTCAGGGAATCACGATTCAGCGAAGGCTGGTACAGGGAGCTGGGACTCCCCTTTCTCTCCCCAGCGACCTCTGGCCCTGAGAGTGAGTGACCTGCCTGTGCATGCAGAGATTGAGTAAAGTTCTTACAGGATACACTCTTATGTCCCCCAGCAGCCACCTTCTACTCTCCTTTTTTTCTCTCTTCTTTCCCAACCGGTCTGTCCAAGAATTACCGTCTACACTCAATGGCTCAATTTTCTCATTTCCCATCCCCTTCTCCATTCACTGCAGTCTGAATTCTGCTGTCACTGCTTTACTGAAGTGACTCCAAGAGGCCACCAGTGGCTTCCATGTTGCTAAATCCACGGGTTCTTTTAAAGTCCTCATCTCGTTTGAGTCCTCTGCAACTTTTGCTGCTGCTGTCTGCTTATTCCTTCTTGGAACTTTTCTCTCTTGGCTTCCAGGACTCCATTGCTGTTTCTCCTTCTAAATCTGTGATCGCTTTCTTTAGCTTTTATGGAACCTCTACCTCATCCATGTCTTCTACAGCTCTGTTCTCTATCATTTTGATCCTTCATTTGCTCTTAGTTCCTTTTTTTCTCTGACCAGAGCCCACTATCACTGAACTCTTCAAAGTTCGAGGTATTAATAAATTATCTGCCTTCTTAGGATATCCTGGTCTAATGTGACCTTTTCCTTCTTTCCTCCATGGGGCAGCTTAAGACAGGCCCAAGGAGTGTGCTCCAGTCTCCTTCACAGGTGTTCCTAGGAAGCTCAGCAACACCCATTAAAACAGAACGTGGATTTCCTGTAGATTAGGCCCCGGGGAGACACTGAGATACCCTTGTTTCCAGTTATACTGCTGGGGGAGACAGAGTCATTCCATCCATCCCCTTAGCTCAGGCCTTAAGGCCTTGTGTCTAGGTCTTTGTTCTGCTGACACCCAGTGCCTTTCAGAGGAGTTGGGCCCATTCCTGACACTGACTTGATAGACATTGGGCCTTGCTTTTACCTTTGTGGTTTTGGCTTTCTCATCAATGAAATGTGAAAATTGGACGACTCAATTTCGCATTGAATAACCCATTATTTTTGATTTAGAAGTGACTCTGAGGTCACTTTTAACTCTCTGGCACCATCATGACCAGCTTTTTCATCAATTGCGCAACCTTAATACCACTCCTAGGACTCTCCTACGGAAATCCTCTCCCAAGTTCATGAAGACGTATGCCTACAAGAACGTTCACTTGTATGAACCCAATTGCTCATCAAGAGGGGACTGGTTAAATAACTTATGAAAGTACTTGCTCTGGGGCTGTACTGCTCAAAATAGATAGCCTGTTGTTTGTTACTGGTCTGCTAGGAGATAAAGAACTTGAGCCAGAATGTAAATCAATGACTTTATCAAGAGTCTTTCTGACAAAATATATATATATTTACAGTTGACCCTTGAACAACATGGGTTTGAACTGCACAAGTCCATTCATATGTGGATTTATTTCAATGAAAGTTACACCGAATATGCCTGCCTGTCCTACCTCCCTTTCCCCTTCTCCACCTCTTCCACCTCTGCCACCTCGGAGGCAGCAAGACCAAAGTTTCCTTTTCTTCCTCCTCCTCCTCCTCAGTCTACTCAGTGTGAAGATGGTGAGGATGTAGACCTTTATGACAGTCCACTTCCAACTAATGAATAGCAAATATATTTTCCTTATTTTATTATTTTATTTTCTCTAGCTTAGTTTCTTGTAATAATACAGTATATAATACATAAAACATACAACATATGTGTCAATCGACTGTTTATGTTGATCAGTAGGTTTCCAGTCAACAGTAGGATATTAATAGTTACATTTTGGGGGTAGTCAAAAGTTATGGATGGATTTTCGATTGCATAGGGGGATGATGCCCCTAACCCCTGCGTTATTCAATGGTCATGGGTATATATCAACAGAAATAAACAGTGCGCTTAGAGACGTAATTGATTTGCATTCTGGTGCAAGCTCCTCCCTTATCTTTTCTCAAACCAGTAGCAAACAGTCTCTGCACTGGTAAACAGACCAAACTTTGAGTAGCATTGCTAAAGTGTAACAGAAATGAGCTACGGATGTAGAGCAAACAATGTCTAAGATACATTGTTTGTTTGTCTCACTCTGTCTTCCAGTCTGGAGTGCTGGATCATATAGCTCACCGCAGCCTCAAACTCCTGGGCTCAAGTGATTCTCCCATCTCAGCTTCCTGAGTAGCTGGGACTGCAGGCGCATACCAGCATACCTGGCAAATTTTTAATTTATTTTTTGGGCAGAGACAGGGTCTTGCTATGTTGCTCAGGCTGGTCTCAAATTCCTGGCCTCAAGTGATTCACCTGTCTCGGCCTTGAAAAGTGTTGGGATTACAGGTGTGAGCCACAGTATCTGGCCAAAATACACTGTTAAAAGAAAAAAGTATGCTCCAGAACAGTATGGTGTTTTCAAAAGCAATGCTCTAGACAAAAAGGGGTATATAGGCACAGAGATATGTTGGTAGATGCACGAAACATTTCTGGAATAAGTCCTAAGAAATAAACAGTGTTTACCTCTGGGGAGTGCAGCTGGGAGTCTGGGGTGAGAGACCTCTTTCTTTGTTGTATATCCAATCTGCTGTACAGTAGGTACTCCCCAGTACAGTATAGTGGCTTGGAATCTGTCATCCTGATTAGTCTGTGCCCTAGTTGCAACAGTCATTAAATATTTTGAATGTCACTCCTTTTACTGTTTGAACAACAACAACAACAACAACAAAACGCACAAAAACCAAAAAATACTACATGCATGCATCACTTTCTTTCTTTTCTGTTTTTTTTGAGACGGAGTTTCGCTCTTGTTGCCCAAGCTGGAGTGCAATGGCGCCATCTCGGCTCACTGCAACCTCCATCTCCCAGGTTCAAACCATTCTCCTGCCTCAGCCTCCCGAGTAGCTGGGATTACAGATGCCTGCCACTGCGCCCTGGTAATTTTTTGTATTTTTAGTAGATATGGGGTTTCACCATGTTGGTCAGGCTGTTCTTGAACTCCTGACCTCAGGTGGTACACCTGCCTCGGCCTCCCAAAGTGCTGGGATTACAGACATGAGCCACTATGCCCGGTCATCACTTTTGTATTTAAAAACAAACTAGTGGCTGGGTGCAGTGGCTCACGCCTATAATCCCAGCACTTTGGGAGGCCGAGGCGGTCAGATCATGAGGTCAGGAGTTTGAGACCAGCCTGGCCAACATGGTGAAACCCCGTCTCTACTAAAAATACAAAAAATTAGCTGGGTATGGTCGCACACACCTGTAATCCCAGCTACTTGGGAGGCTGAGGCAGGAGAATCACTTGAACCCGGGAGGCGGAGGTTGCAGTGAGCTGAGATCGCGCCATTGCACTCCAGCCAGGGCGACCAAGCAAGACTCCATCAGAAAGAAAGAAAGAAAGAAAGAAAGAAAGAAAGAAAGAAAGAAAGAAAGAAAGAAAGAAAGAAAGAAGGAAAGAAAGAAGGAAAGAAAGAAGGAAGGAAGGAAGGAAGGAAGGAAGGAAGGAAGGAAGGAAGGAAAGGAAGGAAGGAAGGAGGAAGGAAGGAGGGAAGGAAGGAAGGAAGGAAGGAAGGAAGGAAGGAGAAAGAAAGAAAGGAAGGAAAGAAAAGAAAGAAAGAAAGAAGGAAGAAAGAAAGAAGAAAGAAAGAAAGGAAGAAAGAAAGAAAGAAAGAAAGAAAGAAAGAAAGAAAGAAAGAAAAACTAGCTATAGAGAGAACACTGATCTCCTAGAGCCCCCATTTGCTGAATAACAAGCCTCCTTGTTTCATTTTTCACAAACATTTCTTCCCTCTGTTCTCTCCACTGGGTCTATGAACAAGGGTTTGCTCTCTGTCGGTGCTTTGGCGTTCTTCTCCTGCAGATATATTCACAAGAAGTCATCTTGGTTCACAGCCTCATGATGAAGAGGGCTCAGGGGCCAGAGGGCTGATTATGGTTCTAATTTGCAATTATACAGTGATTTTTCACACTGCTCATGAATGCTGACTTCCTCCCTGTTTGGGTTGGAGAGTTAGAGGGATCTGATTTGATTGAAGCAGTATAGGCTGTGATTATCATAAGAATTTGGCATAGTAAATTGAATTGGGAAGTATTGGGCAACAAATGTAAATTATTTCCTTTCATTTGTCACTCCTACACAACTGTATATTTACTGTTTGTGGCTGACCCTGTGTAGAAAAGTGAAATGACTTAATCCTAATGCCTTTGAAATGGGAACTGTTGAGACACCTGAGTGGTCTCTTTGAATTCAAGATGCAAACAGATTGCGCTGCTGTTTGGAGGGAGCATGGAGCTGAAACAATATCCCTGGAGTCTAGTAGTTTTTTTTTTTTTAAGTTCAAGTGCTCTAGGCCCACCTACTGTGGTTCTAGATGGATGTTTTAAATATTTGCATTTTAAAATATTTTAAAAACTCTTATTTCTGTGTAATAAAAAAGTTCGGCCAGGCGCAGTGGCTCATGCCCATAATCCCAGCACTTTGGGAGGCCGAGGTGGGCAGATCACCAAAGGTCAGGAGTTTGAGACCAGCCTGGTCTACTTGGTGAAACCCTGTCTCTACTGAAAATACACAAAAAAAAAAAAAAACAACAGCTGGGTGTGGTGATGGGTGCCTGTTATCCCAGCTACTGGGGAGGCTGAGGCAGGAGAATTGCTTGAACCTGGGAGGTGGAGGATGCAGTGAGCTGAGATCGTGCCACTGCACTTCAGCCTGGACGAAAAAATGAAAACGTTGGCTTGCCTTTGTCCTGGGTTCTTAGAAGGTAGATAACCTGTAAATAATTGGAATTTTCTGATTGAGAAGAGTGTCTTCGTTTTTCATGGTGGACCTCAATAGTTTAAGCTAATGAGATGACTCAATATGGGAGCGGGCCACACTAGGAAGAACCATGGTGTGATTAGAGGGATGGGGTTTTTAGCCATGTGATATCACTCCTCAGAGGAAGAGGAGACGGGGCATAGCCAATGATTCAATCGATTGCTCCTACAAAGTAAGACCCCAATAAAAGCTCTAGACACTGTAATTTAGGTGAGCTTCCCTGATTGGCAATACCTTGTGTATTGTCACATATTAATGTGCGGGGAGGGCAATAAGCCCTGACTCCACTAGGAGAAGACAATGGAAGTTTTGCATCTGGAACCCTCTCAGACCTTGGCCTATGTATTCTCCTTGTGGCTGGTTCTGATTCATATCCTTGTGCTATAATAAAACTACAATTGTAAGTACAGAACTTTCCTGAGTTCTGTGAGTCATTCTAGTGAGTTATCAAACTTGAGGGGGTAACGAGCACTCCCGAGTTTGTAGCCAGTTGATCAGATGTGAGAGTGGCCTGGGGACCCCCAAACTTGCAGCTGGTGTCTGAAGTGAAGGCAGTCTTCTGGAGGATTATACCCATGGCTTGTGAAGTTTGGCCTAACTCTGGATAGTTGGTCTTAGAAGTCATTGCAATTTCTTTAACTTTTTATCTTGAAAAATTTAAAACTTAAAGAAAATTTGCAAGTGTAGTACAATGAATACCCATATACTTTTCACTTAGAGTCTCCAATTTGTTAATGCATTCCCATATTTGTGTCATTTCTCTTTCTGTATATACTTTTTTTTTTCCTGAACCAATTGAAAGTTGCAAACATGTCATCCCTAAACACTTCAGTACATACCTTCTGAGAACCAGGACATTCTCCTACATAATTCCAATAGCATGATCACTCACAAGAAATTTAGCATTGATACAATAATATTATCTAATATGTTTCTATTTTCCCTATTGTCCTTAAAATAACCCTTATAATTTTTTCCTTTCAATTTAGGAGGATCCAGTCAAGGGTCATGTATTCCTTTGGTTGTTATGTCTCCTTGGTTTCCTTAAATCAAGATTCCAGAACTGTCTCCTTGCTTTATTTGTTTTTGAGACAGAGTCTTGCTCTGTTGCCCAGATAGGAGTACAGTGGCACGATCTTGGCTCACTGCAACCTCCACCTCCCGGGTTCAAGCAATTCTCCTGCCTCAGCCTGCCCAGTAGCTGGGATTACAGGCGCCTGCCACTGTGCTTAGCTAATTTTTGTATTTTTAATAGAGACGGGGTTTCACCATGTTGGCCAGGCTGGTCTGGAACTCCTGACCTTTCAGGTGATCCACCCCCCTCGGCCTCCCAGAGTGCTGGGATTACAGGCGTGAGCCACTGCGCCTGGCCTGTCTCCTTGTTTTTTTGTTTTTTTTTGAGACAGAGTCTCTCTCTGTCGCCCAGGCTGTAGTGCAGTGGCGCGGATCTCGGCTCACTGCAAGCTCCGCCTCCCGGGTTCATGCCATTCTCCTGCCTCAGCCTCCCGAATAGCTGGGACTACAGGCGCCCGCCACCGCACCCAGCTAATTTTTTGTATTTTTAGTAGAGACGGGGTTTCACTGTGTTACCCAGGATGGTCTCAATCTCCTGACCTTGGATTACAGGCGTGAGCCACTGCGCCCAGCCTTGTTTTTTATTTTAATTTAATTTAATTTTGTCTGTAATGAAATTGACGCTTTTGAAAGGGCCACACTACCTGACTTGTATATTGTAAATTGTAATCTCAATTTGTCTGATTGTTTTCTCGTAATTAGATTCAGATTATATATCCTTAGCAAGAATACAAACTATGTAGATGATGTGTTGATGAAAAGTTTGTACTAGTGTGATGTCAACCAAGATGGCAGAGTAGAAGATCCCTTGGCATCACTCCTCTCAAAAAAATACAACTAGAAACTATTCAAGACCAGAATACCACCCTGAGTTCACCAACACACCAACACTTGGAGGAGAAGTGGAGAAAACCCTGGACGAACAGAATTGAGAAAATCTGTGACCGGTAAGGGAAGTCATCATTTCAGACTGTGCTGTCCCCTCCCCTAACCAGGCAGAATGCTACGGACAGAGAATTTCCCCCAATCCATTGTTTCAAGAGTTAGAGGAGGGAATTGGGGGTGGATGTTTGATCTCTCCATGGTCTGGGAATCTTCAAGGGAAGTCCACTCTGGTCCTGTCCCATGGGAACCTTTGGGAGTGCTGGGAGGGCTGAACCACCTGGGATGACTTAGAGACAAAGAGCAGGATGCCGATTGCAGCACTGGCACTTGGATCTTGGTGGCTACTCTGTGCTCTGATTGGTGGGGATGCCATGTTGAAGAGACTGGCTGGAGTCATAGTGCTGCAGGGGCACAGTCCATGGAAAGGCCCAAATGCCTGGCTGGATTTTCCACAATGCCCAGGTACTTGCAGAAAGCGTTTCCTTGGCCAGGAGACAACTAAAAGGTCAGGATTAAGTTCCAGTACCTGCTTAAGTCTTCCCCATACTGAGAAACTATGGCAGGGTGGCCATATAGTTCTGGGGCAACATTTAGCCTCCTGTGTTTACTATAAGTTTTCCCTAGACCAAGAAACAATGACAAAGCAACAATTTAGCTCCAGTGCAGTGTTTTAGTTCTGGTGCTTGCTGTAAGTCCTCCCCAGAATGGGCAGAAACAACAGGCCAGCATTTAAATTCCAATACTAAGTAGTAAAGGTCTAAAACAAGCAAAGAACACCTGCAAAAACTAGAAGAGGTGCCTGTTTCCTCAGATATGCAAACATCAGTGTAAAGATGTAAAGACTGTGAAAACTCAGGAAAATATGACATCACCAAAAAAAACCAACAAAGTTCTAACAACAGGCCCAGAAGAATTGAAGATCTATGAAATGTGAGACAGAGAATTCAGAATCCTCTTAAACAAGTTAAGGGAATCATAAGAAAATACAAATAGAAAATTAAATAAAACTTGGAAAACAGGGTGGGTGTGGTGGCTCACACCTGTAATCCCAGCACTTTGGGAGGCCGAGGCAGGCAGATCACAAGGTCAGGAGTTCAAGACCAGCCTGGCCAACATGGCGAAACCCCGTCTCTACTAAAAATACAAAAATTAGCCAGGCGTGGTGGTGCGCACCTGTAATCCCAGCTACTTGGGAGGCCGAGGCAAGAGACTCACTTGAACCCAGGAGGCAGAGGTTGCAGTGAGCTGAGATCGTGCCACTGCACTCCAGCCTGGGCAACAGGGTGAGACTCAGTCTCAAACAAACAAACAAAAAAACTTGGAAAACAATCGAGGAACAAAATTAGAAATTTGACAAAGACATAGGAATAATTTAAAAAATCGGATAGAAATTCTAGGAATACAGACTAGAATAACTGAACTGAAAAACGCATTAGATAGCTTCAACAGCAGACTTGATCAAACTGAGGAAAGAATTAGCAAGCTTGAAAACAAAATATATGAAATTATCCAATCAGAGGGTAAAAAGAAAGGTTTGGACTGGAAAAGAGAAAAAGTACATCAGCAGTGAGGTGCAAGCATATCACACACGGCACATAGAAGAACTGCATGGGCCAAGGGCCACAACTTGTGGTGGAGACAGTTTTACAGAGCAGGAATGTTGGAGTTACCTGAGGCTCATTTCTTATTCTCCTTTTTCTTTTTCTTTTTTTTTTCTTCAGCTGTGACTCCAGACATGATTCAAAGAGGAATTTTGCAATATCATTTCTGGGTTTTACGGAAACTTACTTTACCTTTCTGTGTTAGGCTCTTAAAGCACTGTGTCAACCTTAAAAGGACACAGGAAAGGGCTTGTCACTTTTCTGACACCATCTAATCCCAGCTCATTCCAAGGCTAAGAGGGTTCTCACATGTCCATCTCTAGCCCAGCCTGCTTCCCTAAACACAGTCCTGATACTCAGCTACTTACTTTCATCTCAAAGGTGGTCTCAAAGATCCCTCATGCTAACATGTTCAGCATTCAACTCTTGAGTCTCTACACCAGTCCCCTTCCCCCCAGCATGAGTCTACATCCCCATGAGTCTACACCACCACCCACTCAGTTATGTGAGCTAGAAACCTGGACATCATCCTTGATGCCAGCTTCTTTTCCCCCTCCTCCTGTAGCCAGTCCATCACCAAGTCCCGCTGTTTTGACCACCTAAATAATGATCAAATCCATTCATTCTCTCCATCTACTCTACTACCAGCTTAGTCCAAGCCATGATTCTACTACACCCTCCTAGCAGATCTCTTGGCTTCCACACAGGCACACTTCTGAATCTCATCTCCATACAGCAACCAAAATATCTCTTAAGAGTGTAAATCTGATCACCTGTCCCCCTACTTAGGACCCTTTAATGGATTCTTACTGCTCTTTCAAAAAAGAAAAAAATCTTTTCTCAGGCTCCTGGCCACTGTCCATAGCATTCAAGTATACCATTCTTCCTCTTGCTGTCTGCACTGCTGCTACACTGTCTTTCTGTTTCTTAAACCCCAAACAATTCCTCTCCCTTCCTTCTTCCCAAGACACACACACACACACACACACACACACACACACACACACACACACTGATTCCCTTCACGTGTGTTCTTCCTTCATGTCTTTGCTCATCAGTCCCTTCACTCATGGAAGCCCCCTCTTATACACTCTTAGAATACTCTATTTTTTACTCTGAGCTCTTATTACAGATAATATTTCTACAGTTGTTCAACATTTCATTCAGATCTGCCTTTCCTACTTCCAAGCTCCAAAGGACAATGATCACATCTGTCTTCTTCCTCTGGGTAGCCTTATCACGTAGCACAGTGCCTGGCACTAAGTGAACTCTCAATAAATATTTGGGGGTGCATGAATCATCTCTAGAAGGCCCAGTGAGAATTCCAAAGGGCATGTGCACCCATGCAAACATTAAGGAATTTATTCCGTACTCTCTTATAATCTTGGTAAGTTTGATAAAATATTATCTATTTTATCTGCTCAGTCTGACTTCAAAAGTCCATGGGGGAAATTTTTATTTCAAAGCACTTCCTATACTTAAACTTTTGAAAAGGAAGAACGACTAGTATTTCTCCCATATTTCCATTCTGTCTTGAGCCATCTAAGCTCAGAGGCTGGCCAAGGCAGCAAATGAAGTGAGAGGCCATTGATATGCAAATATGATCATTATCACTGAAGGCCACACCCCAGAACTTGATCTCAGCGCTTTCACAGCCAAAGCCAATTTACATTAAAAAAATTAATTTTCCAAACTTGAATTTAATTTCCAAAGCTAAAATGCATAGAAATTAAACTACTAAAACATTGCATTTTCAATAGAACACATTGCTATTTTTTGGAGTGAGAGTTGGCTGTCTTCCAACAATTAGGTTCTGTTTGGCTTGTGAAAGAGGTTCTGGGTTGTTAAGGATGGATACTCTTGACCTTGGACTGACCTCTGCAGTTTCCCTGGAGCACGGACAGCCAAGCAGTAAAGTAGATGCTGGTGGAGATATTGCTACTGTTTTTGAGAAATGGAAGCTGAGACCCAGAAAGACTATGTGATATATTGAAGACTCAAATCCAAGTCTTCAGATTCTAAGTACTGAGGTCCTTTCTCAACATTTTCTCTTAAAATGTTTGGCTCTTTAGGGCAGAGCCCAGACTCACCAATGCCACACATGCCTCCCATTTGCCTGCTAGACTTTAGAGCTTTGGAATGGATCTGCAATCTCATAGAAAAGAGGTAAAGCAAATTCCTTCCAGGTCATAGCAAGAGGGTGGGGTGTCCTTTAACTGTCCTGATGCCTAAATTTGGTTTTACACAAAATCCCCAAGATGCTGTAAAATCACTTTTGTAGCTGGATGCCAGGGTCAGAATTGATGACTTGAGAGGCAGAGGAGCAGAGCTTCTGCTATGACCTCAGGAAAATGAGATGTGGCTGCTGAAGCCCAGAGCTTGGCTCCCAGCAAACCTCAGCCCTGGTTGCCAATGCCATCTCCCACTGCTGATGGATGATGGCCCACTGGCTCCTGCACCTGTGGATAGCTCTGATTTCTGCTTTCAACCTGTAGCCACGTAGCCTTTGGATTAAAATATTGTCCTCTGATTCAGATGATTCTTTTCTTCTCTGCAACAGGGCCACCGTAGGACATATATAGTAGTTAGCAGTGCAGGTTTTGCTGTTCACTAGCTCTCTGGTCTTTAGCAAATGACATCTTTTTTTTTTTTTGAGATGGAGTCTCGCTCTGTCTCCCAGGCTGGAGTGCAGTGGCACCATCTCGGCTCACTGCAAGCTCTACCTCCTGGGTTCAAGCCATTCTCCTGCCTCAGCCTTCTGAGTAGCTGGGACTACAGGCACCCGCCACCACGCCTGGCTAATTTTTTTTTTTTTTGTATTTTTAGTAGAGACGGGGTTTCACCGTGTTAGCCAGGATGGTCTCAATCTCCTGACCTTGTGATCCGTCTGCCTCGGCCTCCCAAAGTGCTGGGATTACAGGCGTGAGCCACCGCTCCCAGCCACAAATGACATCTTTGATCCTTGGTTTCCCCTTCTTTATTAATAGACTCTGTAAAGAAGGTTTCCTGTGCGCTGGTTACCCACTGGTCTGAGTTTGGTGAGACAGAACACCCATGCTCACAACAAGTTAAGTAAACAAGCTTATTACTTACAGATAGGCAGGCAGCAAGGGACAACAGAAACCGAGGATTCATTGCCACCCAGTCCTCCAAGGTTCAGGAAAGCTGCCTGGGTGGATGGAGTCTCAACTGCATGTGCTCCACTTTCATAGCAGCTGAGGGACCTCAGAAAGCAGCCCACACTGAGTTTTATACCTCGGGGTTACAAGACCCTCTGGGCTAAGCCTGGAAGGACATCTCATTTCTAGGGAGGGATTGGAACAGAGCCTGGACTGTCCTGACCAGCTCCCCTCTTATCTCAGGATGTTTTATTTCCAGCATGTCCTGCAGTTATTCTTGAGAACTACAGATAAGAAATGGGGGGAGAACTGTCTTGGTCTAAGGCCACCCAGAGAACTGTGCTGCAGATCCCACATCTAGAGTTCTCTTGAGGGTCAAATGAGATATCATAATGGGAAATGCTTAGCTTAGTACCTGATATGTAGCATTTTAAAAAAGGTAGTTATTAAGTTAGAAAAGGGACTATCTGCAGGATCCCTGCATGGGAAGAATGCATGGGGACACTGCATGCAGATGCTTAGGAATGCTTTGTGACAAACAACATCATGGGAGGTGGCAGCTCAAGAAAGTTGATCATACTTGTGCTTTTGAAACCTTGTGAGCAGTGTTAAAGCAGAAATATGAAAGGGAAAACCTTTACATGACAGCTTTCTATGTTTTATTGACATCCTGGCTAAGCTGGCTCCCTGACCTGGGTCTGGTTGATTCAGAGCTGGTGAACAATCATTATCTTGCACAAGGATGCACTAGGAAGGACCACACTCTAGCCCAGCTGGTCATGCAGTCATGTTGGGAAGTGCTGGTTGGCCCAGGGAAGCCATTCCTGATGGATCAGAGGAAAAGGGAAGGGAGAAGTAAATATGAAAAGAAGCTCAAGCCCAGGCTATGACCAGGAGAGCCAATCCTTCATTTGGAGCGCCACTCTTTCTTTGCCCAGAAACCTGCAGGTACATGCAAGTCCCTGGGAGTGGCTCCAGGAAGCCCCCCTCGGGCTCTATGTTGCTTTTTTTGAGTTAGACTCTCTGGCATAGACTTTGTCTTTGAAAGAGGATTTGTAAGTCGCTGTTTATTTATTCTTTTACTCATTCATTCCACATTCATAGAGCACTGGATTAGTCAGGTTCTCCAGAGAAATAGAACCAACAGAAATAGAACCAAAGACATGCATTATAAGAAATTGTCTTACATGATTATGGAGGCTGACGTGTCCCAAGATCTGCAGGGTGAGTTGGCAAGCTGGAGGCTCAGGAGGGCCAATGGTGTAGTTGTGGTCTGAAGGCTAGCAAGCTTGAGACCAAAAAAAAGCTGATGTTTAAGCTCTAGCATAAAGGCAGGAAAAACTCAAAGTCCAGTTTGAAGACTGCTGAGTAGGAATAATTCCCTCTTATTTGGGAGAGGATCAGCCTTTTTTTCTATTCAGGCCTTCAACTGATAGGACAAGGCCCACTCACACTGGGGAGAGCCAACCTAATTTACTCAGCTCATTGGTTTAAATGTTAATCTCATTCAAAAACACCCTCACAGACACACCTGGAATAATGTTTGACCAAATATCTGGGCACCCTATGGCCCAGTTAAGTTGAGACATAAAATTAATCATCACAGGGACCAACAATGTGTCAGGCATATTCCAAGACACCAGGGACACAGCAGAGAACAAATAAACATGAGCCCTGCCTTCATGGAGTTTACCCTTTAGAGGGAGGGTGGATCAAAAATCAAGTCAATGAATAAGACTTTTAGTGAAGGATGAGCATTATGATCAAGGGTGGCTGTTTCATTCTGGTGATCAGGGAGGACTTTTCTGGGCAGGTGACACTTGAATGGAGACCTAATTACATAAAGGAGCTGGCCATAGAATGTGCTGGGGGTAGGGGGGTGTGTTCTAGGCAGGGGAGTAACCAGGCAGGACTGAGCTTGGTGAATCTCAGGAACAGAAGGCTGGTGGGGGGAGCATGGTTCCGGGTGGGGGCAGGGTAGGGGTCAGTGGGGGACCAGAGAAGGCAGAGGACAGATCATGCAGAGCCTGTAGGCTGGGGAAGGAGGCTGCGTGTTATTCATTCGGCCTGCTGACTCACCCCAGTCCTTGGCTAGGACAGCAACCCTGCTGAAGGACCAGGATCTAAAAGTGTCCCTTCCCTCAGCAATGATGCCCACACTTCTGTGCCTTTGCACAAGCTGTTCTCTCTGCTGGGATGCCTTCCCCACGTTCTCTGTCCAGAGATTGCCCAGATATCCTTTAAGACCCAGCTTACATTGCACCCCCTCTCCAAAGCCTTTCCAGGATTTTCTGGGCAGTGAGCCAGCCTCTCCTCTGTGCAGCCATAGTCCTTTGTAAATACACTAATGCTCACATTGATTAGCTGCATTGTCATTTTATAGTTCTGAGCCTCTCTCATCCTCCTCTGCTTGTCAGGGCCAGTGTCTAATCCTCTATCTGTCCCCAGCATCCAGTCCATATTGACCATATGAATGTGTGCTGAAGGTTCTGATTGAACCTTAGGGCTGGCTCTCTCCAGCTTCAATCTTCCTTGCCATCTCCTCCTCCCTCCTTAACCCTCCATCTGTGTTACTCATGGCCAAGCTGGACGGGGAGCTCTAAACCTTGTCGGATCCACTGCAACAAGTTTTGGGCCTTGGAAAGCCTGCATTAGAGCTTTAGAAATAGACAAATACACATTGTCCTGTCCAGAGTCCCATTTCCAAGGTGGAGATTCATCAATATTTTTGGCCACTCAGCATCTAATCCTTCTTCTTCAAAACATCTGACTTCCTCTGGGAGGATCATAATAAAATCCCATTATAACTCTTTTATGTTCCGGGGCTGTTCTAAAAGCTTCACATTTGTTAACTCAGTTAGTCCTCATAATAGCCCTATTAGCTGAGGGCTATTATTATCCCTATGCAAAAGGGGCATAGGGAGGTCAAGTAATTTACCCAGGGTCACACAGTAGTGACAAGCAGTCTAGTGACAAGCAGTCTAGCCCAATCCTTGCTCTTTACCATGACTTTACTGCCATGGTGTGCAGACTTGATTTGCTCTCCCACTGCAGGATCTAAGGGTCCTACCATTTCTTCAGTCAAATCCTTCCTCTCATATCCTAGTAGAGCCAGAGGGTGGGCAGATGGCCTAAATTAGTCAAGATGACTCTTCCAGGACTTGAAGTTGAAAGGATGTAAAGTGTGAAGATGCAGCAGCTGTCTTGGAACCATGAGGGTCACATTTGGTTGAGAAGGCAGCTGAGAGCAGAAGGTGAATAGAGATGAGTGGAGAGGCAGTGAGAAGTGGACTCTAGCTGTATTAGTTTTCTATTGTTGTTGTAACAAATTACCATAAACTTAGCAGCTTTAAACCACACAAATGTATTATCTTACAGTTCTGGAGATCAGAAGTCTGAAATGTATTTTACTAGGTGAAAGCCAAGGTGTTGGCAGGTGCCTTTGTGTGTTTGGGCAGCTATCTTAGTCTGGGCAATTTATAAACAACATAAATCATTACTCATACTTCTGGAGGCTGAGAAGTCCAAGATGCTGGCAGATTTGGTGTCTGATGAGGGGCCTGCTCCCTGCTTCAAAGATAGTACCCTCTGGCTGTGCCCTCACATGGTGGAAGGGACAAACAAATTCCTTTAGGCCTCTTATATAAGGACCCTATCCCCTAAAACCATCACCTTGGGGGTTAGGATTTCAACATATGAATTTGGGTGGACACACATATTCAGACATAGCAGCAGAGCTCTGTTTCTTCAGGAGTCTCTAGGGGAGAATGTGTTTTCTTGACATTTTCAGCATCTGGAGTTCCATTCCTTGGGTCTTGGCTTCTTCTTCCATCTTCAAAACATAGCATCTTCAAATCTCTCTCTGCTTCTATTGTCACGTGACCTTCTCTGACTCTGACTCCTTCTCTGTCCTTCTTATAAGGACCATCGTGATTACATCGGGCCTGCCCAGATGTCCAGCATAACCTCTCTATCTTGCGATCCTTCACTTAATCTCCTCTGCAAAGTCCCTTTTGCCCTATCAGGTAACAATCACAGGTTCCAGGGATTAGGACATGGACATTTTGGGGACTGTTATTCAGCCTGCCACACTGACATCTTCCCTGCTCAGCCACGCCAGGCTGGCAGGGTGGCCCCCATGGGGAAGAAGTGTTTTTTTCAGGATTCCTTGCTTGTGCCAGTCCCAGGAGGCAGAACATACAGTAGCAGCGATGGCAGTCACCTTCCACTACAAACTCTGGAGTTGCAACTGTGGTTCAAGGACAGATATTTCTCTGAGAACCATCTCCTTGGGCACAGCAGCAGAATTCCATCTGCTGCAGAGAGCTTACCACATTCCCAGAACCTCTAGCTGAGCCTCATATCTTTTCTGAGAGGCAGCCTGGGCTGTGTTTACTCATGGATGTATCCAGGTGGAATTGTTACTTCCAGAGAAGATCAAAAATAGGAGCTTGGTCTTCAGATTTTCCTGTTTCTCACTGTCCTTGGAGAAAGAGAAATCAAGGAGGTTGGAGACAGGCCTTCCAAAGGAGCTAGAGGGAGGGGCCCTGGAAATGTCATGCTGGGCAAAAGACATAAATATTCCTTTTTTTTTTTTTTTTGAGACCGAGTCTTGCTCTGTCGCCCAGGCTGGAGTGCAGTGGCGTGATCTCAGCTCACTGCAAGCTCCGCCTCCCGGGTTCACACCATTCTTCTACCTCAGCCTCCCGAGTAGCTGGGACTACAGGCACCCACCACCACGCCCGACTAATTTTTTGTATTTTTAGTAGAGACAGGGTTTCACCATGTTAGCCAGAATGGTCTCGATCTCATGACCCTCATGACCTTGTGATCTGCCCTCCTTGTCCTCCCAAAGTGCTGGGATTACAGGCGTGAGCCACTGCACGGAGCATAAATATTCTTTTATTAAAGTAACACTATCAATAACAATAATATTTAATATGCTTGAAATTAAAATTAAATTTGAAAATATTTTAATTTAATAAATATTAAAATTTAAAAATGTATTGTCACTGAGTGGTAAGCACTTAATTTACATTATTATTTATTTTATTAAAAATAATTGGCCAGGTGCGGTGGCTCACACCTGTAATCCTAGACCTTTGGGAAGCTGAGGGAGGTGGATCACCTGAAGCCAGGAGTTTGAGACCAGCCTGGCCAACATGGTGAAACCCCGTCTCTACTAAAAAGTTATATATATATATATATATATATATATATAAAACTGTATATATGTGTGTATATATATATAAAACTGTATATATATGTGTATATATATATATATATATATATATATATATATATATATATATACAGAAATTAGCCAGGTGTGGTTGTGGCCATCTGTAATCCCAGCTACTTGGGAGGCTGAGGCAGGAGAATTGCTTGAACCCAGGGGATGAAGGTTGCAGTGAGCCAAGATCGCACCACTTCACTCCAGCCTAGGCCAAAGAACAAAACTTCATCTCAAAAAATAAAATAAAATAAAATAAAATATGTATAAGAAGATATGCTATAAAAATATAAGCTCTCTTCTTACCCCAGTCTGTTTCTCTCCTCAGAAACATTGTTTCTTGCACATTCTTCTAGAATTTAAAAAATCCATGAGCAATCATATATGAGACTGCTCTTTAAATAAAAACAAATGGCTACATTTTATACATCTCATGCTGTTTCTTGTTTTTTTTTTTTACAGGGAAGGATATATCTTGGCAAGTTTTTTCATTTTATCCTAAATAGATCTACTTTATTTTTTTAAAGTGACATGTTTTTTTGTTTTGTAGATGTGCCATAATTTATTAAAACACCTTCCTTTTGAGGGATATTTAGGTTGTTCCCAGTCTTTTGCTCTTATAGAAAACCCAGAAATAAAAATCCTCCCTGTATTCCGTTGCATACAGGTATAAGTTCGTAAGTAGAATAAATTCCTGTGAGTAAAATTCCTAGGTCTTCTCTCTTTAGTCATAATTATCCTATGAAGCAGGTATTATTATTATTTTCACTTAGATGGGGAAATAGCAATACTGACAGGCTAAGGTAACTTGCCTAATGAATTATTGGTTGAGATTGGATTAAAGCATACTGAGAACCTCAGTCTTCTAGGGGCTCTAGACTTCTTGATATTAGAAAGAGTTCTAATTTTTTTGCTCAGGACCAAATGGGAACCTGTGTCCTAGTTGTGTGAATCAGGATAGGGTAGGTTATGCTGCTGTACAAATCAATCCTCAAAGCTGGTGTTTGAACAAGATGAAAGTTTATTTCTTGCTTCTGAAATGTCTGATGGAGCCTCTGGGTGCTCTCCTTCCTCTGGTGATTCAGCCATTCAGGCTCTCTGAGATACCTGCATCTCAACACATGATTATTTGACATCCCTGCAGCAGGGAAAGAAAGAAAGAGGGCCCTAGAAGGTATACCAGCTCTTACCTACATGGGCTAGAAGTGATGCAGTTTATATCTGCTCACATTCCATTGTGATAGGAACCCAATATCTGGATTCAGGGTTGGGGGAAAGAGGAGCCACCACTTAATTCCCAAGAGTCACTGCTTCACATCTTCATTAATAGAAATTTATTTTACTGATGGATATCATTGGTTTTCTACCCAACAGCCTTTCTTTGATTCTTCTCTGCTAAGAGAATCTTGATTCTGCTCCAGAAGAAATGTGCCCCGCTTCAGTCCTCTTACCTTTTGATAGTGATTGGTCTAGAAGTCGACATGTGACTCAGCTTTGGTGAATAGAGGAAAGGGATGTCCGCTGGGGCTTCTGGGAAACTTTACTTCCTAATAAGATAGAGCAGCCATTTAGTTGCAAGTCTCCTTCCTTCCTGCTTTGTGCATTAACTTGCAAAGATGTTGAGGCAGCCATCTTGATATCCTGAGAGCAGACATGAGGATGAGTGGAAAGAGCCCCAGGAGTGCTTTGATGACTCTTGAAGACATTGTTGAGTTACCCCTCCCCCAACATATATCTGAACTTCTTAAGTAAACAATACACATTCTTATGGTTTAAGCAGTTTTTAGTGACGTTTTCTGTTACTTGCAGCTGAAAACATTCCCAACTGGTACAATGCTGTGCCCTTTGCTCGATGCTGGGGAATGGAGCTGAATTGTGTATATCTCCTGCCCTCAAGGAGCTCACAGTCCAGTGGAGAAGCACCTCATGGGAGCAATATTTGGGCTTGAATGAAATGTGCTGATAGTGTTGAGCCGGGAAGAAGTAGTGGTGTGGAAGGGTCGGGTGCCTGGTGAGTGGTCCCACACGTCCTTCTGTCCTGTCATTCTTAGTCCCACAGGACTCTCAGGACATGAGCCTTGATTGCCAGGAAGTGGGCAGCTTTCTGTCTTTGAAGGCAGGGGCTCACTTTTCAGAGAAGCGTTCCTGTTACACCAGGGCTACAAATTAACACATTATTTTAGGCCATTTCTGGACCATAATTTTATCCTCCCCTTAGCGATTTACTGCATGCAAATTTTCCACTCTATGCAAATCACTCACTTTACGGAAATCATCTATCATATGTTCCCAAGCCCTAGCACCTGCACCAGGAAGAATTGGATGATTCAGTCCTTGGAGCATTAAAGTGCAAACACTTAACTCAAAGAATCTCTTGGGGGATAGTTGAGCGTTGGATGCCAAGATCAGCAGCCTCTGCAGATAGCCTGCTTAGCTTACAGGGTGTGCTGAACTCTGCTGCCTCCCCTCACCCCTCTTCCCTAGCTACTTACAAGCCCCTTCCAGGTGGTAATGACTATTTGGAGTAAATATTTTGATGTGACAGAATGATTAAGTCCAGACTGGCTCGGCAAAGAACCTTAAGGCAATTAGGTTTCCCAATCAGTGTAGGTGGGTACATCTGTGTGCCTGGCTGAGCTCAGACAGGTGCTGTAAGAAGCTTGTTTCTCTAATAGGCTTCCTCGGGGAAGCAGTGGCTGCTTAACCTTGGATACACATTGGAATCACCTGAGGAGCTTTAAAAACTATCCAGGCCCGGTCTCGCTCTCCCATATTCTGATTCAATTGATGTGGCAACTCAGGTGTGGGGAGTTTAAAATAATCTTGCCAGGTGATTCAAAGGTGTAGGCAAGGTTGAGATGCACGGGCCTGGACAGGAAGGCGGAGGTCTCTGCATGGCTCTGGCTCTGCCGATGACCCTCTGCATGACACTGGGCAAATCCAGATACTCTGCCCTCTCTGGGCCTCTACTGTAGAGCTGTCCAGCACTGGGTCTTCCCTGCAGCGTCACAACCAGAGTCAACACTTGGCATGGGTGCTGGGTGAGTGCTTGATTAATTAAACTAAAACAATAACTTAGTAGCGGTTTTTTTTTGTTGTTGTTTTTTGGAGATGGAGTCTCGCTCTGTTGCCCAGGCTGAAGTGCAGTGGCATGATCTCGGCTCACTGCAACCTCCGCCTCCTGGGTTCAAGCGATTCTCCGGCCTCAGCCTCCTGAGTAGCTGGGACTACAGGTACACGCCGCCATGCCTGGATATTTGATTTTGTATTTTTAGTAGAGATGGGGTTTCACCGTCTTGCCCAGGCTGGTTTTGAACTCCTCATCTCAGGCAATCCGCCCACCTTGGCCTCTCAGAGTGCTAGGATTATAGGCGTGAGCCACCGCGGCCGGCCTAGTAGTAGGTTTTAAGAATAGCTTTATTGAGGTGTAATTGACATACAATAAACTGCATTGATTGATTGAGGGTCTTGCTATGTTGCTCAGGTACCTCAGCCTCCCAGATAGCTGGGACTATAGGCACATACCACCATGCTCAGCTAATTTTAATTTTTTTTTTTTTTTTTTTAAGAGATGGGGGTCTTGCTATATTTCCCAGGCTGGTCTTGAACTCCTGGCCTCAAGTGATCCTCCTGCCATGGTCTCCCAAAGTGCTGGGATTACAGGCATGAGCCACTGCACCTTGCCCCTGCCCATACTTAAGTTGTACAATTTGATGAATTTTGATGTATGTATACAAATATAAAACCATTACCACAATGCAGGTGTTGATATCTGTTAGTTTGCGAGGGCTGCCATAACAAAGTACCACATACTGGGTGGCTTAAACAACAGAAATTTATTTTCTCATAGTTTTTTTTTTTTTTTTTTTTTTTTTTGAGATGGAGTCTTGCTCCGTCGCCCAGGCTGGAGTGCAGTGGCGCAATCTCAGCTCACTGCAACCTCCACCTCCTGGGTTCAAGCGATTCTCCTGTCTCAGCCTCCAAAGTAGCTGGGATTATAGGCATGCACCACCATGCTCGGCTAAATTTTGTATTTTTAGTAGAGATGGGGTTTCACCATGTTGGCAGGCTGGTCTGGAACTCTTGACCTCAGGTGATCTGCCCACCTCTGCCTCCCAAGGTGCTGGGATTACAGGCAGGAGCCACCATGCCCGACCATGTTTTCTCATAGTTTTTAAAGGCTGGGAAGTCTAAGATCAAGGTGTCAGCAGGTTTGGTTTCTTCTGAGGCCTCTCCCCAGGACTATCTTCTCCCTGTGTCCCCACATGGTCTTCTCTGTGTCTATACAGGATTTGGGCCCACCCCAGTGACCTCATTTTTACTTAATCACCTCTTGAAAAATCCTGTCTCCAAATGCAATCACATTCTGAAGTACTAGGGGCTGGGACTTAACATATACATTTTGGCGGGGTTGGGGGTGGGACACAGCTCAGCCCATAACAATCTATCGCTTCCAAAATTTCCTGGGGACTCTTTGTAATCCATCCTTCCCTCCCCACTCCACCCCCATCTCTGAGCAGCCACTGATTTATTTTCTGTCACAAGAGATTAGTTTGCATTTTTCTTGGAATTTTATAAAAATGGAATCACACAGCATATATTCTTCTTTTGTCTGACTTTTTTTTTTCCCACTCAGCGTAATTGTTTTGCGAGTCACCCACGCCGTGGGTATCAATAGTTTGTTTCTTTTTGCGGCTGAGCAGCATTCCATTGTATGGATGTACCACAGTTTGTTTCTCACTCACCTGTTGATGGACATTGGGGTTGTCTCCAATTTTTGGCTATTGTGAATAAAACTGTATGAACATTCGTGGACATTTTTTAGGTATATAAGGCACATTTCCACATATTGTCTCCTAATTCTCGCCACAATGCTGCAAGGCAGGCAATCTGATTCTCAGACTATGGATGGGCGAACTGGAGCAAGACGTGGCTGTCATGCCACATAGGAAAGGATTGGGTTTGTTTATTGCACATCTCCAGTGGCCAGACAGCACGATCTTAATAGATGTTTTTCCCTTGAGTGAATGAATAAATGAGAGTGAAGGATTTGCCCAAGGTTGCCCAGTGGGGTCTAGAAGGTTGGTAGCCTTTCTCTGTGCACAGAACTTGTATTTAGCTCTGAGAAAACAGCATCATCTCTGCAACTTCTTCCAGAATGGGAGCCACAGCACCTGCAGTTGCTTTGGGTGTGATCAGGGGTGGGGTGGGACCTGCCATTCAAAGCAGCCTTGAGGCCGAATCTCACAGGTTGATACTGTTGAATAGTTCAACTGAAAACCGAGGGAACAGAAGCCTGGCTGTGCTCAGATGGACTCTGGTCAGAACATGGCGAGGGGGCTTTATTATTCTGAACCCCAGAATAGGTGAGTGATGGCCAGTCAGGACTGAAACCCAAGCTCCTAACTCCCAGCTCAGACCTTGGTCTCCTCACCTTCTTTGACTGCTGATGCCCTTCTGAGCCTCCAAGAACTGTGAGATGCAAGCAGGTTGTGGTGTGTGTGTTGCTCTGCAAACCATAACCTCCTGAGCAGGCAGGGGAGTTGTTATGATACCTTAGGTTTGGGTATTTGTGACCACACGATTGAGCTATGATTCAAGAAACAAAAGGAAATCTTCACACAGAAAAACTTTCCCAGGACACTGCTGACAACTGAGTCCCTCTTCTGCTCTCCCTACGCCAGCTGGTGGCCCCAGCATACAGCCTTATATTATTGGCCTCTTCTGTGGGCACCATGCAGTAAAGAATCTAGAAACTTCTCTGTACAACTTCTAATTTAATCCCTTCAACCCCTATGGGAGTTAGCATTGGTCTAATTTTATTGACAATGAAACTCTGGCTCAGGAAAGAAAAGGAGCTCGCCCAAAGTCTCCCAGCTAGAGAGTAGCAAAGATGCCTCTGGAAGCCAGGATTCCTGTGTCCAGCTGTACAGCTGTACAGTCAGTCCTAGGACACTATTTATTTTTCCTAGGACTTTACATGCTGTTACAGCCAACTCACTCCTGGTCCCAAATTGGGGACCCTGTGTAGTCTTCCCTATCAAACAAATAGCTGGTTTCTCAGGCTATTTCTCCGACCCTCAGCAGGCAGAAGAGCTGGGGCTCTCCCTCCCATCCCCAGGGCCGTGTAGGAGGCACAGCACCACCCGAGGGGCCCAGCCAAGTAGACAAGAAGAAACTTCACAACCCATGCTTGACAACAGGAGAGCCACCTGCCAGAGGAAGGGGCCTTGGCACCTAGTGGTCTTGTTATTGGGTGGGGCCGCTGAGTGGTAGAAATTAACAAACAGCAATTGAGGATGGGTTTGGAAACTCACAAACCAGAGAGTTCCAATCCAGGCTCTGCTGTTTTGTGTGACCCTAGAGCACCATTGTTGGGCTTCTGAGGCTGTGCTGCAAGCAGATGTGGCCAGGCTAGGGCCCCAGGAGAAGCCATCAGACAGGGAGCCTCAGATTGGACTGGCCCTGTCCCACAGGCAAGACTGCCCTGCTTTGTCCAGGTTGGACACCAAAGGCCAAAGTTACCTAGAGGAGCATGAGAGTTTTGTGAGGATGGGTGTCCCAGGCTGTGTTCCACACAGCTGTTCTGGCACCAAACCCTCTGGGGTCTGCACAGGCTGGAATCCTGCCCCTGCTACCGTGTCCAGAATTGGTTCCTTCCGGTGGGTTCTTGATCGCCCTGACATTAAGAATGAAGCCACGGCCCCTCGTGGTGAGTGTTACAGTTCTTAAAGATGGTGTGTCCGGAGTTTGTTCCTTCAGATGTTCAAATGTGTCTGGAGAGTATTCCTTCTGGTGAGATCGTGGTCTTGCATGACTTCAGGAGTGAAGCCGCAGACCTTCACAGTGAGTGTTACAGCTCTTAAAGGTGGCACTTCTGGAGTGTGTTCCTCCTGGTGGGTTCGTGGTCTCACTGACTTCAGAAGTGAAGCTGCAGACCTTCACAGTGAGTGTCCTGGCTCATAAAGGTAGTGTGGACCCAGAGTGAGCAGCAGCAAGATTTATTGTGAAGAGCGAAAGAACAAAGCTTCCACAGTGTGGAAGAGGACCCCAGCAGGTTGTTGCTGCTGGCTCCTGTGGCCAGCTTTTATTCCCTTATTTGACCCCACCCACATCCTGCTGATTGGTCCATTTTACAGAGTGTTGATTGGTGCGTTTTTACACAGTGCTGATTGGTCCATTTACAATCCTTTAGCTAGACACAGAGCGCTGATTGGTGCGTTTTTACAGAGTACTGATTGGTGCGTTTATAAACCTTTACACATAGAGTGCTGATTGGTGCGTTTTTACAGAGTGCTGATTGGTGCATTTACAATCCTCTAGCTAGACAGAAAAGTTCTCCAAGTCCCTGCTGGGCCCAGGAAGTCCAGCTGGCTTGACCTCTCACTACCTCTCCAAACAAGTCTCCTGCCAGCTCCAGTGTCTGTGCAGGTTGTGGGATCTCCTGAAGCTGGGATCCCTGAGCTATGTGGCAAGAGCATGCCATTCCTCACCTGTTCAACTCATTCCTTTCCCAGGATCTACTGGGGACCAGGAGTGAGTCCTGATGCTTGGCAACCCTGTGCAGTTTTTCCAGCTTCCTCCCCATTTAGCCGAGGTTCTGCAACCTCCTTCTGTCCACTCTGAATGCTTCCCCTCTGGAGACTTGCTTGGAGTGTGCCAGTGTTCCCCATGTCCTGGTCTCTTGGTGGGAGATGTTGTTCCTGGCTGTGTCTAGTTGGCCATGTTGGCTCACCTGAATATTGACTTTGGACTTTTGAGTTGATGCTGGAATAAATTAAGACTTTGAGGACTATTGGGATAGAATAAATATATTTTGCATGTGAGGACGACATGAATTTTGGAGGCTAGGGGCAGAATGCTATGGTTTGATTGTGTCCTCCAAAGTTTATGTTTTGGAAACTGAATCCTCAATGCAGCAGTGTTGGGAGGGGGGCGCCTAATGAGAGGTGATTAGATCATAAGGGCCCTGCCCTCATGAATGTATTAATACCATTATAGTGGACATGGGTTCCTGATAAAGGATGAGTTTGGCCCCCTTCCCCTCTTACTCTCTCACTCTTGACCTCTCTTGCCCTTCTGCTTCCCATAAGATGACACAGCACAAGGGCCCTTGGCAGATGCCAGCAACTTGATATTGAACTTTTCAGCCTCCAGATCTGTGAGAAGTAAATTTATTTTCTTTATAAATTACCCAGTCTGTGGTATTCTGCTACAGCAACACAAAATAGTTTGTCACCAAATAGTAAACGGGACACAAAGGACATAATCACAAAGAAGTCAAAATGGGGACATTATTGATTTAATTCTTTAGTGTTAAAAAATCAAGCTTTTAAAAGAGCCTTTCAATCAAGCATATTGTGCAGTTCCAAAAACCCCCGCAGGGTGAGCACAGCGCCTGCTGTTCCATTCCGCATTACAGATCTGCCGTCTGCTCGTGTGTTCCTAGGA
This sequence comes from Homo sapiens, assembly GCF_000001405.40. Lineage (NCBI taxonomy): Eukaryota > Metazoa > Chordata > Mammalia > Primates > Hominidae > Homo > Homo sapiens. Next base: position 41,729,164 of record NC_000020.11, read on the forward strand.
CAGTGTTGCATGAGGAGCTCAGTAAATCCCTAGGTGGGCATCAGAACACCCCCAATGGGCCCCACAATTCTTTCTTATTTGGAGTGTGGCACGTGAGCTCTTTGCGACTGTTCCTGTACCCCAGTCACCAACAAAGGCCTTCACGTGGCTGATCTAAAACATATTGGATCAAGGATGAATGGAAGGTCCTGGAGCCAGAGGGGAATTTTCCTTGTCTTCCAGAATGACTGGGGTTGCTGGACTTCCTGAGCCCAGGGACTGACTGGCAGGGTTTGCTGACAGTTGGCATGCTCTATGAAGAGTAGAAAGGATAATTCCTCTAAGCCAGCCTGTGTTGGGGCTGTATAGAGAACAGCTGCTCTCAATCCATGCCTCTTATGGGGTACCTTCAGCCTGTAGTCCTCTGACTGATCCTCTGATCTTGTTTTAGGTGCCCTCTGTCCCCTACATTCTCATTTTGGCTCCACATCCAGTTCCCATCCCAAACCTCAGTTACTCACTTTGATGCTTGGCTTGATCTCACCCAGCTTTTCTCCAGGATATGACTTCTAGCCTCTGTACTGGCTACATATACCACTTCTACCAGAAGCTCCCTCCTCCCCAGCACATAGGATCCAGGAGTCAGGACCTCTTTAGCTAGGGAAGCTAGTTGGTTTTGACTTAGGTCCTGATTCTAGCATTTATTATTTATGTGCACATAGGCCTGCTACTTTGTCTTCCTGAGTTTCAGTGAAAGGAGGGGAAGGCCATCCCTGATGGTCACATATGGACACTGTTGAGTAAGAGCCAGAGTCCCAGACCTCAGACCCCAAAGCCAACACAGGCTCCAGTTCCCTTGATGAAGATATTTCTTTCCATCTCAATTGGGAATGTCTTTCTCTTCCACCCCATTTCTTTTTCAGGTAAGGATGGGCCATTTTCAGAGCTGGCTTTCAGTAATGATGACCTTTCTAGCTGTGTGACCTTAGGCAAGTCTCATGTTTACTGTCTATATTTCAGTTTCGTCATCTATAATATGAGAAATACAAAGGAACCTATCTCAGGCTGTGTAAGGTAATACACTCACAGGTTCTGGGGATTAGGATGTAGATATCTTCAAGGAAGTCATGATTCTGTCTACTTCAAGGCCTATCTGAGCTTGCTAAGTTATGTGGTTCCTTAAGGCCTGTGGCCTTCTTTCATTCTCCATGTCTCTGCCATTCTCTCCCATCAGCTGGGTGCCTGACAGTTGACTTGTCTCAACAAATCTTACTTGTATCTGCTTGAGTGGATAGAGGTCCTTTGGTATCCGGCATCTTCCCAAATGGCCCAGGTGCCAGGATGGCAGATCTTTAAATGATATTCTTTATGGGCCCAGAAAACATATGTATTCCTCTGATTAGATTTGGAGGCCAGCCCCTGTCCCTTCTGAGCTTTGCTTTCTCTGCTAGAAGTGGCTTTCATTTTAGATGCTTACCAGAGGCTTTCGCATTGTCAGATAACTGGGAATCACTATTTGGATGTCATGGTGTACATGTGCAGTTAGGAACCGGTACAACCATTTGCCCCTGTGAAAGCAGCAGCCCCAGGATAAAGCCAACATACAGAGCTGGGCACAACCTAGGGGATATGGAGAAATGGAGCTTGCGCCCTAGATCAAGCTGATCTTGAAGCCCACATTACCTTCCTTTTACATGAGCCAGTACATTTTTCTTATTAGTTAGGCCAACTTGAGTTGTGTATGCAGCTGTTATGTATAGCTGAAAGCATTACAAATGATAAAATGTGAAGGAGCTTGTATATTTCCTCATGGCTTCACCATGTGAAGATTGGGGATTCACGACATGTATTTATCTCCTCCCCCTCCTGAGACCTAACTATAGAAATGAAAAAGGAAGAAAGTCATGATGATGCAGAGAATGGGAAAAGATCATTAGTGAGTAAGATAGTTTTTTTTTTTTTTTTAATTATACTTTAAGTTCTAGGGTATGTGTGCACAATGTGTAGGTTTGTTACATAGGTATACATGTGCCACGTTGGTTTACTGCACCCATTAACTCATCATTTACATTAGGTATTTCTCCTAATGCTATCCCTCCCCCTGTCCCCAATCCCATGACAGGCCCCAGGGTGTGATCTTCCCTGCCCTGTGTCCAAGTGTTCTCATTGTTCAATTCCCACCTATGAATGAGAACATGTGGTATTTGGTTTTCTGTCCTTGTGATAGTTTGCTCAGAATAATGGTTTCCAGCTGCATCCATGTCCCTACAAAGGATATGAACTCATCTTTTTTATGGCTGCATAGTATTCCGTGGTGTATATGTGCCACATTTTCTTAATCCAGTCTCTCATTGATGGACATTTGGGTTGGTTCCAAGTCTTTGCTATCGTGAATAGTGCCGTAATAAACATACATGTGCATGTGTCTTTATAGCAGCATGATTTATAATCCTTTGGGTATACACCCAGTAATGGGATCCCTGGGTCAAATGATATTTCTTAGTTCTAGATCCTTGAGGAATCGCCACACTGTCTTCCACAATGGTTGAACTAGCTTACACTCTAGTGAATATGATATTTCAAGAAAGTTCTGGAAGAAGTAAAGGACATGGCAGATGGCACCTGAAGAAGTCACTGCTTAAGTGCATAAGTTCTGAAGACACCAGGTACAGTAGTGTAAGATGGAGATGCAAGGCTGAAAATGGGCATTGTGTGTGTGTGTGTATGTGTGTGGCATACACACACAAATATATACACATATATACACATTCTTTCCCCCTAATTCAGAAAAATCAAGCAAAGAAATAGAGGGTTCTTGTAAAATTGACTGGTCTCAGTGAAGTGTCCCAAATGTCTGGCATCTGGGGTAGGCAGACTTATGCATTGAACACAGTGCCTAGAGCCCCAATTCACTCAGGGCTTCCCAAAATGTTTTAATTATTTTAAACTCAGAAAAAATGAGTATAATAATAATGAATATGTAATAATAAAATTGACCTGGAGTATTTCATCTTTATACCAACTCAGTCATAAAATATAATTTAAAATAATATTTTTCTCAAGGAAGGAGTACAGAGAGTTAAAAGTGCCTGAGGCCCAGAAACATCATAATGTGGCCCTGATCTGGGACCCCCTAGTATGAGGATCACTTTCCAACCCATCACCCCAAAGTGCAGCCCACCAGTCACAAGCCCTATCTGTGTTCAGAGAGCCCAATCAGATTTTTAGAACCTTGCCATTAAAAATGAGGTGAGAGCATATCCCAATCTGTGACTGACTCGATTTGAATAGCAGTTAAAGGTGGGTGAGGCTATATTAAAAGCTCTAGGACCCAATCACTGCAGGATTCCCCTTGGTGTGTGAAACGGACTACAAAGCCAAGGTCCCATTGACTACTAGAGAGGTTGTCAGGTTAGTGCAGGTAACCTGAGTCAGAAATAACTCACATGTTCATGCAATAGACATTCACTGGACTGGGCCCAGCGTTGAGTAAGAGATGGGTCCTGTCTTCAGGTGTGCCCAGTCTTCTTAGGGGTCCAAAGACCTAACCTTATAAGACTGTGTCATCAGTGCCCCAAGACAGGTGTGTGCCTGGTGTCATGGGGCTCAGATGGGGGATTTGGGAAAGATTCACACATGAGGAAATATTTGAGTTGAGTTTTAAAAATTGAAACATTTTGACAGATGACAGGGGTGGGAAACTTTCAGGCAGAAGGAACAGTGTGAATGGATGCTCAGAGGTGCGGAAGGCCATTGTGTGTTGAAGGAAAGACATACGGCTGACCAAGGCTGAAGTGACTATATAGTGTAATGGCCAAGTGCATGGACTGTAATTCTTCCCTACCTGGGTTCAAACTCCAGTCCTGCTATTTCTTAACTGTGTGAATTTGGCACATTTCTTAAATCGATTTTTTAGCTTTCCCATATGTAAAGTGGAGAGAATCATAATAGTACTGTTGAAGCAAACTAAATATGGTCTGAGAAGGACTCCGTGCTTCTCTATTTGAGTCCTTGTGGATGAACTGTAGCCTAGCTTAGTCAGACAAGATTGAGAACCTAACTTAGGAGCATGTGCCTGTAACAATAACTGAGTCTTGGCCAATCCCAGGGCCGTGCTTCAACCACTCAGAGGGCTAAGTTTTCAAACTGTGTTCAAATGAGGCAAACGCCAACCTGGAACCCATCCAGCTGTTTCTGTGCCTCACTGCCGATTTCTGTACGTCATTTCCCTTTTTTTTGTCTATAAATCTTCTTCCACCATGTGGCTGCACTGGAGTCTCTGTGAATCTGCTGTGAATCTGGGGGCTGCCTGATTTGCGAATCATTTGTTGCTCAGTGAAGTTCCTTTAAATTTAATTTGGCTGAAGGTTTTCTTTTATCAGTACCTACCTCAAAGGACTGTTTTCAGGATTATATCCTGGAATAAAGTAAATGCTCTATATGTTACCTATTATTGTTACCCCCACCCGTTTGGATTGTGGAAGTTTCTTCTGTCTCCCTGATGGGCTGTGAGCTCCTCGGTGGTAGGAGCCACACCTTCCTCACCTCTGCCTCTTCCATGGGACCTAAGGCCATGTAAGTGCTTGCTAAAGGCAGATTGAATTAAATGGGCCTCTGAAAGGGTGACATATATAAGCAATTATGATTTATTTTTCTTCTAAAGAAGGAAATAGAAAGTTCCTTTCCTCTGCTGGTGATGACAAATTTGCATTGCTTAAAAATGCTGATTGGAGGAAGGCAGGCCACATTTATGGGATGTCCACAGTGTCCACATCCCCAGCTTCATTTACTCCTTCCTACAACCAGTGGAGCAAGGTTTACATACCCATTTAATAGAGGGGAAAACTGGGGCCCACGGTCACTGAGATAAGTGTGATACAGTCAGAATTCAAACACCTTCTGGCTTCTAGAACTCTGAGAAATAAATCTTTCTTGTTTATAAATCACGAAGTCTATGGTACTTGGTACTTTTTTTTTTTCTTTTTTGAGATGTAGTCTCACTCTGTTGCCCAGGCTGGAGTGCAGTGGCATGATCTTGGCTCATTTCAGCCTCCACCTTCCAGGTTCAAGCGATTCTCCTGCCTCAGCTTCCCGTGTAGCTGGGACTACAGGTGTGTGCCACCACACCCGACTAATTTTTGTATTTTTAGTAGAGACGGGTTTTCACCATGTTGGCCAGGATGGTCTTGAACTCCTGACCTGAGGTGATCTGCCTGCTTTGGCCTCCTAAAGTGCTGGGATTACAGGCGTGAACCACCACACCTGGCCTATGGTACTTTGTTATATCATCCTGAACTAAGACTCCTTCCCTGGAAATTTGCTCAAGCTCTTGGGAATGGAGGGCTAAAGGAAAGAGCCTGGCCACTCATTTGGGAGGGGAAAAATAGTTGCTAACACAGACGGAGGGAGAGACATCCCTATCCCATTGAAGGTGGCTGTCCTGTGGGAAGCCTGCAATTGCTGACTGTGACCACTAGATGGAAGCATGGAGAACAGTGCCGGTTACAGTCTGGGTGGAATTTGACCTGTGCTCCCCAAGCAGGAGCTGTGCCTGGGCTTCCATGGATGCTCCAGAGAAAAAGCCCCAAGCTGGCCTGGCCTCGCAGCGTGTGGGCTGCTGCATGGAACAGGAGTAGTCAGTTGGTCCTATGTTCCCAGCTCAGGGACTGGCCTCAAGATTCACTGGGCTGAATGCTGGGGTTCCATTACCCTTTTGGATTTCATGGCTCCTGGCTTCCCTCTGCTCACTGTCGCCACCACTGGGCTCAGTCCATCCATGGGGAACATCTATTAGTGGAGAAGGGCCAAGTAATTTATTTTTTTGGATATGTGTGTCCACACTGCTTGGAAACAAAATTGTAGCTTCCTGTACTGGCCAGATTCTCTGTCCTTGGCCCTCCACAGTGGCTCGTCCCTGGTCAGGGTCCCAAGCGGCCACCCCCGATCACCTAGAGTTTGGCAACTCTTGGAAGACTAGAGCAATGGTCTGGTCTTGATAATTTCATCACATAAAAGGGCAGGGAACACATTGCAACAAAGTTCACTCCCTGCTTCATTCCCAGAATAATGTGTCTGTAAATGAATTAGAAGTGGATTTGACACGTATTTTCAATGAAAAGGTCAAAGACATTACAACTGAAAACACTCCTCTCTGTGTAGACAGGCCTGCTAGTGTGTCACAAGGCTCTCAAGGAGAGAGGGGGAAAGACTAATGCCCATGGGCCATGCAGGTGGCAGGGGCTTCGTCTACTGTCTCTCTGTGAAGTGGACATTCTAATTATTATTTCTACCTTACAGTGGAAAGTGTGGCTCAGAGAGTGTATTTGTTATCTATTGCTGTATAACAAATTACTTCAAAACTTAGTCGCTTGAAATAATAAGCATGTAGTTTCTGAGTGTCAGGAATCTGGGAGTGGCCTAGCTGGGTGGTGCTAATTTTAGGTATCTCGAGGTTGCACTCAAGATGTTGGTTTGGGCTGCAGTCATCTGAAGGCTTGACTGGGGCTGGATACTCTGCTTTCAAGATGACACACTCACATGGCTGTTGGAAGGAGGCCTCAGTTCTGCATCATGCAGTACTGGTGAGGCCTCCACAGGAGGCCTGAGTGTCAGTTTAGCATGGCGGTTGGCTTTTACAAGGGCTAGTGATCCAAGGGAGAAGGCGAAGACACATGCCTTTTTATGAACTAGCCTCAGAAACTACACATCATCACTTCTGTCATATTCTATTGGTCGTGCAGACCAACCATGATGCAGGGTGGGATGGGACTCCAGAAGGGTGTGCAGATTGGTAGACAAGGATCTTTGGGGGCTATCCTGGAGACCGGCTGCTACCAGAGAGCTTAAGTAACTTGGCTATCAAATAGACTGAAATTCACTTAAAGTTCCCACTGTTCTTTTGTAGTAGGGGCAGAGGCCTTGGAGAGACATTCGGATAGGTGAAAGAATCAAGAACTCATGCTTTGCCCACTCTACTGAAAAAATTAAAAAATGCTGATAATACTATTTCTCAGGATATGGGGAAATGGACACTTTCATTCACTGTTCAAAATTTAAATTTTTCTTTATTTTGACTCTACCACTCTTCCTTTAAGACTCTATCCTATAGAAATATCTACATTCGCACATATATGCAACATATATACATATATAACTTTTTTAAAAAAAACCAGAAGTATCATTTATTATAGGGAACAATTGGAGATAAATCTGGGATTGATTAAATAAAAATTATATGTCATTCTAGTGAAATATCTGATAGCCATGGAAAAGAATAAGGCAGATATATATGGAAAGATTGTTGAGTGAATATAGCATGTTATAGAACTATATAGAGACATAGTAGGATTCCATTTATGTATATGCATATAAGACATATACATATATGTATGTATTTTTATTGTTACTATAAATATAAAAAAAAAAACCAAACCATTAGCCATGGTTACTTGTAGGAGGTGGGACTTTGGGAGGGGCATGTGTACTTTACACTCTTGTCTGTAGTTTAAATTATTTCCATAGGTTCTTTTCACATCTAAATAACTTGATAAAATTAACATTGATACAACATTATCTACAGACATTGTTTGAATGTATCCAGTTTTTCCAGTAATGTTCTTTTTTTCTGGTGCAGGATCAGCGCTCTCCATTGCATTAGCTATGTCTTCCTGGTCTTCTCTAATCTGTAAGAGGTTGTCAGATTTTTATTTGTGACTTTCATTACCTGACACTTTTGAAGAGTACTGGTCAGTTACTTTGTAGCATGGCCCTCAATTTGGATTTGTCAGGTGTTTTTTCATGGTTAGATTGAGATTATGCATTGTGGCAAGAATATCACAGAAGGGACGTATTGCTCTTCTCAGGGCATCGCATCACTGATGTTGATATATCTTATTACCTGTGATATTAATGTTGATCTCTTGGTAAAGGTGCTGTCTGCCAGGTTTCTTCACCATTAAGTTCCTATTTCTCCATTTGTATTTAATAAGTATCTTGTTTGTAACAATTACATGGTGGTGTTTGCCTGATGGTGATTTTCTATTTCCATTATTCCTTGTATTTATTAGTTAGTGTTCTTCTGTAAGGATGAGCTGTCCCTATCCACCAATTTAATTATTCAGTGATTTATATTTATGTCAGTATGGAAAATAGCATATTAAAATATGTTCTTTATAAAATTAATATAAACTAAAAATCTTGAATGTCGAGTTACCATTTTTCAGAAAGAACAAATAATTTTTGGTGAAAGGATCCCCTGTCATGCAGGGCAGAGAGAGCAGAGCTTTCAGGAAGAAGCCCAGTCTTGGGACCATAATAGAATTTGAGCCTGCTTGCAGCATAGAGATCCTTAATTTCATTTCACAGATGATGAAATGGCTCAGAGAAGTTGAATTGGCAAATCATGCTGTAGCCAGGCTTAGGATCTATGTCTGTTTGATTCTAAGACTCACGTGCATTCCACCATCCTCTTTCAAACATCAGGAGGGGGTGAACTTTAAGGTCCCTTTCAAGTCTGAATTTCTACACCTATGAAGTCTCCCAACCATGTGGACCTGTGACCTCATCTTCCCTTCCTTAGGGGACTCCAGCCAGAGACTTACTGCCCTGGGGGAGCCTCAGTTGCTGTTCTACAGACCCAGCTTGTCAGAACCTCAAAGATAAGGCTTTTAAAGAACCTTTCAGCTCTTCCCCAACTAAGCATGACTCCATACAACTGCGGTTCTCATCTGCACATAATTTAATTCCTCTTCAGCACAAAGAGATGGTAAATCAGTTGTGCATGTGTATGTGTGTGAATGTGTGTGTGTGCACGTGTGCATGTATGGATATATATGTGCGTATTGTGTGTGGGGGGTAGTGAAAGGGAACCAGATAACCACACTTAACACTGGGGGTCAGTTCAAATTGTTCCCAGCAATCAACTCCCAGCAGGCTTGTCAATGCAATGCTTGAAGGCTTTCGTTCTGAGTTTCCTGGAAGAGAATTGAGACTTTTAGTTTTTAGCTTACCCATCATAAAAGAAGCTCTATTCGACTCCTTGTTCTACATCACACACACCACCCCTGTGTCCTTCCTAGCACTTTTTCCAGGGCACTAGTATCTCAGTAATTATTTGAGTTATGTTGCCTCCCCTACTAGACTATATGCACTATAGCAGACAGCGACCATATTTGTTTTCCTCATTGTGGTACACCCAGTGCCTTGTATAGGGCCTTGCACATAACAGGCACTCAATAAATATTTGTTAAATAAACGAACAAATCATTTAGTTCAAAAAATCAGTGTTTCCTTTGATGGGCAAGAAAGGCATGCTTGTGTAGTGGAAGGCCTGTGAAAAGCATAGTTTTTCCTTAATCTGCACCTGTGTATTGCATGTTAGTTAGCTCAGCAAATGTACATTTTCTCTGGGAAACTTCTGAAAACACAAAGGTTACATGCCATTGAATCCGTGCTGAATTTGGTGATTGATTTTATGTTTTTTTGATCTTTATAAAGGTTGGGCAGTGGATCAGGTTGTTAAATAGCAAAGCAGATATCCTTGTTAAGATATCCAAAGGTGTCAATTCTCAGAAACTGGGTTTACACACCCAGTGAAGGGCAGACACAGCCCGGTGGTGTTCTCCAAAGAGCCACAAGATGGTGCTGCTGTTGCTCCCCAGGCCTGGCCTTTTTGCTCACGCCTGTAGCCGCTGGAATAATTACAGTAAAAAGCTCTTTATAAGTTAGAAGTGATTGCCCGATAGAAACTCTGCTCGAATTTTGGCTAATGATGGAGACTTCTCACAATGAATGCTTTTGAAGAAGGCCTCAGTGAAAGCCTTGCATTCTTGGTGTATTTTCCAAAGGCACCAATTGAGAGAAGGAAAAATGGCTGGAAATGGCAGCCTCCTCCCCAAGAACCACCAGCAGACAGTGAGCCCTCCAGCAGCAAGGCTGGATTGATTGGCTGTTCTCTCAGGCATAACTCTGTCTCCAGTGGCATTTTCCCTCCTGGCCCTTTGAATCCTCTCCCACGGATCCAAGTTGTCTGTTAGCAGTTGTATCATTGAGCTGGGTTCTGTTCTAGCTGCTTGAAGTCTCTGATTTAATTGTAATGGGCTAGGCATGCATTTGTTCACTCATTCCTCCATTCATTCATTATGCATCCAGTACTTGCTGTGTGCCAGATACTGTGCTAGAAACTAGGAAAGCAACTGCAAATAAGGCAGCCAAAGATTTGGACTTGAGTTTTCCCCCGACCTCTGCTCTACCCTGATCCAGCCTGATTCTGGCCAGCCCTCGCCCATGGTGGAGGGACTCCTTTTCCCTCTGCCTCATTTTCCTATTGGGTCTATGCCTGGGTCTTGTACAGTTTGATGATCTGAACTGTAGCTTTAATACTGACTCTGAGAGAATGCCTAGGAGCCCTGCCTGTCCTGGACACCTTATCTGCTGGACAAAGAAACTGATCTGAGTTTGGGTGACTAACCAAACCTGTTTTCTTGGTACTGAGAGGAGAGATAGTCATGGGATGCAGAACTTTCAGTTTTAAGAAAAGTACTGATGAGTTTCCCAGGATGTGAGACTTTCAGTGCTAAAACCTGAAAAGTCCTGGGCAAATTGGGGTGGGTTTGTCACCATAGGTCAGCTTCCCCACCACACTCCTGACAGGCCTGGCCTCCTTGCCTCTCTCCACCCAGTGTTTCTGAGGTCCAAGCTACTAGACTGAGAGGCTAATTATTAATATAACCCCTGCCTGTCCTGTGCTTTCTGGTCACCTTAGGGGTGACTAGCAGGATGCCTGGGGAGGACGGGGGGAGCATGTCTTAGCATGAGCAATGACCTTGAACAAGTCACTTAACCTCTCAGCCTCCATTTCTTTTATTGTAAATAGGTATAATTATCCCTGTCTCAGATTTCTTGAGAGGATTAAGTGAGTTCATGCATATAAAGTATCAGGTATAAACCTAAACATGTGGGCACAGCCAGATGTCGATGATATAGTGAGTGAAAAAAGCAATGGCAGAAAGATACATGGAAGTAAGTCTGCAGCTGCAATCTGGAGTGCAGAGCACAGGGCAGGTTGGGGTAGGGTGGTGGGGAGTGTGGCTGGGCCTGGCAAGAGGTGAGACTGAAAAGGCAGTCAGGGGCCAGTTCCCGGAAGGCCTTGAAAGCCTCTCTGAGGCTTTTAGATTTTACTCTGATTGCAGTAGAAGTTGCTGAGGGATTTTAGGCAGAGGAATGACCAGATAGGTTTGGGTTTTAGAAAGATGCCATTTCCTACTCATGGCTGTTGTGTGGATATAATGGTGGTCACTCAGTAGCTGCCAAAAAATATCCCCCTTTTTCTTATTATTGTATTTTTCCCCTTACAGTCTCCCTGGTCCCTTTACCTCATTTATGTATTCAGCAAATCTCTTTATTAAAAAGTTCAACTTTTATTTTAGATTCAAATGGTACATGTGCAGGTGTTACATGGGTATATTGTGTGATGCTGAGGTTTGGGGTACAATTGATCCCATCATCCAGGTAGTGAGCATAGTACCGGACAAGAGGCTTTTCAGCCCCTGCCCCCTCCCTCCCTGCCCCCTTTTGGAATCCGTAGTGTCTATTGTTCCAATCTTTGTGTCCATGTGTACCTAGTGTTTAGCTCCCACTTATGAGTGGGAACATGCGGTATTTGGTTTTCTGTTCCCATGTTCGTTCGCTTAGCATAATGGCCTCCAGCTGCAACCACGTTGCTGAAGGGACATGATTTTGTTCTTTTTTTATGGCTGTATAGTATTCCATGGTGTATTTGTGCCACATTTTCTTTATCCAATCCACCGTGGATGGGCACCTAGGTTGATTCCACGTCTTTGCTATTGTGAATAGTGTCGTGATGAATACGAGAGGGCATGTGTCTTTTTGGTAGAATGATTTATTTTCCTTTGGATATATACCGGTACTGGGATTGCTGGGTTGAACGATAGTTCTGAGTTCTTTGGGAAACATCTGAACTGCTTTCCACAGTGGCTGAACTAATTTACATTCCCAGCAACTGTGTATAAACATTCCATTTTTCCCATAGCCTCACCAGCATCTGTAATTTTTTGGCTTTTTAGTAATAGCCATTCTGACGGATATGAGATGGTATCTTATAGTGGTTTTGATTTGCATCTCTCTGGTGATTAGTAATGTGGAGCATTTTTTTCATATGTTTGTTGGCCATTTGTATGTCTTCTTTTCAAAAGTGTCTGTTCATGTCCTTTGCCTATTTTTTGATGGGGTTGTTTTTTGCTTGCTGATTTAGGTTTCTTACAGAGTCTCAATATTAGATCTTTGTCAGATGCATAGTTTGTGGCTATTTTCTCTCATTCTATAGGTTGTCTGTTTACCTTGTTGGTAGTTTCTTTTGCTGTGCAGATGCTGTTTAGCTTCATAGGGCCCACTTGTCAGTTTTTGTTTTGTTGAGATTGATTTTTGAGGTCTTAGCTATAAATTCTTTGCCATGAGCGATGTCCAGAATGGTATTTCTCAGGTTTTCTTATAGGATTTTTATAGCTTGAGGTCTTATATTTAAATCTTTGATCCATCTTGAATTAATTTTTGTATATGGTAAAAAGTAGGGGTCCAGTTTCATTCTTCTGCATATGATTAGCCAGTTATCCCAGCAGCATTTATTGAATATAGAGTCCTTTCTCCATTGCTTGTTTTTGTTGACTTCATCGAAGATCAGATGGTTGCAGGTGTGTGGCTTTATTTCTGAGTTCTCTGTTCTGTTCCTTGGGTCTATGTGTCTGTTTTTGTACAAGTACCATGCTGTTTTGGTTACTGTAGCCTTATAATACAGTTTGAAGTCACATAATGTGATGTCTCTGACTTTGTTCTTTTTGGGTAGGATTGCTTTGGCTAATTGGGCTTTTTAAAGAGTAGTTTTTTTTCTTTCTGTGAAACATTATGTTGGTGGTTTGTTAGGAATAGTGTTGAATCTGTAGATTGCTTTGGGCAGTATTTTAATAATAGTGATTCTTCCAATCCGTGAACATGGAATGTTTTTCCATTTGTTTGTATGATTTCTTTCTTCCTCTTCCCCTTCCTTCCTCCTTCCCCTTCCTTCCCCTTCCTGCCTTCCTTCCTTCCTTTGAAACAGGGTCTCACTCTGTCACTCAGGCTGGAGTGCAGTGGCACAATCTTGGCTCACTGTAACCTCTGCCTTCCAGGCTCAAGCGATCCTCCCACCTCAGCCTCCTGAGTAGCTGGAACTACAGGGGCATACCATCACGCCCATCTAATTTTTGTACTTTTTTGTAGAGATGGAATCTTGTCATGGTTGTCTAGGCTGGTCTCGAATTCTTGGGCTCAAGTAATCCACCAGCCTTGGTCTCCCAAACTGCTAGGACTACAGGCATGAGCCACTGCACCTGGCCCATCTATGATTTCTTTCAGAAGTGTTTTGCAGTTCTCCTTATAGCGCTCTTTCACTTCCTTGCTTAGATGTTTTCCTAGGTGTGTGTGTGTGTTTATATTTTTTTTATGGCTATTGTACATGGAATTCTTGATTTGGCTCTCAGCTTGAGTGTTACTGGTATATAGAAATGCTATTGATTTTTGATTTTTGTACCCTGAAACTTTACTGAAGTTGTTTATCAGTTTTAGGAGGCTTTTGGCAGAATATTTAGGGTTTTCTAGGTATAGAATTATATTGTCAGTGAAGAGATTTTTTAATTTTTTAATTTTTTTTTGAGATGGAGCCTCACTCTGTCAGCCAGGCTGCAGAGCAGTGGTGCGATCTCAGCTCACTGCAATCTCCACCTCCCCAGTTCAAGTGATTCTCCTGTCTCAGCCTCCTAAGTAGCTGGGATTACAGGTGCGCGACACCATGCCTGGCTAATTTTTGTATTTTTAGTAGAGATGGGGTTTCACCATGTTGACCAGGCTGGTCTCGAACTCCTGACATCGTGATCTGTCCACCTCGGCCTCCCAAAGTGCGGGATTACAGGTGTGAGCCACTGTGCCTGGCCAAAAAGAGATGATTTGACTTCCTCTTTTCCTATTTGGGTGCCTTTTATTTCTTTCTCCTGCTTGATTGCTCTGGCTAGAACTTCTAATACAGTGTTGAATAGGAGTGGTGAAAGTTGACATCCTTGTGGTGTTCTAGTTCTTAAGGAGAATGCTTCCAGCTTTTGCCCATTCAGAATGATGTTGGTTATGGGTTTCACAGATGGCTCTTACTATTTTGAAATATGTTCCTTTGATGCCTAGTTTGTTGAGAGCTTTTATCATGAAAAGATGTTGAATTTTATTGAAAGGTTTCTCTGCATCTATTGAGATAATCATATGGTTTTGTTTAGGTTCTGTTTATGTGCTGAATCACATTTAAAGATTTGTGTATGTTGAACCAACCTTGCATCCCAGGAATAAAGCGTACTTGATCATGGTGAATTAACTTTTTGATGTGCTGTTGGATTCAATTTGCTTGTATTTTGTTGAGGATTTGGTCTCTATGTTCATCAGGGATATTGGCCTGTAGTTTTCTTTTTTTGTTGTGTCTTTACCAGATTTCGGTATCTGGGTAATACTAGCTTAGCAGAATGAATGAGGGAAGAGTCCCTCTTTCTCAGTTTCTTAGAAGAGTTTTGGTAGAGTTGGTACCAACTCTTCTTTGTACATTTGGTAGAATTTGGCAGTGAATCTGTCTAATCCAGGTTTTTTTTTTTTTTTTTTTTTTTTTTTTTTTTTTTTGAGAGGGTGTCTCCCTCTGTCCCCCAGGCTGGAGTGCAGTGGTGCGATCTCCGCTAACTGCAAGCTCCGCCTCCCAGGTTCACGCCATTCTCCTGCCTCAGCCTCACGAGTAGCTGGGACTACAGGTGCCCGCCACCAAGCCTGGCTAATTTTTTTTTTTTGTATTTTTAGTAGAGACGGGGTTTCACCATGTTAAACAGGATGGTCTCGATCTCCTGACCTCGTGATCCGCCTGCCTCAGCCTCCCAAAGTGCTGAGATGACAGACGTGAGCCACGACGCCTGGCCTCCAGGGTGTTTTTTAGTGGGTAGGTTTAAAAAAAAATTACTGATTCAATTTTGGAACTTAGCATTGGTCTGTTCAATGTTTCGGTTTCTTCCTGAGTCAATTTTGGGAAGTTGCATGTGTCAAGGAAATTATCTACTTCCTCTAGATTTTCTAGTTTGTGTGCATATAGGTGTTCGTAGTAGTCTTTGAGAATCTTTTGTATTTCTGTGAGATTGTAATGCCAGTCTTGTTATTTCTGATTGTGGGTGTTTGGGTCATCTTTCTGTTTTCCTTTGTTAGTCTAGCTAGTGGTCTTCTGATCTTGTGTGTCCTTTCAAAGAACCAACTTTTGGTTTTGTTGATTTTTTTTGTATGGACTTCTGGATCTCAATTTTGTTCAGTTCTGCTCTGATTTCAGTCATTTCTTTTCTTCTGCTGGCTTTGGGGTTAATTTGTTCTTGTTTTTCTAATTTCTCTAGTTGTAATGTTAGTTGATTTGAGAGCTTTCTAATGTCTTAATGTAGGCATTTAGCATTATAAGTTTTTCTCTTAACACTGCTTTTGCTGTGTCCAAGAGATTTTGGTATGTTATATCTCTATTTTTATTTATTTCAAAAAGAATTTTTTGATTTCTGCCTTAATTTTGTTGTTTACCCAAAAGCTGTTCAAGAGCAAGTTGCTCAATTTTTGTGTAGTTGTGTGAATTTGGAAGATCTTCTTGGTATTGATACCTATTTTTATTCCACTGTTGTCTGAGAGTATGCTTGGTATGATTTTGATATTTTTGAATTTATTGAGACTTGCTTTATGGCCAAGTATATGGTTGATTTAGAGTATGTCCCATGTGCAAATGAGAAGGATGTATATTCTGTGGTTGATGGGTGGAGTGTTCTGTAGATGTCCATTAGGTCCAATTGGTCAAGGGTCAAATTTAAGTCCAGAATTTCCTTGTTAGTTTTTTGCCTCAGTGATCTGTCTAATGCTGTCAGTGGGATTTTTGAAGTCCCCCACTATTAATGTGTGACTGCCTAAGTCTTTTCGTAGGTCTAAAAGCACTCATTTTATGAATCTGGTTGTTGGGTGCATATGTATTTAGGATAGTTAAGTCTTCATGTTGAACTGAACTCTTTATCAGTATGTAATGCCCTTCTTTGTCCTTTTTTTTGCTGTTGCTGGCTTAACGTCTGTTTTATCTGATATCTGATATATCCATCTCTTTCCTTTGAGCCTATGGGTATCATTACATGTGAGACGGATCTCTTGAAGACAGCAGATGGATGGATCTCATTTTTTTAAATCCACCTTGCCACTCTGTGCTTTTTATATGGGGTATTTAGACCATTTGCATTCAAGGTTAGTATTCATACTGAGGAATCGATCCTATTGTAAAGTTGTTAATGTGTTGTTTTGTAGTTTCCATTGAGTAGTTGCTTTATAGAGTCTGTGGGCTCTGTACTTAAGTGTGTTTCTGTGGTAGCAGGTTTTGTTCTTTCTTTTACATGTTTAGAACCCACTTAAGGATCTCTTGTAAGGCTGGTCTAGTAGTAATGAATTTCCTTAGCACTTGCTTGTCCGAGGAAGATTTTATTTTTCCTTTTAGTTATGAAGTTTAGTTTGGTGGGTATGAAATTCTTGGTTGGAGTTTCTTTTCTTTAATAATGCTTAAAATAGGCCCCTAATGTCTTCTGGCTTATAGGGTTTCTGCTGAGAAGTCTGCTGTTAGCCTGATGGAGTTCCCTTTGTATGTGATCTGACTTTTTCCGTAGCTGCCTTTAAGATTTTTTTCTTAAGATTGAACAGTCTGGTGACTATATGCCTTGGTGATGCTCATTTTGTATAGTATCTTGCAAATGTTCTCTGGATTTCTTGTACCTGAATACCTACATCTCTAACAAGATTAGGGACATTTTCATGAATTACTCCTTCAAGTATGTTTTCTGGGTTGTTACCTTTTTCTCCTTCTCCCTCAGGAATGCCAATAATTTATAGGTTTAGTCATTTTATACAACCCCATACATCTTGAAGACTTTGTTCATTTTAAAAAACTCTTTTTGTGTATTCTCTTTTTCATTTAAAAAAATTCCTGGGTTAGCTCAAAGGACCAGGCTTCAAGCTCTGAAATTCTTTCTTCTGTTTGATCTAGTCTATTGACAGAGTTTTCAGTTGTGTTTTGATATTCCTTAACTGAATTTTTCAACTCCAGAAGCTCTGATTAATTTCTTTTAAGATGTTTATCTCTTCCTTCATTTCCAGGATTGTTTTACAGGTTTCTTTACATTGATTTTAAACCTCATCTTGAAAATCATTGAGTTTTATTGTAATCTATGCTTTGAATTTTTTATCTGACACTTCTGGGTTTCAATTTTGGTTGTGGACTATTGCTAGAGAGCTAGTGTGATCCTTCGGTGGTATCACAACATGCAGATTTTTCACGGTGCCAGAATTCTTATGCTGGTTCCTTCTCATTTGGAGATGCTGGCACTTCTAATTTTTGTAATAATTTTCGTGATGATAGGCTCTCCCCCTTTTTCTTTCCCTATATTACTATTGTTTTTTTTTCTTTCCCTTTCTCCCACCTTGCTAGAGGGTATGACTGTAGGGCATGTTGGATAGGGTTTTTTTGGCTTTGCTTCTATGGTCCTATGCACTTCCACCAGTAGGTTTTATACTGGACTGTGCATTTCAGCATGTGGGCCAATAGATGGCACTTATGGGTGAGAGCTAGCATGGTGCAAGCAGATGGGTATGTACCTGATCTTTGATTACTGTGAGATGCTCTCTGTTGTTTTAGGTGATGGGCTGGACCACAGAGTGCTCCTTGCCATGTGCTTCCTCTTCCATGGGGTAGGGTGACACAGCTAGGCAGAGCTGGAGCCCTGGCTTGCCCAATAATATCCCCGTGTTGAATGTAGGTACCTTCCTTGATGAGGGTGGCTGGGAGGAGCTCCTAGTGAAATGAGCTGAGGTCTCTGCATGGGGGTGGGGTGGGGGGCTGCACCAGCCCCTCATCCTTGATAGGCAGGAATGTGGACTGCTCTTCTGTCTCACTCCTGTTCCGGAGCTCATGACTCCTAAATCAGATGCACATCATAGCCTATCTCTGGACCACAGTGTGGTTGAGAGCCTTGGGGATTGACTAATTTGTGATTGTCTGTGGGAGTGGTTTTGGGGCAGAACTTCATCACTCAACCTAATGCTCTGTGGCTCCCCTCTTCTCCAATGTGATAGTGCTACTTCTTTGTGGAAGAGGATGGGGAGCTCTGTCTTTGGGCCTGTGCAGGGGTTTGTTGGTGGTGGTGGCATTGGCTGGTTAGGCCAGTCTAACCTCAGGCTCTGGGGGAAAGGTCAGGTGCCAGCAGATCTGGAATGGATTAGGTAGTTCTCTAACTCCCTGGCCCCCAGATGGCTGGGTGGACAGAGTGTATAAGTCCTGATGGGGCTGGGGGCTCAGGTACTGGCTGTGATGGGAAGGATTGGGCCAGTCCCCAGGTCACTAGCTGAACTCTCAGTTGGTGTGAGACAGGGTGCTTAGGTGGTGGGAGCTTGAGGGAAGCTCATAGGTTGTGGGGGTAGGGTTTTAAGTAGGCCTCTGGGCCAAAGCTGAAATGCTCATGCAGGGCAGCGTGGGTGCACTAGAAGCCAGAAGGCAGCAAGCCCCATTTGGGAGAGGGCAGGGAAGGTGGGGGGATCATGAGGAAAGAATCTGGCTGCTTCTGTAGGGCAGCTGCTGGTGTGCTGGAGGCTCCAGTAAAGGCAATCATGCTTTTTGTTCTCTCCCCAGCCTGTGGGGAAGTAAGAGTGGGGATCCCAGTGCCAGGTCGATGGCTGAGGGCCAGTCAGTTGCCTCTGGGAGCTCCACCCTAGAGAAGCACAGAGCCGTGGCAGATAGGAGTGATCAAGCAGGGGTGGGTGGCTGTGCTGCAGGCCCAAACTGGGAGACCCTGCCTGGTGAGGAGCAGTAAGGGCATGGGATCGCCCGGAAAACAGTCTGGCCTCTTCTCTGTAGGGGAGCTGCAGCAAGCTGGAGGCCACAATAGCTCTCTGGCTCTTTGCTCCCTCCCCAGCCTAAAGGCAGTACAGCAGGCCTGTAGGGTTACCTCTGGGAGCTGCTTCCCAGAGAAATGCAGAGCCATGACTGGCCAGAGTGCTCAGGCAGGAGTAGGGTGGCTGTGCTGGCGACCCAGGCCAGTGGGCCTTGCCTGGTGAGGAGCAGGAAAGGTAGGGCCTACAGTCCTGCTGCTCCTCAGCACCGTGGAGGTGGTCCCTAACCTAGGGCTTGTGAAAAAGCCAGTCCTTCCTGGTTGGAGGGGCTATGGCAGCTGGTGTCAGGGTATTCAGGGATCCAAGACCCCTGGGGCTTCACATGGGCTTGAGCAGTGGCTCTGCCCAGACTCCAGGTGGCTCTCTGTGTTCACCTGGAGCCCTGGGGAGGTCATGGGAGATCTCCAGTGCACAGGATTGCAGAGGTCTGTGGTGGAAGTGTGGGTCCCTGGGGGGCTCTTGCTCACTCACCCTTTCCCGCAGTAGGGAGCTTCCCATGGCTCTGTGTTGATCTCAGGTGGGTGGCTGCCCTACTTTACTCTTCTCTGCTCTCTGTGAGTCTTGATGCCTCCTTGATGAATCCCAACGTGACCTCCTGGACGATCCATGTGAAGAGCTAGTGTTCAACGCCACTTTGTCTCCTCTCTGTGAGAGTGGTGTGTACTAACTTCTTCTAGCCAGCCATCTCAAGTTCTCCCTAGCAAATCTCTATGAACACACAATCATTTAGGACTGCAGTTGAACTCCTAGCCTGCCTCTGATAGAGCCAACCCAAGGCTGGTCTATAAGATACTGACAGCCCTGGTCCCCTGGGTCTCCCAGGCTGCCTGCAGATGACACAGTGATAGGGCCAGTGGGGGTTGAGGGAGTGACCCAGACTGGGGACTGGCTTCCTTGCCTCCCTGAGCTGCCATTTCCTTACATCTGGTGAACTCTGAGCATGCGCCTTGATGAACACTGCTCTAAGACTTTAGAACCCTCCCTGGCTTCTGAGTCTTGCTTTTCTAGATTCTTGATGCTGATTCCTACTCTGGGAATTGCCACGGGGACCAGGCCTGGGGACTGGGGAAGAGTGGCAGCACCAGCCTTGCCGAGGGTCATGGCTACCCTGGGAATTCTTCTCTGGGCAGAGTCCAGGGGCTTGTACCCTGTCCCTGGTACCACTTAACTGTTGGCAGCAAACCCTCTCTCCACCTTTTAAGCTGGCAGGACTCGCTCATGAATGCTTTGCCTGCGGGCCCATAATCAGATAAAAGCATCAGTGAGATTTGTGGCCTGTGTTCAGCCCCTCCCCTGCTCCTTCCCTGCTCTGACCCAGCTCTATTCCCTCCACTTGTTCTGTATTTCCATGGGCCGGACTTCATCCACAGTTCAGGTGTTGACAGTCATTGCCCTTGCACTTTAACCCACAGAGTCTGACTTCTTTTATTATTCCTGTTGTCTTGGTAGAAGTTGCTGCCCAAGACCTGTCTTTAAAAATTGCTGTTCTGGTGGCTCATGGTCACCCAGGACAGCCAGACTCTTGTGAGGGATGTGTGTATGAGTGTTGGGTGAGGAAGGGGCTTGGGTGAACACAATAGGACTTCGTAGAAGCAAAATCAAGGTTGGGCCAGGTCAGTATGAGGGGTCCTGACCTCTGATAATCAGCCCACAAGGTGGAAGCTATGGGGGTCCTAACAGAACTTACCCAACTGAGCCACTCCTAGGGCGCCAGAAACGCCATGTTTAGGATTCAGCCAAGTTGGGAGCCAGAGATGTGGCTGTCAAAGGTGAGAGTAGGTGGCTAGTTAAAGGTGACACTGGGAAATTTTGTCAAATGTTTTATTGGTTCAGCAGCATCTTTGCCCTTAAAGATGATGCTTGGGGGACAATGGATGGTGACAGCTTTAAAATCCTTCTACCTAACTTGCCTGCAAATAACTGAAAATTCAGTATCCTTGTCTTGTGCGCCTAATGAGAGAGTTGTAGCCTCGGTGGGGAGCGGTCCCACCACAACTAAAAGACTGAGCTATAACATGGCAGCTGACTGAGGCTGCTGGGAAGGGCAGCAGGGGTCAGCATAACTGAGAATAGGGATGACCACCAAGAAGAGCATGAGAGCCACCGTCAGGGTCCTCCCAGGGGAGGGGAGGGACCCTGGAGCTGCCTAAGACAGAAGGAAAAAGAGAATGGATAACCACACAGAAGAGACAAGGCTTGCTCTTCCCACAGAAGCGCCGCCTGCTAGTCGTGGCTACCCCACACCAGGCAGCCTGCAACCCCTGTATGGGCTGCAGCTGGACGGAGCTGCTGTGGACATATCTCTATTGAACTGCTGCTCTGCCATTGCAGACACAGAGGGTTATGCATCATAGGGAAAGCATGGAGAAGTAAGTGTGGGCCCCTCTGACTTCCACGGATGAGGCTGATTAATCTCATAAGTAGAAAAAGCCTTGCATTTTGTCATCTGTAAAGTCTTTAAAAAAAATCCTTGTTCTGAAAATAAAGTGAAATAAACACATACAGTGTATGTGGTACAGGGTCTGACTCACAGTGAGTGCTCTGGTTTCAGACACACTGAGCTCACGACTCCAATATTTGTTTGATAAACCTTGGCCTTGGAATCATCTGCTGGGCAGAGCCCACCAAGCTGCCCCTCTGCCCTGTCCTGCACAGCATGGCAAACTCAGTCTCTAAACTCATGAACATTCATGGATGTGCCACTGCTAGTAATAAATGGCAATAGTGCACATTCATGGGGCATTGTGTAGTGTGTTTATATCTGCTATGGTGTGAATGCATCCCCCAAATTAATGTGTTGGAAGCTTAATCCTCAGTGCAACAGTGTTGGGGGCTCAGGCCTCATGGGAGGGCTCTTTAGGTCATAAGGCTTCTGCCTCATGAATGGATTAATGCTGCTATGAAAAGAGCTTGCAGGAGTGAGTTTGTTCTCTTCTGCTTTTTTGCCATGTGAGGACACAGCATTCATCTCCTTTTTGTCCTTTCACCTTCTCCTATGTGAGCACATAGCAAGAAGGCCCTCACCAGACACCAGATGCTGGTGTCTTGATCTTGGACTTGGCAGCCTCCAGGACTGTGAGAAAGCCATTTCTCTTCTTTATAAGTTACCCAGCCTCAGGCGTTCTGTTATAGCAGCACAAACGGATTAAGACAACATCCATTACTCTAATTTAAGCTGCAGCAAATTTTTGCTCAAACAAAGATAGAAGTTATAGGTTAACTAGAAACAAACCCACTTTTATAATCTTTACAATAACAGTATTGAAAATTATCCTCATTTTATAGATAAGGAAACATTTATCCAACAATGAAACGGAGTGTCTTCTGATACTTCCCCTTTTCTCTTTGTTTCTCTAAGAACCATGTTCTTTATTCATTGCCACTGTCCATGTTAGTTCTCATTTGGAGAATTGCTACAGTCTCTTTTTTGTTCTCACTGCCTCAAAGTTCCCTCCTCCATCCTACTGTTCACTGCAATTGCTCCAAGACTAAAAAGTAATCATGCTACGCCTCTGCTTAAAAGTGAAAATTAGGCCGGGCATCGTGGCTCACACCTGTAATACCAGTGGCTTGGGAGGCTAAGGTGAGAGGATTGCTGGAGGCCAGGAGTTTGAGACCAGCCTGGGCAACATAGTGACGCTCTGTCCCTATAAAAAATAGAAAAATTTAGCTGGGTGTAGTGTGTGCACCTGTAGTCCTGGCTACTCAGGAGGCTGAGGCAGGAGGATTGCTTGAGCCCAAAAGTTTGAGGTTACAGTGAACTACCATTGTGCCACTGCACTTCAGACTGGACAACAGAGTGAGACCCTGTCTCCAATTTAAAAAAAAAAAAGGTGCAAAGCAGTCCCAGTTGTCCCCTGGATAGAGTCCACATTCTTTAGTGTGATGCCCAAGACTGTCCTTTGTCTGATACATGTCAACTTTTCCAGAATTATTTCTCATCACACCTTGCCCTGAACGCCACTAACATTCTTTCATATATGCCAGGGTAGACTTTGCTCAGCCTGAGCCTATACTGGTTTATCTATTTAATTTTTTATATTTTTAGAAATAAGAACTCTTGGAGCTTTTGAAAAATAACAAACTGAGCTCCATTTTCAAATTAATTAATTTCTGTTATCTTCAGTTATTCCTTCTGTTCCCTCTAGTTAGGATTACTTGATTGTTTTAACACCCCGTTCTGCTCCCCACTCCAGGTGGGCTCAGCCCCCTTGGCAATAGTGAGGGTAGGGAGAATATTCAAGCAGAAGTTTTTCTTGCTTATTTTGATCCTAGGCTTTGTTTTCTTGGTGCGTGGTTACCTTTATGTACCCACATTGACTAGTAGAACTGTCAAAGCTGGGTGTATGTGAATTTTTACCTGCACTGACTGATGACAGGAGAGTCCATAGGGTAGAAGTTAGTCTGTAGCACCCCACAAGTTTTGAAACCTACCAAGTTGGTTTCATACTTTATAAGACCTGAAATCCTCTTTTTTTGATTTTCTTTTTAAAATAATTCCATTTAGGTCCCTTCCTGTATTTCTTCTGCAATTTTTCTATTTCCACCTACACGGAACCATATAAAACCATATTAAGTAGGCATTTCCTGTTGTTTCTTCAGTCATTCTACTTTAAAATGAGGGTCGTTGTCTTAGACAACCTTGTTTGTAGTCCTAGGCAATCTTGTTTGGTACCTGAGGGATAATCATGAGAAAATGACAAATCTTACAGTAATATACATATTTGTACAAGTGTGCAAAGATGTATGAGTAAGAATATTTATTGCAGCAGTGTTTGTAATATCCAAAATTGTAAACAACTGAAATGTCAGTCGAGAGGGAGCTTGTTAAATGCATGTGATTACAGCCATACAACTGAATATCATGTTTCCATTGAGAGAAGCCTATATGTACCAATATGGAGGGTTACCATTTATATGCTTAGGTGAAAAGAACAAATTTTATGTAAAGTACAAAAGTATGATTCCATTTCTGTTAAAAAGAGATTATTATATACATATATACCCTTCATAGCCTGGAAAGTTTTTAAAGGAATATTCGCCAAATTGTAAAATTAGTTAAGGTATTGGTTGAGGGGTGGTTGTAGTAGGGAATGGAATTACAGAAGAGAGGACTTCATAATCTAATTTATATATTCCTGAATATTTACTTTTATCTTTACAAAAACAATGTGTTACTTTTATAATCAGGAAAAAAGCTTTAAAATGTATATCTTCTGAGATGCAACTACAGCAATTATAAGTGGAAAATTTATTGCCTCTAATGCTAGAATTTCTAAACAGAAAGAATGAACATGAACTTATCGATAAATAAAATATGAGTAGATTTCACACTGGTTTAGGAATAAATGGACATAAGTAAAAAGTAATCAAAGCACAATTAAATAGAACAAATACAGGGACACAGATTAATTTTGACACCAGCTGGAGCCAGCAACACATCTAGCAAATCTAGCATCTATCTAGTTATGCTTCTGTGAAAAACATGGTTTGCAAAACCTTTGAAAGGAGCAACCAGGTCTTATAACTGGTGGAGCATGTAGCTCAGTGCGGTTTTGATTTCTGATTTTTGTTTGAAACAAAAGTTGTTCAGGAGACAGGATGTTTCTTACTAATTAGGCTTCCTTTTTTTGTTTGTGTCAACTTTTGTGCCATTTTTTGTTACTCAATTTTATGGTATTTTTGAAGAATGTGTTATGTGCTATTTCTTTTTTTCTCCTTTATTTTTAAATTTCAATAGTTTTTGGGGACAGGTGGTTCCTGGTTACATGGATAAGTTCTTTAGTGGTAATTTCTGAGATTTTGGTGCAGTCATCACCCGAGCAGTGTCCACTGTACCCATGTGTAGTCTTTTATCCCTTACCTCCCTCTTGCCCTTCCGCCTGAGTCCCCAAAGTTCATCACATCATTCTTACGCCTTTGTGTCCTCAAACTTAGCTTCCACTTATAATTGAGAACATACAGTTTTGGTTTTCCATTCCTGAGTTACTTAGAATCATGGTCTCCAACTTTATCCACTTTGTTGTGAATGCCATTATTTCCTTCTTTTTATGGCTGACTAGTATCCCATGGTATATAGATACCATATTTTAAAAATCTACTCATTGGTTGTTGGGCATTTAAGCTCGTTCCATATTTTTGCAATTACGAATTGTGCTGTTATAACCATGTATGTGCAAGTGTCTTTTTCATATAATGATTTCTTTTCCTCTGGATAGATACTGAGTAGTGGGATTGCGGGATCAAATGGTAGTTCTACTTTTAGTCCTCTAAGGAATCTCCATACTGGTGTGGATTTAGTAAGTTTTCTTTAGAATTAACTTCTGTAAACAATCTATGGGGCCTTAAAATGTATGCTTGTTTTTGAGCATATATTTTGAGCATACATTTTGAAGGTGTAGAGTT
Source organism: Homo sapiens (assembly GCF_000001405.40). Classification (NCBI taxonomy): domain Eukaryota; kingdom Metazoa; phylum Chordata; class Mammalia; order Primates; family Hominidae; genus Homo; species Homo sapiens. Next base: position 41,754,559 of record NC_000020.11, read on the forward strand.
TGAAATTTATCTATTGGATAGACCTTATAAATTTTATTAATCAGGTCCTGTGCAGTTTTGATTATTTTTAGTCCCCTTGATCTGTCCTGGGATAAGAACTGTGAGTCTTTTTTTTTTTTTTTTAAGTTCTCCTTGTATTTACAACAGTTTCTGTATTACATATTTTGATGACACATGCTACTTAGTGCTTGAACGTTCAAAGTATCTATGTTTTCATCATGCAGTACTATTTTTATTATAATTGGCCCCATTCTTCCAGTTTAATATCTTTTTTTGTTTTTTTTGAGACAGAGCCTTGCTCTGTCACCCAGGCTGGAGTGCAGTGGTGCAGTCTTGGCTCAGTGCAACCTCTGCCTCCTGGGTTCAAGCAATTTCTACTGCCTCAGCCTCGTGAGTAGCTGGGACTATAGGCACACGCCGCCACACCTGGCTAATTTTTTGTATTTTAGGGTTTCATCGTGTTGTCCAGGCTGGTCTCGAACTCCTGAGCTCAGGCAGTCTGCCTGTCTTGGCCTCCCAAAGTACTAGGATTACAGGCATAAGCCACCATGCCCGGCCTTATCTTTTTACTTTGAATTCAAATTTGATATTATCACAAAAACATTGATTGCTTCTTTCTTTTTCTTTCTTTCTTTTCATTCTCTTTTCTTTCTTTCTCTTTTCTTTCTTTCTTTTCTCTCTCTTTCTCTCTCTCTCTCTTCCTCTCTTTCTTCCTTTCTTCCTCTCTTTCTTTCTCTCCTTCTTTCCTTCTCTCTCACTCTTTCTCACTCTGTCACCCAGGCTGGAATGCAGTGGCCCGATCATGGCTCACTGCAGCCTCGACCTCCTGGGCTCAAGAGATGGTCCCACCTCAGCTTTCCAAGCAGCTAGGACTACAGGCATGTGCCACCACACCCGGCTAATTTGTGTATTTTTTGTAGAGATGGGGTTTCACCGTGTTGCCCAGGCTGATCTTGAACTCCTGGGCTCAAGCGATCTGCTTGCCTCTGCCTCCCAAAGTGCTGGGATTACAGGTGTGAGCCACTGCACCCAGCCAATTTCTTTTTTATATAACAATTGTATTGGGATATAATTCACCTACCATATAATCTACCAGTTTAAAGTGTACAGTTCCATGAGTTTTAGTATACTCAGAGAGTTGTGCAACCATCACCACAATAAATTGTGGAGCATTTTCATCATGTCAACAAGAAAACTACCCACCAGCAGTCACTCCCCATATTTATTCCAATCTCCTGAGCCCTAGGCAGTCACCAATCTACTCTCATGTCTATAGATTGGCCTATTCTGGACATTTCATATCAATGGAATGATATAATATGTGGTCTTTTGTGACTGGCTTCTTTTATTTAGGATGTTTTCAAGGTATATAAATGTTACATCCATGAAGTAACAGTGCTTCATTCCATTTTATTATGGAACAATATTACATTATATGGGTATACCACATTTTATTTATTCATCACTTGATAGACATTTGAGTTGTTTCTACTTTTTGCTATTATCCTTGCTATGCTCATCCATGTACAATTTTTTTGTGTGGTCATGTTTTCGTTTCTCTTGAGTATATACCTATCTTTACAAAAATAATGTGTTATTTTTATAATCAGGAAAAAAGCTTTAAAATGTGTGTCTTCTGGGATGCAACTACAGCAAATGTGGGTGGAAAATTTATTGCCTTTAATGCTAGAATTTCTAAACAGAAAGAATGAAAATGAACTTCTAGACATATAGAATTGCTGGGTCACGTGGTAACTGTCTAAACTTTTGAGGAACTGCCATGCTGTTTTATTGTCTTCTGTTTTCCAAAGTGGGTACAACATTTTACACCAGCAGTGTATGAGGATTCCAATGTGTGCACCTCCTCACCAATACTTATTATCTGTATTTTTGATTATGGACCATATAGTGGGTGTGAAGTAGTATCTCATTGTGTTTTGACTTGCATTTCCCCTGACAGCTACTGATGGAGTTTTCACAATATAAATTTTGTAATTCTTTTGTTAAATATCCCCTCAAATATTTTATTCTTATTGATGCCATTATAAATAGAATTGTTTGCTTAGTTTTCCTTTTTGGGTTGTTCATTGCTAATGTATAAAAATACAATTGATTTTTGTTTTCATTTTTGTTTGACTTCCAACATTTATTTTAAGTTCAGGGGTACCTGTGTGGGATGTACAGGTTTGTTACATAGGTAAATGTGTGCCATGCTAGTTTGCTGCATATATCATCCCTTCAGCTAGGTGTTAAGCCCAGCATTCACTAGCTGTTCTTCCTGATGCTCTCCTCTGACAGGCCCCAGTGATTGTTGTTCACCCCTATGTGTCCATGTGTTATCATTCAGCTCCTACTTATTAGTGAGAACATGCAGTATTTGATTTTCTCTTCCTGTGTTAGTTTGCAGCTCCATCTATGTCCCTGCAAAGGACATGATCTTGTTCCTTTTTATGGCTGCATAGTATTCCATGGTGTCTATGTACGACATTTTCTTTATTCAGTCTATAATTGATTGGCATTTAGGTTGATTTCATGTATTTGCTATTGTAAATAGTACTGCAGTGAACATACACTTGCGTGTCTCTTTATAATAGAATGATTTATATTCCTTTGGATATATACCCAGTAATGGGATTGCTGGGTCAAATGATATTTCTGCCTCTAGGTCTTTGAGGAATTGCCACACTCTCTTCCACAATGGTTGGACTAATTAACACTTCCACCAACAGTGTAGAAGCATTCCTTTTTCTCCACAACCTTGCCAACATCTGTTTTTTTTTTTTTTTTTTGACTTTTTAATAATGGCCATACTGACTGGTGTGAGATGGTATCTCATTGAGATTTTGATTTGCATTTCTCTGATGATCAGTGATGTTGAGCTTTTTTTCATGTGTTTGTTAGATGCATGTATGTCTTCTTTTGAGAAGTGTCTTTTCATGTTGTTTTCCTACTTTTAATGGGGTTGTTTTTTTCTTGTAAATTTGTTTAAGTTTTTTGTAGATGCTGGATGTTAGACCTTTGTCAGATGATGGATTGCAAATAGATTGTTTACTGTGATGATAGTGTCTTTTGCTGTGCAGAAGCTCTTTAGTTTAATTAGATCCCATTTGTCAATTTTTGCTTTTGTTGCAATTGCTTTTGGCATCTTTGTCATTAATTTTTTTCCCATGCCTATGTCCTGAATGGTATTGCCTAAGTTTTCCTCTAGGATTTTTATAATTTTGGGTTTTACATTTAATCTTTAATCCATCTTGAGTTGATTTTTGTATATGTTTAAGGAAGGGGTCCAGTTTCAATTTTCTGCATTTATTATATAGGGAACCCTTTCCCATTGCTTGTTTTTGTCAGGTTTGTGAAAAATCAGATGGTTGTAGGTGTGTGGTCTTATTTCTGGGTACTCTATTCTGTTCCATTGGTCTGTGTGTCTGTTTTGGTACCAGTACCATGCTGTTTTGGTTTCTGTAGGCTTGTGTAGTTTTAAGTTAGGTAGTATGATGCCTCTGGCTTTGTTCTTTTTGCTTAGGATCATCTTGGCTATTCAGGCTCTTTTTTGGTTCCATATGAATTTTAAAATAGTTTTTTCTAATTCTGTGAAGAATGTCAATTGTAGTTTAATGGGAATAGCATTGAATCTATAAATACAATTGATTTTTGTATATTGATTTTATATCCTCAAACCTCGCTAAACATTTATTAGTTCAAATTATTTTTCAGTGGTTTTCTTAGAATTTTCTGTATATAAGATTCTTTCATCTTAAATAGAGATAATTTACTTATTTTCTAATCGGGATGCCTTTTTTTTCTTTTTCTTGCCTAATTGGTCTTGCTAGAACCTCCAGTACAATGTTAAATATAAGTGAACATCCTTGTCTTGTTCCTGATCTTAGGGGGAAAGTATTTAGTCTTTCATTATTTACTATGATGCTGGCTATGAGTTTTTCATAGATGCCCTTTATGAAGTTGAGAAAATTCTCTTCTATTTCTTGTTTATGAAGTATATTTATTTTGATAAATATTTGATTTCCCTCCATCTCTTGAGGTGATCATTTGGTTTTTGTCCCTTATTGATATGGTACCTTACATTAATTGATCTTCAGATGCTAAGCCAACCTTGTGTTTCTGAGATAATTGTACTTTGTCATGGTAATATGATCCTTTTTATATATTGCTGGATTAAGTTTGCTAGTGTTTTTTTGAGCATGTTCTGTGTCTATATTCATTAGAGCAATTGGCCTATAGTTTTCTTTTCTTATGATATCTTCATCTGGTTTGGGCATCAGGGTAATGCTGGCCTCATAGAATGAGTTGGGAAATGTTACCTCCTCTTCTAATTTTTGAAGGAGTTTGTGAAGAAATGGTTTTACTTATTTTTTAAATGTTTGGTAGAATTTACCAGTAAAGTCATGTGGGCCTGGGCTTTTCTTCGTGACATGTTTTTAACTTACGAATTCAGTCTTTTGACTTGTTATATATCTACTCAAACTTTCTATTTCTTCTTGAGTAAGTTTTAATAGTTTGTCTGTTTCATATAAGTTATCTAATATGTTGGCATACATTTGTTCACAATACTACCATGTAATCCTTTTTCTTCCTGTAAGGCCATTAGTAATGTCTCTTGTTTCATTCTTGATTTTAGTAACTTGAGTCTTTCTCTTTCTCTCTTCTATTTTTAACTAACAGTTTGTCAGTTTTGTTCATCTTTTCAAATAATCAACTTTTGCTTTTGTTGATCGTCTTTTAAAATTTGCTCTTTCACTAATTTCTACGTAACCTTTAGTACTTCCTTCTACTTGCTTTGGGCTTAGTTTTCTCTACTGTTTTTTGTTTACAATTTTTACCTGAGAGCTCTCCCTTAATGAGAAATTTGCACTCAAATGCCCATCTCAAGCTCTGCTCCTAGGAAACTTGACCTAAGACATTCCAGGCAGAAATTTCCTCTTACCCCAGCATTTGGCCACTCTTTCTCCAGCTCCTTCTCTCATCTCTGTTTCTCCCTACTTTCCCAAATGTAGTTTAATGGTATAGACTTCCAAGGCCCAGACCTTAGGACCATAAAAGACCCAATTTACTTCTCCTGGGCTTGAGAAAGACATGCTTCTCTTAAGTAGCAGAAGCCAATAATAAGGTTGAGTTTTCTTATGCTGCTACATTAAATCCTTAATATAACTCTCCCTATTATATTAGGAGGTCACATGTTCACTAGCTATTTTTATATCTTTTGTAAGTTATCACTTTCTGTTATTTACCATTTGTTTGGTAATTTATGTCTCTATGAGTAATGCTAACCTTTTGTCTGTAACAAACATATGTTGAAAATATTTTTCCAAGTTTATTTATTGGTCACACAGAAGGTTTATGTTTTTTTTTTGTTTTTTTGTTTTTTGTTTTTTTGAGACAGAGTCTTGCTCTGTCACCCAGGCTGGAGTGCAATGGTACGATCTCAGCTCACTGCAACCTCCTCCTTCTGGGTTCAAGCGATTCTCCTGCCTTAGCCTCCCAAGTAGCTGGGATTGCAGGCACCTGCCACCATGCCTGGGTAATTTTTGTATTTTTAGTACAGATGGGGTTCCGCCATGTTGGCCAGGCTGGTCTCGAACTCCTGACCTCAGGTGATCTGCCCGCCTTGGCCTCCCAAAGTGCTGGGATTACAGGCATGAGCCACTGTGCCTGGCCCTACATTTTTATGTAGTACAATCTGTCAGTCTTTCCTGTTTGGTTTCTGTTATTGACGTGATGATTTAAAAATGCCTTCCCCATCCTGGAGTTATAAAACTATTTACCTAAATTTCCTTATGGTATTCTTTTGCATACCCTTTTTATTTTTACATCTTTGATTGATTTTTTTTTGTGTGTGTAAAGAGTGAGATAGGCATCCAGCTTAATTTTTTCTCCAAAGGACTAGTAAATTGGGAGAGGTGTACCAGAGTGTTTTCCTAGGTCTTGATTCTATGATAGTAGCCATGTGAAGTTAAGTAAGTTAATTCCCTTCCCCAAGCCCTATTTTCTTATCTGTAAAATGAGGATAAAATGGCAGTTATCTCACAGCGTTGTTGTGAGAATTACAGGAGAAACTACATGTAAGGCATTGCCTGCACTTAAGTGTTAGCTATTTTTATTATGTAGTTCTAGATACTAGCTATAGATATTAGCTGTTTTTATTATGTGGCTCTGTTCTGATAGCTGTGTGATATCTCTTCTTCCTGCCCATTTCTATGAGAGTTTTGTTGGTTCAAAGAGTTCTTAGAAACATTTGTTCCCTAATTAAAAATGGAAAATTATTTGTACAACCTCAAATGCCCTCAAAACAGATAATAATAATAATAAAAATAATAATAGTAATAGACAACGGCTATTTTGCACACACATATGGGAACAGTGGGAGCAAGAGATGTGGGTTTATGTGTTTTCCTTGACTACAAGTTGTAAAAGCCAAGAGAGCTCAAGAAGAGATCCAATCAACATCACCTCTTGCTCAAATGTAAATTGCAAAAGAAACTCAGTTGCAAAGTGCCCAAGCATATGCTCAGATAATTTCCAAAGTTTGTTTTTAGTTTCTACATTGGCAAGAGAGCAAGTACTTTTCTACTTCCAGTGTCTTCAGGGGCTGGAGACTTCTCTATTTCCTCTTTTGCATACACTTGGCCTATCAATTATTTAATAATCAATTCTCCAGCACACTTCCTATTGATTTCCTTTCATTTTGAAGTTTCCTTTTTTTTTTTTAAATTATACTTTAAGTTCCAGGATACATGTGCAGAACATGCAGGCTTGTTACATAGGTATACATGTGCCATGGTGGTTTGCTGCATCCATCAACCCATCATCTAGGTTTTAAGCCCCACATGCATTAGGTATTTGTCCTAATGCTATCCCTCCCCTTGCCCCCCACCCCCTGACAGGCCCCAGTGTGTGATGCCCCCCTCCCTGCGTCCATGTGTTCTTATTGTTCAACTCCCACTTATGAGTGAGAACATGCGGCGTTTGGTTTTCTGTTTGGTTTGTGTTAGTTTGCTGAGAATGATGGTTTCTAGCTTCATCCATGTCCCTGCAAAGGACATGAACTTATCCTTTTTTATGGCTGCATAGTATTCCATGGTGTATATGTGCCACATTTTCTTTATCCAGTCTATTATTGATGGGCATTTGGGTTGGTTCCAAGTCTTTGCTATTGTGAATAGCGTTGCAATAAAAATGGATGTGCATATGTCTTTACAGTAAAATGATTTATAATCCTTTGGGTATATACCCAGTAATGGAATTGCTAGGTCAAATGGTATTTGTGGTTCCAGATCCTTGAGGAATTGCCACACTGTCTTCCACAATGGTTGAACTAATTTACCCTCCCACCAACAGTGTAAAAGCATTCCTATTTCTCCACATCCTCTCCAGCATCTGTTGTTTCCTGACGTTTTAATGATCGCCATTCTAAGTGGTGTGAGATGGTATCTCATTGTGGTTTTGATATGCATTTCTCTGATGACCAGTGATGATGAGCCTTTTTTTTTTTCCATATGTTTGTTGGCCACATAAATGTCTTCTTTGAGAAGTGTCTGTTCATATCCTTCACCCACTTTTTGATGGGGTTGTTTGTTTTTTTCTTGTAAATTTGTATAAGTTCTTTGTAGATTCTGGATATTAGACCTTTGTTGGATGGATACATTGCAAAAATTTTCTCCCATTCTGTAGGTTGCCTATTCACTCTGATGATAGTTTCTTTTGCTGTGCAGAAGCTCTTTAGTTTAATTAGATCACATTTGTCAATTTTGGCTTTTGTTGCAATTGCTTTTGGTGTTTTAGTCATGAAGTCTTTGCCCATGCCTATGTCCAGAATGGTATAGCCTAGGTTTTCTTCTAGGGTTTTTATGGGTTTAGTTCTTACGTTTAAATCTTTAATCCATCTTGAGTTAATTTTTGTATAAGGTTTAAGGAAGGGGTCCAGTTTCAGTTTTCTGCATACGGCTAGCCAGTTTTCCCAACACCACTTATTAAATAGTGAATCCTTTCCTTATTGCTTATTTTTGTCAGGTTTGTCAAAGATCAGATTATTGTAGGTGTGTGATGTTATTTCTGAGGCTTATGTTATGTTCCATTGGTCTATATATCTGTTTTGTAACCAGTACCATGCTATTTCGGTTACTGCAGCCTTGTAGTTTGAAGTCAGGTAGCATGATGCCTCCAGCTTTGTTCTTTTTGCTTAGGATTGTCTTAGCTATACAGGCTGTTTTTTGGTTCCATATAAAATGTAAAGTAGTTTTTTCTAATTCTGTGAAGAAATTCAATGGTGGCTTGATGGGAATAGCATTGAATCTATAAATTACTTTGGGCAGTATGGCCATTTTCACAATATTATTTTTTCCTATCCATGAGCATGGAATGTTTTTCCATGTCTTTGTGCCCTCTCTTATTTCCTTGAGCAGTGGTTTGTAGTTCTCTTTGAAGAGGTCCTTCACATCCCTTGTAAGTTGGATTCCTAGGTATTTTATTCTCTTTGTAGCAATTGTGAATGGGAGTTCACTCATGATTTGGCTGTTTGTCTGTTATTGGTGTATAGGAATGCTTGTGATTTTTGCACATTGATTTTGTATCCTGAGACTTTGCTGAAGTTGCTTATCAGCTTAAGGAGATTTTGGGTTGAGACGACAGGGTTTTCTAAATATACAATCATGTCATCTGCAAACAGAGACAATTTGACTTGCTCTTCTTGCTATTTGAATAATCTTTATTTCTATCTCTTGCCTGATTGGCCTGGCCAGAACTTCCAGTAGTTGAATAGGAGTGGTGAGAGAGGGCATCCTTGTCTTGTGCTGGTTTTCAAAGGGAATGCTTCCAGCTTTTGCCTATTCAGTATGATATTGGCTATGGGTTTGTCATAAATAGCTCTTACTATTTTGAAATATGTTCCATCAATACCTAGTTTATTGTTTTTAGCATGAAGGGGTGTTGAATTTTACCAAAGGCCTTTTCTGCCTCTATTGAGACAATCATGTGGTTTCTGTCATTGGTTCTGTTAATTTGATGGATTATGTTTATTGATTTGTGTATGTTGAACCAGCCTTGCATCCCAGGGATGAAGCCAACTTGATTGTGGTGGATAAGCTTTTTGATGTGCTGCTGGATTTTGTTTGCCAGTATTTTATTGAGGATTTTTGCATTGATGTTCATAAGGGATATTGGCCTGAAATTTTCCTTTTTTGTTGTGTCTCTGCCAGGTTTTGGTATCAGGATGATGCTGGCCTGATAAAATGAATTAGGGAGGAGTCTCTCTTTTTTTATTGTTTGGAATAGTTTCAGGAGGAATTATACCAGCTCCTCTTTGTAACTCTGGTAAAATTTGGCTGTGAATCTGTCTGGTTCTGGGATTTTAGTAGACTATTAATTACTGCCTCAATTTCAGAATTTATTATTGGTCTATTCAGGGATTTGACTTCTTCCTGGTTTAGTCTTGGGAGGGTGTATGATGAACACATACTTTCTACCGAAAAGAGCTGAACCTGTCAGTATCTTATATTAACATCATGTTGCTGTGAAGACAGAGTCCATGCTTCTTATCATGATGTAAATTCAACTCAGGGAGAAGTGTCTAGTCTTTATAGTATATTACAGGGTAATTATAAGGCAATAACTGGTTCTCTGGTAGTTGAGGCAGGGATGGATATTGTACAGCAGAGGCTGCTCCACCCTGACACTGGAGACACCTATTGTAAACAGACAGGGGCTGGTGTTCTCTTGCCATTGTGCACTGTGATTATAGAAAGTGTGGTAGGCACTGTGAGTTTCCAAGTGAAGATGCTGTAATGGGGGATGATATGAGTTGAAGGCTAAAAAAAAAGTGGGGTATGACTTGTGTACAACTAAAGAGAAAAGTTGGCAAAAAGGGAAATGTGAAAAGAAAGACTAGCACTAATGTGAGGTAGGAAGCCAAGGCTCTAGGAGACAGCCTATGGGGGAACAAGTGGAGGTGGGCTTCTGCAATGCTGAGGCTCAATACTGCAATGCTGAGGTGGGATTCTGCAATGCTTGAGGCTCAAGGACCCTGCTTGAAGATAACTACGGGGCAGCCTGGGTTAACAATGCTGACTTAGACAGCTCTTTCTTCCATCCTTCTCTGAGACCAGAGGGGATGGGTACTGGCAAATTCGGGATCAGAGTAGGGGTTCTTAACTTGGGGTCCATTGAAAAGTCTTTGATAGAATTCTGGGAGTCTATGAACTCAGAAGGGAAAAATATTACGTTTCTATTTTCTCTAATATCTAATTGAAATTTACCATTTCTTTCAGTTACTGAATGTAGGCACCAAATTACAGTAGTATTAACAGTGTCTGTGACTTTGTTACCAGTAAAAAAAAAATCACAGATATTTTAATTTCACATTAGAGTCATTGCAGATACATCAAACATCATTCATACTCACTACTTTGAAATTATGGATATTATTAGGCCCTCTGATACATCTCGTTTAATACATTAATAAAGAAGCCCATATATTCTTATAGCATATTTTAAAAACATTTTGATGAGTGTATTTTAATATTTTTGGTTTCCTGTGTCACCCATTGTTTTTTATTTTGTGCATTTAAAAATAGTATTCTGAGAAGTGATTCATAGGCTTCAACAGATTACCAATGTAGTACTTGAACAAAAAGGTCAAGAAACACAAATGGATAGGAGGAATGAATATTGTGAAAATGGCCATACTGCCCAAGGTAATTTATAGATTCAATGTCATCCCCATCAAGCTACCAATGACTTTCTTCACAGAATTGGAAAAAACTACTTTAAAGTTCATATGGAACCAAAAAGGAGCCCACATTGCCAAGTCAATCCTAAGCCAAAAGAACAAAGCTGGAGGCATCACGCTACCTGACTTCAAACTATACTACAAAGCTACAGTAACCAAAATAGCATGGTACTGGTACCAAAACAGAGATACAGACCAATGGAACAGAATAGAGCCCTTGGAAATAATAGCACACATCTACAACCATCTGATCTTTGACAAACCTGACAAAGACAAGAAATGGGGAAAGATTCCCTATTTAATGATGCTGGGAAAACTGGCTAGCCATATGTAGAAAGCTGAAACTGGATCTCTTCCTTACACCTTATACAAAAATCAATTCAAGATGGATTAAAGACTTAAATGTTAGACCTAAAACCATAAAAACTCTAGAAGAAAACCTAGGCAATACCATTCAGGACATAGGCATGGGCAAGGACTTCATGACTAAAACACTAAAAGCAATGGCAACAAAAGCCAAAATTGACAAATGGGGTCTAATTAAACCAAAGAGCTTCTGCACAGCAGAAGAAACTACCATCAGAGTGAACAGGCAACCTACAGAATGGGAGAAAATTTTTACAATCTACTCATCTGACAAAGGGCTAATATCCAGAATCTACAAAGAACTTAAACAAATTTACAAGAAAAAATCACCCCCATCAACAAGTGGGTGAAGGATATGAACAGACACTTATCAAAAGAAGACATTTATGCAGCCAACAGACACATAAAAAAATGCTCATCATCACTGGCCATCAGAGAAATGCAAATCAAAACCACAATGAGATACCATCTCACACCAGTTAGAATGGCGATCATTAAAGTCAGGAAACAACAGGTGCTGGAGAGGATGTGGAGAAATAGGAAGACTTTTACACTGTTGGTGGGACTGTAAACTACTTCAACCCTTGTGGAAGACAGTGTGGCAGTTGCTCAAGGATCTAGAACTAGAAATACCATTTGACCCAGCCATCCCATTACTGGGCGTATACCCAATGGATTATAAATTATGCTGCTATAAAGACACATGCACACGTATGTTTACTGCAGCACTATTCACAATAGCAAAGACTTGGAACCAACCCAAACGTCCATCAATGATAGACTGGACTAAGAAAATGTGGCACATATACACCATGGAATACTATGCAGCCATAAAAAAGGATGAGTTCGTGTCCTTTATAGGGACATGGATGAAGGTGGAAACCATCATTCTGAGCAAACTATTGCAAGGATAGAAAACCAAACACCGCATGTTCTCACTCATAGGCGGGAATTGAACAATGAGAACACACGGACACAGGGTGGGGAACATCACACACTGGGGCCTGTCATCAGGTAGGGGGAGCAGGGAGGGATAGCATTAGGAGATATACCTAATGTAAATGACAAGTTAACAGGTACAGCACACCAACATGGCACATGTATACATATGTAACAAACCTGCACATTGTGCACATGTACCCTAGAACTTAAAGTGAAATAATAAAAAAAAGGCCTAGATGAAAAAAAAAAAAGATCAAGAAATGCTGGGTTAGATGGTGCAGAAGGGGTAGATAGCTAGGGAGACTCTTATCTTTGGAACCTAGAGGGAGGAGGTTGTTGTCAAAGAGAAAATTGAGAGCATGCTTTGGGAGGTGTAAGGACCCAACTGCCTGGACTTTTGACCATGCATTGCTGCTGTAGTTTGTTCAGGGTGGTCCTCAGGTCTGCGCTGGCTCCCTGGGCAGATGATGGAGCTGAAAGAACATGAGTCTCAGGGCCTGTTCAAGGCTGGTGGACCTAGGTCTGGAAAGATAAGCTATGGTAAGAATGCTGCTTGCCTGATTAGTCTCAGATTGTCTATCTGATAACTGAGTTGGCAGTTCTGAGATTAAGAGCTAGGCTTGCCGCAGACCGACTGGGTCAGCGTGGACTAGCCATGTAACTTTTTTTTTTTTTCTTTTTGAGACAGAGACTTGCTCTGTCGCTCAGGCTGGAGCACAGTGATGCGATCTCAGCTCACTGCAACCTCCACCTCCAGGGTTCAAGTGTTTCTCGTGCCTTAGCCTCCCAAGTAGCTGGGACTACGGGCACGACTAATTTTTGTATTTTTGTAGAGATGGTGTTTCGCCATGTCAGCCAAGCTGGGTCTCGCCATTTTGGCCACTTCTCCATGTTGGCCTGATCCATGGATCACCCCAAGTGATCCACCCACCTCGGCCTCCCAAAGTGCTGAGATTACAGGCGTGAGCCACTGCACCTGGCCCAGCCATGTAACAACTTCTTTTTTTTAAAGATGGAGTCCTGCTCTGTCACCCAGGCTGGAGTGCAGTGGCGCAATCATAGTCCTGCTCTGTCACCCAGGCTGGAGTGCAGTGGCGCAATCATAGTCCTGCTCTGTCACCCAGGGTGGAGTGCAGTGGCGCAATCATAGCTCACTGCAACCTTCGCCTCACAGGTTCAAGCAATTCTCTTCCTCAGCCTCCTGAGTAGCTGGGATTACAGGTGCACCACCAGGCCTGGCTAATTTTTTGTATTTTTAGTAGAGACAGGGTTTCATCATGTTGGACAGGCTGGTCTCGAACTCCTGACCTCAGGTGATCCTCCCGGCTTGGCCTCCCAAAATGCTGGGATTACAGGCGTGAGCCACTGTGCCCAGTAGCCATGTAACTTCTGACCTCTAGTTTTCTCATCTCTAGATTGCCATTCATTCAGTTAATATTGATTAAGCTCCAAGCACTGTGTAGGAGGCTGAAGCCTCTACAATCATTGAGTGGATTAAATGAGATGCTGCGTCCGAAAGCACTTTGAAAAGAGATGCTCCCATTGAATCAGTTCCTTTTAAAGTTACCCATATTTTCTGCTCTTTAGTCAAGTTGCCTGTTGAAGAGAAGAGACTTGGGTCTTTCCAAAAAGAGTCAGCCTAGGGAGTTTGCAGCTCCACTGGGTCGACCCTTCCAGTCACCCTGACAATGCAGGGTAAAGCGTCAGGACCAAATTCCAGAGAGTTGTTTTTTTTTTGCCAGATGAGACCAGACTGCTGAATTCGGTTAGAGCTTTCAGCCTGGCTAACAGGGTGTGCATGGTTATTTATGCACTGAAGTGCTCTGATAATTAAGCTCATTCAATGTCACAATGATTGGTTACTTAAGAGGCCTGAATCATCATAAGTGAAGACTGTCATTTGAATGTATGTCACACTGCTTGACTTAGAAGTACAGCACAGTTTATTGCAAGAAGGCCAAAGGAAAAAAATGTTCATGTGTTGAAGGCAAAAGAGGCAGGTCAGGGCAAGTGGGCCAGACCCTGCTGTGATCCAGAAGGCACTGGAAGCCTTCAAGGATACCCTTTTCTCTTGGTAGAACAGAAGAGGGCATGCCAGCTTTTAAATCAACACAGTTCTACCTTCCCAGGTATAGGCCTTCTGGAAACAAGATTTTAGGTCATCACTAAAGGTGACAACCTTTGCTGATCATACCTCTTACATTGTCTATCTTCCAACCTTGGCTACCAGCCCTACTTTTGGGAGTTTGACAGCTGAGGCCTTGCAGAACCTGTGAACTCACTGGTGCGGCGATGGCCACGGAAGAGCTGATTCTAATTGTAAAGACAGCAGAAGGTGAAAAGCTTGGGCTCTGGCTCTAGACTTCTCATATCCCACCATTGCACTGACTGGCTGGGTCACTCTGGCTAGTTGCTTAGCATCTCTGAGCCTTTTTCTTTATCTCAAACATAAGAATGGCAGTAGCTATCATACTGGATTTTCTGAAGATTAAAGAGAGAATGATTCTTTTTTTTTTTTTTTTGAGACGGAGTCTCGCTCTGTCGCCCAGGCCGGACTGCGGACTGCAGTGGCGCAATCTTAAAAGAGAGAATGATTCTAAAGCACTTGGCTCCATGCCTGGTCTACAGTAGGTGCTAAATCAATGTTAGCTGTTGTTACT